>NC_000010.11:31227129-31531411 GCF_000001405.40 Homo sapiens
CTTTCAATCTAGAGTGTGGCAAACTTTATTTAGTTCTCTTTAATTTGCTTCCATAATATTTTTAAATTTTCTCCATAGAAGTCTTGCATATTTTTTGTTAGATGTATTCCTTGATATTTGATTTTTTTGATGCCATTATAAGCAGTATACTTAAATTTTTATTTTAAGATTCTTTGTCACTAGTATATAGAAATACAAAAAAATTCATATTGATTTTTTAATCTAATGTCCTTACTATGTTCACAACAAATAACAGTGTGTAGATTATTTTGAATATTCTAAGTCTAATGGCAGTTTTATTTCTTCCATTCTAGTCATTCTATCTTTTTGCTTTATTGTGCTGGCTAAGACTCCCATTACAATGTTAAATAAAAGTAGAGATATTAAGTATCTTTGTCTCATTTTTGATCTGAAAAGGAAAACTTTTGATATGCCAAACTTAGGTATAATGCTTGCTCTAAGTTTTTTGTACATGCTTGTACATCCAACTAAGGAACTTCCCTTCTATATCTACTTTGCTAAATTATTTCCCTTTTTAACCATTATTGAGGTTTAAATTTTATCCAACGCTTTTACTGCATCTATTGAGATGACAGTAATTTTTCTCTTATACTCAATTACAATGATGAATTGCATTTTGCTGATTTTTATAATGTTAAATCAACCTTGCATTCCTAGAATAAATCCAACTTTTACTATAATGTAACATGCAGGGGTGGAATGGGGTTGGGGGATGGGTGGGTAAATGTTTATCCTACTTAAAGCTTTTAGTATTTCTTAAATTTGTGGCTTGTTTTGTTGGCTTTGGAAACATGTTTATTATTATTTCAATACTGCATTTATCTCATTTCCCCACCCCCTGTCATTCTGGAAGGACCTTCTGAACATGCCCCATATGGTTTTTACACTGCATTTCTACTCTTCTTGTTCTCTGTGCTCAAATCTGGTTATTTTCTACTAATACAACTTCCAATTTACTAATTCCTTCTTCAGTTGTATTTATGATAAAGTACATCTAGTTACAGCTTATCATATTTTTTAGTTTTTGAATTTTTATTTGATTTTCTTTTAGATTTAATAGTCCAATACATTTTTCCATATTGATTTTAATTTTTTTTTTTTTGAGAAGGAGTCTGGCTTTTGTCACCCAGGCTGGAGTGCCGTGGTGCGATCTCGGCTCACTGCAACCTCTGCCTCTCTTGTTCAAGTGATTCTCCTGCCTCAGCCTCCCAAGTAGCTGGGATTACAGGCACCCACCACCATGCCTGGCTAATTTTTGTATTTTTAGTACAGACACGGTTTCAACATGTTGCCCAGGCTGGTCTGGAACTCCTGACCTCAGGTGATCTGCTCGCCTTGGCCTCCCAAAGTGCTGGGATTACAGGTGTGAGCCACCATGCCTGGCCAATTTCATAATACATTATTTTAAAGTACATGTCTGATAACCCTGATATCTAAGTCATGAATGTGTCCTATTTTTTTGGTATGCCTGGTATTATTATTATTATCTTTATTTTTAGCTATTCCTTTTTTACTTATTCTTATTTCATTTTACTTTAAATTCTGGCACACATGTGCAGAATATGCAGCTTTGTTACATAGGTATACATGTGCCCTGGTGGTTTGCTGCATCTATTGACCCATCCTCTAAGTTACCTCCCCTCGCCCCCCTACCCCACAATGGGCCCTGGTGTGTGATGTTCCCTTCCCTGTGTCCCTATGTTCTCATTGTTCGACTACCACCTATGAGTAAGAACATTCAGTGTTTGGTTTTCTGTTTCTGTGTTAGTTTGCTGAGGATGATGGCCTCTAGCTACATCCATGTCCCTTCAAAGGACATGATCTCATTCCTTTTCATGGCTGCATAGTATTCCGTGGTGTATATTTACCACATTTTCTTTATCCAGTCTGTCATTGATGGGCATTTATGTTGGTTCCATGTCTTTGCTATTGTAAATAGTGCCACAATAAACATACGTGTTCATGTGTCTTTATAGTAGAATGATTTATATTCCTTTGGGTATATACCCAGTAATAGGATTGTTGGGAGAAATGGTGTTTCTGTTTCTAGATCCTTAAGGAATCACCATACTGTCTTCCACAACGGTTGAACTAATTTACATTCCCACCAACAGTGTAAAAGCATTCCTGTTTCTCTACAGACTTGCCAGCATCTATTGTTTCTTGACTTTTTAATAATTGCCATTCTGTATGGCGTGGTATTCTCATGGTATCTCATGGCATCTCATTCTGATGGTATCTCATGGTGGTTTTGATCTGCATTTCTCTAATGATCAGTGATGTTGAGCATTTTTTCATATATTTGTTGGCCATGTGAATGTCTTCTTTTGAGGAATGTCTGTTCATATACTTTGCCCACTTTTTGACGAGGCTGTTTATTTTTTTCTGGTAAATTTGTTTAAGTTCCTTGTAGATTCTGGATATTAGACCTTTGTCAGATGGGTAGATTGCAAAAGTTTTCTCCCATTCTGTAGGTTACCTGATCACTCTGATGATAGTTTCTTTTGCTGTGCAGAAGCTCTTTAGTTTAATTAGATCCCATTTGTCAATTTTGGCTTTTGTTGCAATTGCTTTCAGTGTTTTCATGAGGTCTTTGCCCATGCCTATGTCCTGAATAGTATTGCCTAGGTTTTCTTCTAGAGTTTTTATGGTTTGGGGTTTTACATTTAAGACTTTAATCCATCTTGAGTTAATTTTTGTATAAGGTATAAGGAAAGGGTCCAGTTTCAGTTTTCTGCATATGGCTAGCCAGTTTTCCCAGCACCACTTATTGAATAGGAGATCCTTTCCCCATTGCTTGTTTTTGTCAGGTTTGTCAAAGATCAGATGGTTGTAGACGTGTGGTGCTATTTCTGCGGTCTCTGTTCTGTTCCATTGGTCTATATGTCTGTTTTGGTATCAGTACTATGCTGTTTTGGTTACTGTAGCCTTGTAGTATAGTTTGAAGTCAGGTAGCATGATGTCTCCAGCTTTGTTCTTTTTGCTTAGGATCGTCTTGGCTATACGGGGTCGTCTTTGATTCCACATGAAATTTCAAGTATTTTTTTCTAATTCTGTCGAGAATGTCAATGGTAGTTTGGTGAGAATAGCATTGAATCTATAAATTACTTTGGGCAGTATGGCCATTTTTATGATATTGAGTCCTCCTATCCATGAGGATAGAATGTTTTTTCATTTGTTTGTGTCCTCTCTTATTTCCTTTAGCAGTGGTTTGTAGTTCTCCTTGAAGAGGTCCTTCACATCTTTTGTTAGCTGAATTCCTAGGTATTTTATTCTCTTTGTAGCAATTGCGAATGGGAGTTCATGCATAATTTGGCTCTCTGCTTGTTTATTGTTTTTGTAAAGGAATGCTTGTGATTTTTGCACATTGATTTTGTATCCTGAGACTTTGCTGAAGTTGCTTCCCAGCTTAAGGAGTTTCTGGGCTGAAAGGATGGGGTTTTCTAAATATAGAATCATGTCATCTGCAAACAGAGACAATTTTACTTCCTGTCTTCCTATTTGAATACTTTTTATTTCTTTCTCTTGCCTGATTGCCCTGGCCAGAACTTCCAATACTATATTGAATAGGAGTGGTGAGAGAGAGCATCCTTGTCTTGTACTGGTTTTCAAAGGGAATGCTTCCAGAAATCAAGAAGTTCTTTGAAGCAATGAGAACAAAGAGACAACGTACCAGAATCTCTGGGACACAGCGAAAGTAGTGTTAAGAGGGAAATTTATTGCACTAAATGCCCACATAAAGCTAGAAAGATTTCAAACTGATGCCCTAACATCACAATTAAACGAGCCAGAGAAGCAAGGGCAAACTAATCCAAAAGCTAACAGAAGACGAGAAACAACTAAGATCAGAGCAGAATTGAAGCAGATAGAGACATGAAAAACCCTCAAAAAATGAATGAATCCACGAGCTGGTTTTTTGAAAAAATTAACAAAATAGATAGACTTCTAGCTAGACTAATAAAGAAGAAAAGAGAGAAGAGTCAAATAGACACAATAAAAAATGATAAAGGGGATATTACCTCTGGCCCCAAAGAAATATAAACTACCATCAGAGAACACTGTAAACACGTCTACGCAAATAAACTAGAAAATTTAGAAGAAACAGATAAATTCCTAGACACATACACACTCCCAAGACTAAACCAGGAAGAAATCAAATCCCTCAATAGACCAATAACAAGTTCTGAAATTGAGGCAGTAATTAATAGCCTACTAATAAAAAAATGCCCAGGACCAAATGGATTCACAGCCAAATTCCACCAGAGATACAAAGAAGAGCTGGTACCATTCCTTCTGAAACTATTCCAAACAATTGGAAAGAAGGGACTCCTTCCTAACTCATTTTATGAAGCCAGCATCATCCTGATACCAAAACCCAGCAGAAACACAACAAAAAAGAAAACTTCAGGCCAATATCCCCGATGAATATAGATATGAAAATCCTCAATAAATTACTGGCAAACTGAATCCAGTGACACATCAAAACATTTATCCACC
The DNA here is from genome assembly GCF_000001405.40 of Homo sapiens. Classification (NCBI taxonomy): domain Eukaryota; kingdom Metazoa; phylum Chordata; class Mammalia; order Primates; family Hominidae; genus Homo; species Homo sapiens. The sequence continues at coordinate 31,231,648 of NC_000010.11, forward strand.
ATGATCAAGTCAGATTCATCCATGGGGTGCAGGGCTGGTTCAACATATGCAAATCAATAAACATAATCCATCACTTAAACAAAACCACATGATTATCTCAATAGATGCTGAAAAGGCCTTTGACAAAATTCAATGTCCCTTCATGTTAAAACACTCAATAAACTAGGTATTGATTGAATATATCTGAAAATAATAAGAGCTATTTATGACAAACCCACAGCCAATATCATATTGAATGGACAAAAGCTGGAAGCATTCCTGTTGAAAAATGGCATTATTTTTTAATGAGGACATCTTGATGTTAAAAACTGATGGCTTTGGATGCTGTCATTATTCTCTAGTGAGAATTTATTGATCTTCTGTGAGGCATCTAGAATGGAGTCGGATTGGTTGGAGCCAATAACAAATTCAGTTAACTTAAGGTAGAGTTGTAATCTTTTTGTAAATTGACATATAGTAACTGTGCATATTTATGGGGTACAGTGTGATGTTTTGGTACACGTATACACTGGTAATAATCAAGTCATGGTAATTAGCATATCCATAAAAAAGGACAAAATCTTGTTATTTGTCACAACATGGTGAGCGTGGAGGACATTATGTTAAGTGAAATAAGCCAGGCAGAGAAAGACAAATATCACATGATCTCACTCATACACGGAATCTTAAAAAATTGATCTCATAGAAGTAGAGAGTAGAACAGTAGTTACCAGGGTCATAATGTTTATAAAGATTAGTTTGTCTCCATGGTGATGTAGCCTCCAGGGTGTTATAGCCTCCAGGGATCTCAACTGACAGCTTGGGTATTCACTACCTCCCCTGACTCCTTTGAGGGTTTCTGAAACCCAACTTTTGTCCCCCAAGGACCAAGAGACTGCCGAAAATTCCATTCTGCATTTCAGTTGCCTCTGCTTAGTTTCCTGAATTTGCTCTGTATTCCTTAAGATTCATTAAATGACTTACAGGAAGCAGATAACCACATGTTGAATAGAATATATAAGGATGAACACTGGAATTCAGAAGAGAAATAAGAGAGACCCTCTGAGGCACAGAAACTCAAGATGGCAGCACAGAGAGGGAAGTGAAGCTGGCTAGGATCAGCTTGGAGCATCAAAGCATGGACAGATTCCCCATTGTGGGGAAACAATAAGCCAGAGATCCCCCACAGTCCACATTCCCACCACAGATACCTGCAATCCTAGCTACAGGAGAGCCCCTAGGCCCTCACAGGCCCTAAGCCTAGTATGGTGAGTTTCCTGGAGTTCACACAACTACATTTTCCCAGAGAGGGAATTGATGCTGGGTCCCACCCACCCACTAGGATTCAAGCTGCTGCTGCACAGCATCATTTTGATAATAGAGCCAACATCATACTGCATCTCATCCTGATGCAAAAATCCCTACACTTCCACATCCCTGGGATCCCACTGACATCACCCTACAATCACTCAGAGGGCTGCAGTGTCATAAAGCTAGCTAGAACCAGTGATGCGGCCATACCCCCCGTACCCAAGCACATACAGTACTCCATACATGGAGGAACAGGCAGTTCAGCACATAAGGCAGCCTGTCCCCAGGACATAGAGAACTGAAGCATGCACTCTCTGGAGCCTGAGAGTCACTGTCCCTGGACTGCCACCAGTGACAGTGACCCCTCCCTTTCCAGTAACAGGGCCACTATATGCCTGCATGTGCTACCCAGGAAGTCAAAACTTAATTTGCTCAGGCTATGACCACTAACGCAGGTGCCTCCAACCACTTGGGGCCCCAAGTATTAGCCCTACTAGCTCAGCGAGCCTGCTGCCAATACCAACACATGCCACCCAGGGGCTTACGGATTGGCCACCCAGCCTGTGGAGGCTGTTGTTGCCACCAGCAGTGCTGGTGTGCACCATCCAAAGTCCCAAGGATCATCCTTCACAGACAGCCATCACCACAGATGAAGCCCATGTACCCTACACAGGGAAAAGAGGACTGGCCCATCCAGGGCACACTGCCGCCACCACTGAGGTCCATGTGAGCCACTTAGGGCCCAGAGGACTGGTCCACCTAGCATCCCAGTCCCTGGTAAAGCTACACTGCAGCCTGCACAAAATACTGCAGCCTAAGCCACTGAGAAACTTGCAGACACTACTGATGTTCATTATAGCTGAAGAAATCACATGCATGGAGGTTACACTACAGTGCCACTCAAAACCAGAGATGGTACCCTACCCAGCCAACACTATAGATACATCTATGGGAAATTCTTTGTGAAAGCTGCTCCATAAAATTCAGTCAATCAATTGTTATACCAGATGCACAGATATCAACATAAGGACACAAGAAACATGAAAAAGGAGAGAAACACAACACCTCCAAATAAACACAATAATTCTCTGGTAACAGATCCCAAAGTAAAGGAAATCTATGTGGTATGTGAAAAGGAATTCAAAATGATGATTTTAATGAAATTCAGTGAGATACAAAGAATGTACGTAGACAATACAAAGAAATAAAGAAGCCAATTCCTGATCTGAATGAGAAATTCAACAAAGCAATAAATATCATAAAAAAGAACCAAACAGAAATGTGGCAACTAAAGGATTTAATGAATGAAGTAAAAACTACAATTGAGAGCTTTAGCAATAGACTTAATCAAGCACAAGAAAGAATTTCTGAAGTTGAAGACATGTCTTTTGAAATAACCCAATCAGAAAGACACAAAAAGAAAAAAGAATAAAAAAGAATGGAAAAAGTCTATGTGACATATGGGACACCATAAGTGAATACATACTCAAATTTGGGGAGTTCCGGAAGAAAAAGAGATGGAAAAAGTCACAGAAACCCTATTTAACAAAATAATAGCTGAAAACTTGCCAAGTCTTGGAAAAAATATGGATATCCAGATGCAGGAAGCCCAAAGATCCCCAAATAGATTCAACTCCCAAAATGTCATCTCTGAGGGACGTTGCATTCCAATTATCAAGAGTCAAAAACAAAGACAGAATTTTAAAAACAGCTGAAGAACAGTGTCATGTCACACATAAGGGAATCTCCATCAGACTAACAACAGACTTCTCAGCAGAAACCTTAGAGGCCAGGAGAGATTAGAATGATACACTCAGAGTGCTGAAAGAAAAAAAACCTGCCAGCCAAGAATGCTACAACCAACAAAACTATCCTTCAGAAATAAAAGAAATATAGTCTTTACCAGACAAACAAAAACTGATGAGTTACATCATCACTAGACCAACCCTACAAGAAATGCTCAAGGGATTTCTACATCTAGAAGCAAAAGAATAATATCTACCATTGTGAAAATACTCAAAAGTATAAAACTCACAGACAGAGCAGACACACAAATGGGAAAGAGAAAAGAACCAAATTTCATCACTACAGAAAACCACCAAATTGCAAAGATAAACAATAAAAGAGGAAGAAAAGAAACACAAAACAATCACAAACCAATTGACAAAATGACAGGAGTGAGTTCTCATCTATCAATAAAAATCTTGAATGTAAATAATTTAAATTCTTCAATTAAAATATATAGACTGGTTGAATGGCTGAAGAACAAGGCCCAACTATATTCCACCTAAAGAAACCATTTAACCAGTAAGAACACAAATAGATTGAAAGTAAAGAGATAGAAAAGGAAAATCCACACAAATAAAAATATGAAAGAGCAGTCGTACTTATATCAGCCAAAATAAACTTTAAGTCAGTAAGCATAAAAAGAGGTAAAGAGGGGTCATTATATAATTATAAAAGGATCAATTTAGCAAGAGGATATAACAATTTTAAATATGTATGCACCCAACACCAGAGCACTTAGATATATAAAGCAAATATTTTAGAGCTAAAGAGAGAGATCGATCCCAATACAATAATAGTTGGGGACTTTAGTACCACACTTTCAGTATTAAACAGAATCATCTAGACAGAAAATCAACAAAGAAGCATCAAACTTAAACTGCATTATAGACCTAACAGACATTTACAGAACATTTTATTAAACAGCTGCAGAATGCACATTGAAACTATAGTCTTCTTTTTTCTTGTCAGCTCATGGAACATTCTCCATGACTGACCATATATTGGGCCACAAAAGAAATATCGGCAAATATTTAAAAATTGAAATCATATCCAGTATCTTCTCAGACCACAATGGAATGAAACTAGATTTCAATAACAAAAGAAACATTTAGAAACTTTACAAATACAAAAAAAATTGAATAACATGCTCCTGAGTGATCATTGAGTCAGTGGATAAATTAAAAAGGAAATATAAAAAGTCTTAAAACAAGTGAAAATGGAAACACAACAAACAAAAACCTGTGAACAGTAAAAACAGTACCAAGAGGGAAGTTTATAGCCATAAATGTCTATATCAAAAAAAGAAAATATTATTTTTAAAAACAACCTAATGATATAACTCAAGGAACTAGAAAAGCAAGAACAAAACAAATCCAAAATTAGTAGACGAAAATAAATGATAAAGATCAGAGCAGAGCTAAATGAAATAGAGACTAAAAAATATAAAACATCAATGAAAATTTGGTTTTTTGAAAAGATGAACAAAATTGACAAACCATTAGCTAGACTAAGAAAAAGAGAGAAGATTTAAATAAATAAAATCAGCAATGAAAAAAGGAGATATTACAACGGACACCACAGAAATACAAAGAATCGTTAGAGACTATTATGACTACCTGTGCACCAACAAATTAGAAAACCTAGAGGAAATGGATTAATTCCTGAACACATATAACCTACCAAGATTGAACCATGAAGAAACAGAAAACCTGAACAGACCAATAGTAAGGAATGAGATTAAAACAGCAATAAAAATTTCCCAACCGAAAAAAAAAAGCCCAAGAGCAGATGACTTTACTGTCAAATTCTACCAAACATTTAAAGAATAAACTCCAATTATTTTTAAACTATTCCCAAAAATTGAAGAGAAAAGAATTTTTTCTAACTCATTCTATGAGGCCAGCCTTATACAAAAAAAGGACAAGGACAAAACAAAAAAAGAAAACTGTAGGTCAGTATCTCTTTTGAACATAGATGCAAATATTGTCAACAAAATAATAGCAAACTAAATCCAACAACACATCAATGAGAAACACATGATAATAAAGTGAGATGTACTTCAGAAATGTAAAGATGATTCAAAATATGCAAATCAATAAAGGAGATACATCATATCAACGAATAGACACAGAAAAAAACATTTGATAAAATTCAACATCTCTTTATGATAAAAACTCTCAACAAGTTAGGTATAGAAAGAAAATATCTGAACATAATAAAGGCCGTATATGACAAACTTACAGCTAACATCATACTGAATGGAGGAAAGCTGAAAGTCTTTCTTCTAAGAACTGGAATATGACAAGAATACCCATTTTCACCAGTCTTATTTTCAACATAGTAATGGGAGTTTTTACCAGAGCAATGAAGGACATCCAGTTTGGAAAAGAATAAGTCAAGTTCTCCCTCTTTGCAAATGGCATGATCTTGTAGATAGAAAAACCTAAAGACTGCACAAAAGAAAAAAAAAAACCTCTTAGAACTAATAAGTGAATTCAGTAAATTTGCAGGATACAAAATCGATATGCAAAAATGGGTAGTGTCTCTATATAACAATAACAAACTAGCTGAAAAAGAAATCAAGAAAACAATCCCATTTACATTATCTATAAAAATGAAACAAGGCCAGGCGCAGTGGCTCACACCTGTAATCCCAGCACTTTGGGAGGTCAAGGAAGGTGGATCACAAGGTCAAGAGATCAAGACCATCCTGGCCAACACAGTGAAACCCTGTCTCTACTAAAAATACAAAAATTAGCTGGGTGTGGTGGCATATGCCTGTAGTCCCAGCTACTCGGGAGGCTGAGGCAGGAGAATCGCTTGAACCCGGGAGGCGGAGGTTGCAGTGAGCCAAGATCGCGCCACTGTACTCCAGCCTGGTAACAGAGAGAGACTCCATCTCAAAAATAGAAATAAAATAAAATACTTAAAAATAAATTTAACCAAAAAGATGTAAGATCACTACAATGAAAACTACAAAACAACTGATGAAAAAATTGAAGAGGACAAATAAAATGGAAAGACATTCCATGTACATGAATTGGAAGAATTAATATTGTTAAAATGACCATACTACTCAAAGAAATCTACAAATTCAATACAATTTCTATCAAAATACCAATGATATTCTTCATAGAAATAGGAAAAACAATTCTAAATTCTTCATTAAACCAGAAAAGTCTCCAAATAGCCAAAGCCATACTGAGCAAAAAGAATAAAGCCAAAAGCATTACACCACCTGATTTCAAAATACACTACAAAGCTCTAGTAACCCAAACAACATGGTATTGGAATAAAACACATAGGCCAATGGAACAGAAGAGAGAACCAGAAATAAGTTCATGTATTTATAGCCAACTGATTGTTGACAAAGGTGCCAAGAATATACACTGGGGAAAGGACACCCTCATCAATAAATGGTGTTGAGAAAACTGGATATTCATATGATGTAGAATGAAACTTGACCTCTATATCTCACCATATACAAAAATCAACTCAAGATGGATTGAAGACTTAAATGTAAGACCTGAAACTACAAAAATATTAAAAGAAAACCTAGCCAAAACACTTCATAATGTAGGTCTAGGCAAAGATGTTATGGGTAAGACTTAAAGGCACAGGCAAGAAAAACAAAAATAGAATATACCAAACTAAAAAGGTGCAGAGCAAAGTAAGAAATCAACAGAATAAAGAAACAACCTGTGGAATTGGAGAAAATATTTGCATAGTATTCATCCAATAAGGGAGTAATATCCAGAATGTAAAAGAAACTCTAAAAACTCAACAGCAAAAAAACCAAATATTTCAATTAATAAATAAGCAAAGGATCTGAATAGACATTTTTCAAAAGAATGTATATAAATGGCCAATAAATGTATGAGAAAATGATTAACATCACTAATCATAAGGGGAATGCAAATCAAAACCACAATAAGATAACACCCCATCCTAGTCAGAATGGCTATCATCAAAAAGACACACACACACAAAAAAACAAATATTGATGAAGATGTAGAGAAAAGGGAACTCTTATACACTCCTGTTTGGAATATAAATTAGTACAGCCATTACAGAAAACAGCATGGAGATTTCTCAAGAAACTAAAAACAGAACTACTGTTCCTGCAATCTCGCTGCTGGGTATTTATCCAAAGAAAAGAAAATCAGTATATCAAAGTGATACCTACACCTCATATTTATTGCAGCTCTATTAACAATAGTCAAGGTATGGAATCAACTTAAATGTCCATCAACATATGAATACATAATGAAAATGTGGTCTATACACAATAGAATACTATTCAGCAATAAAAATGAAATCCTGTCATTCACAGCAACACAGATGAGCCTGGAGGACATTCTATTAAGTGAAATAAGTCAGACGCAGAAAGATAAATACTGAATATTCCCACTCACATGTTTGAATTTTTAAAAATCCTGAACTCATAAAAGTGAGGAATAGAATTGTGGTTATTAGAGGCTGGGAAGGGTAGGGGTAGGAGAGTATAGGGAGAGGTTGGTTAATAGACACAAAATTATAGCTAGATTGGAGGAATGAGTTCTAGTGTTCTGTAACACTGAAGGGTGAATTTGATTGATAATAGTTTACTGCACATTTTTCAGAAAGCTAGAACAGAAGACTGAATATTCACAACACAAAGAAATGATAAATACTTGAGGTAGAGGATGTGCTGATTACCCTGATTTGATTGCTACACGTTGTATACATGTATTGAAATATCACTCTGAATCCCATAAATACGTACCATTACTGCACATCAACTAAATGAAAATAAGAAAAGTCAATCAGAGGTTGTGACTCTCCACCTAAAGAGTTGATGGTATTTGTTAAAAATTGGTGTATATATATATAAGATTCATATTTTTAAAAAACCAACACATTCTGAAACGTAGATCAGCAGGGAGAAAATACACATAAGAATCCGAGCTAGGATTTTTTTAAACCTTCAAGGTATGAATTTTAAAGTTTATACAAAGCCCCTTTTAAAAAGGTAAGATTTCATCAACACTGTATTTTAGTAAATTTCAATGTATTATTTATCAATTGATAAGTCATGGGCTATTTGTTCTTCTGTGTCCTATCATATAAGATTGTTTTAGAAGGATATTTGATAAAAATAAAATGTGTCTGGGCAACAAATGAATTCATTATATTGAAGGTGAATACATGTCTATATTTTAGAATAGATGATTTAAACCAAACATGACAGTATGGAAATTAAGATTTGTTTTTTTTCTCACTACAGAGAATACTGAACAGTGGTATTCTCAAGTCTTATTTCCCAGCTACAATAACATGAATAGATATTGATATAGCCTATTATCTCAGCAATAATGCATATTACAACAAGTGATTACTCATTAGCAGGAAAATGTTTCTCCAGGGCTTAATTTAGAATGCCTGAAATGAAATAACAAAATCTCAGTCTTGGAAGTATCCTCTGTATAGTTATTGTTTAGGGAAACTTTTATTGCTTCACAACAGTTTAAGATCCTTAATTGGCCGGGTCTTTGAAATGAAAGCATGTGGTGAAGTACCAAGGTCTTGGACAGCTAATGTGAATGAACATATGCAATACTGTAAACCAGGCTTCTTGGAATTATTGGCAGGTTTTGATTCAGATGTAGAAGAAGATGTAGCTATCTCTTTCATTCTCAGTGATTGCCCTAAGGCTTTCTGGATAGCCTGCTGCCTTAGCAACTTTCACCCATGCCTCAGGATTCTATGTGCAGATAGAATTTGGACATGGATGGGTTAATCCACTAAACTCTACTCTTGCATGATCAGGATGCAGTCAAACATCAATTTAGGCAGACTGAGTTGAGGCTGGGTTGAGATGCAAAACCTGGCTGATTCAATGCCTGAGAGCAAGTTGTCCTAGAAAATTTCAGTACTGGGGGAGCTAAATCTACTTTACATATTTGACAAGCATCAGAGGAGTGTGATTCTACAAGTTCTTGTGATACAACGGTAAGCTTCCAATTTTGAAAATACAGAGGCAAGGAGGAGTTCAGGTGTTCAGGACTAAGATAAGGATGCAGGTCTGGAACTTCTGAGTCCCAAGGGAAAACCTGATCAAAAAGCATAAGGTAAGAATACATTTACCACATACAGGCATGCTAGGTCAGAGTAGGTGCTAGCACAGGGATGACTTGATGCTAAGCCCCCAAACTGATACCTAAAGATTTTCTATATTTTCCCTGACCAGAAATGCAATTGATCATGGAGTCTGGGACAGAGCTGAATCTCCAGATAGTCACTATATGGTTCCAGCTGTGGGACAGGAGAGCTTTAGGAGCAGGGAATTTCCAGGTCATTATACCCTTCTATACTTTAGGGCCTTTTTCATGGACTTATTTATCCTTTTTCAAGCAGCTTAATTTTTAGAAATTGATCATAATCTGAAGGCAGTTTTTGCCTTGATTACCAGGTATCTTTTTTGTGATCACTAATGGATGCCCAGAGCTGGAGCGGAGACCTAGGTATCCTCTTCCTGGAACGGCTGCAGCTGTGCTTAGGTCTTACAGATGGCCCAGGGCCCTGGGTTTTTCCTTCTGAGCTTCCTTTAAATCTGCTGACTGAGGACTGAGTAATGGCTGGATATGTCCACGACTGAACTAAAATCTCCACCCTTCCAAAACACGAAAATAAATTTCCTTAATGGAACTGCTGGCTAGAGGAAAAGCATCTATAGACTTTTGACTTGTACTTCTCTCCAAAGCTTTTTTCTATGATTCCAAACTCCAGGCTCTCAGTAAATTGCTTAATTATTTGGAAAGGTGCTGAGCCAGCAGCAGGTAGCCTTACTGAGCCCAGATCTAACCACACTGCAGTAGTATGTTGCCCCCATTTCCTAAGCAAGTCTACTGAAATGTAGACCACTCACTCAGATAAACACATCTCTCGTGTTCAGCCTCCTTAGTGCAGAATAACAGGATTTTGCTTAGAAAGTAAAGGTACAGGCAAGCGAGGAGAGCCTGGAACTCAATGACTAGACACATGAAACACAAAAAGCATGATCTTGTGGGCAGGTGAGGATAAGCATCTTCCACTGCCGGTGAAGAGAAGTCCAGCAAAAGAGTGGATCTGATGTTCAGTTGATAGACACAAACAGCAGGAAGTCAAGAGTAGCACAGTGTAGGGGGAAAAGAGTGATCTTTAGGTTTTTGCAAACTCTAAATAAAATTTTAATACTTCCATTGATTATCCATTCATTCATCCATCATATATATATATATGTGTATGTGTGTGTGTATATATATATATATGTGTATATATATACACACACACATACACATATATATGTATATACACACACCACCATGCCCAACTAATTTCATTCATCCAATATTTACTACAACCTACTATGTGTTCCAGTGCTGTCCCAGACATATACCAAGTTCAACGTCTGTCAGAGGAGCCTGGTTTTCTAGGCAGAGGTCAGAAAAGGATGAAATAAAGAAACTGCCATTTGTTAAGTATCTCTTACGTGCTAGGCACTTTCATATTGATGATTTAATTTAACCATCAAAACAATCCTGTGGATATTATTATCTCCAGTTCTGAAGAATGACAAGGAAAACATGTTTCATGGATGCAGAATAAAGAGGAATCAAACCAGAGAAAAGACAGGCATTCATGTGACCTAAACAAGGAACAACTTCTCAGTCTCTGTTTACTTATCTGTGAAACCTGTCTGGAGGATTAGTTGTAAAGAGGAGATTGCATTAAGGAGCAAATATGCCAGTCTTTCCATGGGCTTTCACACCTGGGGAGGGTTGGTAAGTGTGTGTATTCCAAATGCCCATCAGAAATCTTACAGGAGGATGCCTAGGGAGGTTGGCAGAGGGCCCGAATGACAGTCTTGGCAGGATGACATACAGCAATCCTGGCTGGGAAGTGCTGATACCGGACACCCTAGCCATAGGTAACATGGCTTAAGAAATCTAGGGCTCAGCCCCCATTCTGGAGGGACCTGGAAAACCAAGGCCGGAGTGAATGGAAACCGGGAGATTGGTCATAAGCACAAAGCAGAAGCTGGTCACTCTATCTGAGGTTAGGGAAGAACTGGTCAGATGACAAGAGCACTGCTGCATTTCAGCAGGGCCTGTAGCATCAGCCCCCTGCATGGAGAAAGTCATTGTCAGAAGTCATTGCTCCCCCATTCCCATCTCTAGGAGTTATGACTCTCAGTTCTTCCTTCCATGACTCAGCAACTACTCAGTTCTTTCCACCTGTCTCAGACTTGCTTCTCAGATCCCAAGGGCTGACCCTCTGTGTCCCTGATGCTGTCTTCTCCCAGCTGATGTCAGCTTGGTTCATAGTAAGCTCACTGGGTGCTGAGTCATCCAATGTCAAGGGCCCTTTGATCTGCCCACCAGACCTGGGGAAGGCTGAGTCACCAGACCTGGGGAAGGCTGAGTCTGCCAGTGGACTAAGTGGTCCCAGATGGGGAAGGAAATGACTGCAGACACAGAGCACCAGGCACTTCCTTCGGGGACCTCCACCCTTCACAGAACATGGTCAATCCTTGTTGCTGTCCTCTCTCTCTCTCTCTCTCTCTCTCACACACACACACACACACACACACACACACACACACACACACACACATCATTCTCTCTCCAAACAAGTTATGGATATGGTATAAAGGTACCTTGATGACATTGCTCCATAGGAGAAACCATGCTTGGCTTCTGAATATTATGACTGTTTCCTTCTCATGAGTGAATGAAGGTGAGCGCAGCATAGAACTTAAAAATAGGACTTTCTCCGACTCTTGCTCACCAATTATACAATAATTGAAGAGCAGAGAAGAAAGTTTGTTTTGTTGCCACATAATTCATATAATAGGGTCTGGATTACATGACAGAATTGTTACATTTCTCCTGGTTTGAACCCCTACCCAGAATCCATCCTGGGAAATTCTCTTCCTTGAACACCCAGCAGGTTTGCACTAATTTGTTGCTTGAACCCATGGCCACAAAACTTCAGCAGAAAAGGTTTTTATCTATGAGAACAGAAAGAAATATGCATGTAGAGATGAGAATGTGTCAATAATAGAGTATTTGAGTGAGTAGATTTGGGGAGAGAAATTATTAAAATGTTATGAAGAATTCCATTTTTCATTGAGAGCATCATTTGCCATATCTCTGAATTCAAGTTCTTCCACTCAATCATAACTTAGATAAACCTTTCCCTCATCATCTCTGTAACTAATAATTTCTTCCTTCTCAGAACTCCCAAAAGCTCTCTTACATTTCTCTCGTATCACAGTCATTACTTCGTACTGGGGTAAATCCAAGTTATGTGGGGCTTGAAGCTTAAACAATTTGGGGGGACCTCTTTAGGGAAAATAATTGGAAGTGATTAATACAAAATTAGGCATGAAAATGAATATTTATTTAGAATTGGAAAAGTATCTGTAGTTCTAGCTTGTAAGGAGGCTGGGGTGGGAGGATCACTTGAGCCCAGGAGTTCGAGGCTGAAGTGAGTTGTGATTGCACCACTGCAGTTTAGCCTAGGCGACAGAGCGAGACTCTGCTTCTGAACAACAACAACAACAACAACAACAACAAAGAAATTACAACGAAGTTTTGAAAAAGTTAACAGATACAACAGACATTCCACAATCTAAACAAATAACATTTGTATTAGTCAACTACCTACCACAGTTACTTAACTAATATTTTCTGTACAGGACATGGAAAGATAGTTCAGTCTTCCATAATGGTCATAATTTTTTACTGTCAATAATTGGAATGAATAAAAGATACAACTTCACATACAGATGCACTTATTCTTTGAAATACTGCTACAGGTTTGTGCCCTAGAAATCCACACATTCTATTATTTTGTGTAATTACCAACAAAAAGAAAACAAACGGATAGAGCATGTATAATTGGAACTGCTTATGCTGTGTTATTGAAAGTATTCCTGAAGTCAGAGAATTCTGGGGTTTTTTCAGAGAATTGTTTTGACCAGGCACTGATGGGAACGAAATCCACTGTTCAGTTTTATATGTCTGATTAGAAGCATTGTTCCACAGACTAGCTCCTGGCTCCATGCACTTCAAACCTTGTGTCTCCTCCAGCACTCACCTACTTCCTGTGCTGGGTGCAATAACTTTTTGGTTGACAGCAAAATATCTGTGAGCCCCAGACATGTATTTCAATAAACTCAACTGAATGTGTCTTCAATAACTTTGCCTTTTTTGGACCTCAAAAATGTCCTTGGCCATTCTAACAGTAGGGAAAGTCAGAGGAAAAAGAGACAGCAGTTTAACTGAAGATTTTTTAAAAAAATTTCACTTTTGCAAATTTTACCAGAATACATGACCACATAAGTATATGTATAGGGTCTCTCCCAGAGTGTTGGAAGGGGCCCATGTAAGTGAGGGGCACCGATGCTCGAGTTTTATTTGCTTCATGGAAAATCTGCCTCTGCATTTACTTTCTATTATAATAATTTATGTACTCATATAATTATGCCTACTATATTTGAGAGCATTTTTACATTTCCAGTTCCAGATAGAGTTCTTTTTACGTGGAAGCTGCTCAGTAAATTTTGTTGCGTTAACTAAGAAATTCATATACATTAAGGGGCAAGTGCAGTTACACGATCTCTCTCCCCACATGACTAAGTGTGCAGAGGAATTCCATGCTGTCCACCTCAAGGAAAATCACAGTTGTGTTTCTCCTTAGAAAGGGCACCAGTCAGTAGCTTTGGTCTTGAGTTTTTCTGGAATCCCAGGAGTTTTTTCCCACCAGTCTCAATAAGGTCAGAGACTTCTTGGTGAGGATTTCTGAAAGGATCATAAATTTATTAGTTGAAATAAAACTAACAGTATTTTGTCACTATGATTTAAAATAATAATTATAAGAAGAGATTGGTTAAATTGTTACATCTATAAAATGGAATACATTATTAAAATGCATGCAATGGAATATTTCTTTTGAAATGGAAAAGCATTCGTAGTATCCCATCAAGTGGATAATAATGCTCCACTTCAAAACCCTCACCAGTTCAAACCTCTACAACCAGTTTGTTGTTGTTGTTCCAGCGTGCCTGCTCAAGAACCCCATGGCACTCTCTTCTGCAATTTCAGTGGTACTTCCACTCATCTCCCCACTTTCTACTTCCCTCCTATCCAGGTTGGATTCCATGGTCCATTACCCCAACTACTCTCGGATTCCGTGGTCCATTACTCCAACTACTCTCTTGCAAATACTCTAAACTCCCTTGGCCCCTCCTTGTACCTTTGCTCTTTTGAAAATATTTACTTTAGGCCGGGCGCGGTGGCTCACGCCTGTAATCCCAGCGCTTTGGGAGGCCGAGGCGGGAGGATCTCGAGGTCAGGAGATTGAGACCATCCTGGCAAACACAGTGAAACCCCGTCTTTACTAAAAATACAAAAAAATTAGCCAGGCGTGGTGGCGAGCGCCTGTAGTCCCGGCTACGGAGGAGGCTGAGGCAGGAGAATGGTGTGAACCCAGGAGGCGGAGCTTGCAGTGAGCCGAAATCTCGCCACTACACTCCAGCCTGGGTAACAGAACGAGACTCCGTCTCAAAAAAAAAGAAAGAAAGAAAGAAAGAAAAAATATTTACTTTATTGCTGTAAAATACACATATAAAATTTGCCATCATAACCATTGTCTAGTGCACAGTTTAGTGGTATGAAGTACATCCATGTTGTACTTGGTGGCAATCATCACTACCATCTACCTCCCGACTCTTTGCATCTTGCAAAACTGAAACTCTATACCTATTATTTATTGAAAATTTCAATTTGTATTTTAGATTCAGGGAGTACATGTGCAGGATTGTTACAAGGGTATATTTCATAATGATGAGGTTTGGGGTAGGACTAAACCCATCACCCAGGTAATGAGCACAGTACCCAATAAGTAGTTTGGCCTCCCTTGCCTCCCTCCTTCCTCCTCTCTCCTGTAGTGACCAATATCTATCGTTCCCACCTTTATGTCCATGTGCACCCAATGCAATGTTCAGCTCCCACTTATAAGTGAGAACATGTGGTATTTGGTTTTCTGTTTGCCTTTTAATTTGCTTAGGATAATGGCCTCTGGCTGCACCCACGTTGCTGGAAAGGATATGATTTCATTCTTTTTTTATGGCTGTGTAGTATCCCATGATGTATATGTAACTTTATCTAGATATGTCAACTTATGTAAATTTGTAAATTTTCTTTATTGAAGTCACCATTGATGGGCACCTAGGTTGATTTCATGCCTTTGCTATTGTGAATATGCCTCAATAAACATAGGAGTGCATTTGCCTTTTTGGTAGAACAATTTATTTTCCTTTGGGTATATACCCAGTAATGGGATTGCTGGTGTGAAATGGTATCTTATTGTAGTTTTGATTTGCATATTTCTGATGATTAGTGATGTTGAGCATTTTTTTGTGTTTGTTGGCTGCTTGTGTGTCTTTTGAGAAGTGTCTGTTCATGTGCTTTGCCCACTTTTTAATGGGGTTTTATTTTTTGCTTAATTGTTTAAGTTCCTTATCATTTCTGGATATTAGACCTTTGTTGGATGTGTAGTTTGCAAATATTTTCTCCCTTTCTGTAGGTTGTCTGTTTACTCTGTTGATAGTTTATTTTGCTGTTCAGAAGCTCTTTAGTTTAATTTGGTCCCATTTGTCAAATTTTGTTTTTATTGCAATTTTTTTTTGAGGACTTAATCATTAATTCTTGCAAAGGCTGGTGCCCAGAAGGATATTTCCTAGGTTTTCTTCTAGTATTTTTATAGTTCTAGGTCTTAAATTTAAGTCTTTAATCCATCTTGAGTTAATTTTTGCATATAGTGATAGGTAGGAGTCCAGTGAAACTCTGTACCTGTTACACAATAACTCCTCATTCCTTTCTCCTGCTAGCCCCTGACAACCACTATTCTTCTTTCTGTGTTTATAATTTTGACTACTGTAGGTACCTGATATAAGTAGAATCATGCAGTATTTGTCTTTTTTGTGACTGCCTTATTTCACATAGTATAATAACCTCAAAATGTACCTGTGTTGTAGAATGTGTCAGAGCTTTCTAACTTTTTAAGGTTCTGTGATATTCCACTGTAAGTACATATATACCACATTTTGCTTATTCATTCATTCATTGTTGGACATGTGGTTTGTTTCCATGTTTTAGCCATTGCAAATAATGCTGCAATGAAAATGGATATACAAATATCTCTTTGAGACCCTGGTTTCTTTTTTAAAAAATCTTTTAAGTTCAGGGGTACATATGCAGGTTTGTTATATAGGTAAACTTGTTTCATGGGGGTTTGTTGTACAGATTATTTCATCACCCGGGTATTAAGCCTAGTACCCATTAGCTATTTATACAGATCCTCTCCTTCCTCCCTCCATTCTCAGATAGGTCCTAGTGCTGTTGTTTCTCTCTATGTGTCCATGTGTTCTCATCATTTAACTCCCACTTGTAAGTGAAAACATGCAGTATTTGGTTTTATGTTACTGTATTAGTTTGCTAAGGATAATAGCCTCCAGCTCCACCCATGTTCCTGCAAAGGACATGATCTCATTCTTTTTTATGTCTGCATAGTATTCCATGGTGTATATATACCACATTTTATTTATCCATTCTACAATTGATGGGCATTTAGGTTTATTCTATGTCTCTGCTATTGTGAATAGTGCTGCAATGAACATACATACGCATGTGTCTTTATGATAGAATGACTTATATTCCTTTGTGTATACACCCAGTAATGGGATTGCTGGGTCAAACGGTATTTCTTTTTTCAGGTCTTTGAGGAATCACCACACTGTTTTCAACAATGGCTGAACTAATTCGCACTCCCACCAACAGTGTGTAAGCATTCTTTTTTCTCCACAACCTCACCAGCATCTGTTATTTTTTTGCCTTTTTAGTAATAGCCATTCCGACAGGTGTGAGATGATATATCGTTGTGGTTTTGATTTGCATTTCTCTAATGATCAGTGATGTTGAGCTTTTTTTCTTATGGGTGTTGACCACATGTATGTCATCTTTTGAAAAGTGTCTGTTCATGCCCTTTGCCCACTTTTTAATGGAGACCTTGCCTTCAGTTCTTTGGGGTATATACTAACAGGTGGAATTTCTGAATCATATGGTAATTCTATTTTCTTTTTTTAGAAACAATCATTTTTTTACAGTGACTATAGTATTTTGCATTCTCATCAACAGTGCACAGGGTTCCAATTTCTCCAAATCCTTACCAACACTCAATATCTTTGGGGTTTTTATACTTTTAAGTTCAGGGATACGAGTGCAGGTTTATTACACAGGTAAACTTGTGTCATGGGGATTTGTTGTGCAGATTATTTAATCATCCAGGCATTAAGCCTATTTTTAATAGATGTCATCCAAATGAGTGTGAGGTGGCACCTCATTGTAGTTTTGATTTGCATTTCCCTAATGATAAGTATGTTGAGCATCTTTTCATGTGCTTATTGATCACTTGTATATCTTCATGGGAGTAATGTCTATTTAAGTCTTTTGCCCTTTTGGAATCAAGTTATTTTTTAGATTGGGTTTCAGAAGTTCTTTGTATGTTCTGAATATTAATCCCTTATCAGATATATGATTTGAAAATATTTTCTCCAATTGCCTGTGTTGCCTTGTTGCTCTGTTGATAGTGTCCTTTGATGCACAAAAGTTTTTAGTTTTTATGAAGTCCAATTGGTTTTCATTTTATTGCCTTGCCTTTGATGTCATATGCAAGAAATTCTTGCCAAATCCAAGATTGTGGAGCTTTTACCCAATGTTTTCTTCTAAGAGTTTCACAGATTTATCTCTTAGCTTTAAGTCTTTGATCCATTTTGATTTAATTTTTGTATAAGGTAGATAAGGGTCTAACTTCATTCCTTTGCATATGCATATCCAGTTTTCAAAAATTTGTTGAAAAAATTCTTCTTTCTCTGCTGAATGGTCTTGACAACCTTATTGAAATCATTTGACCATATAAGCAAGAGGTTATTTCTGGGCTCTCTGTTATGTTTAATTGGTCTATGTGTCTGTTTTCAGGCCAGTATCATGCTATTTTGATTGCTATAGCTTTGTACTAAGTTTTGAAATCAGGAAGTGTGAATCCTTCAGGGTTTTTTTTCCTTTTTTAAGATTGTTTTGGCTATTTTGGGTCCCTTGAGATTCCATATGAATTTTAGGATGGATTTTCTATTGCAGAAAAAATGATCATTGGAATTTTTATAAGGATTGCATGAATCTCTAGATGACTTTGGATAATATTGACATTTTAATAAAATTTTCTTCTTATCCATGAACATGGAATGTGTTCCATTTATTTATGTCTTTTTAAACTTCTTTTGGCAATATTTTGCAGTCTTCATCATACAAGTCTTTCATTTCCTTTGTTAAGTTAATCTCTAAGTATTTTATTGTTTTTCATGCTATTATAAATGGAATTGTTTCCTGACTTTTTAATGATTGCCATTCTAACTGGTGTGAGATGGTATCTCATTGTGGTTTGGATTTGCATTTCTCTGATGGCCAGTGATGATGAGCATTTTTTCACGTGTCTTTTGGCTGCATAAATGTCTTCTTTTGAGAAGTGTCTGTTCATATCCTTTGCCCACTTGTTGATGGGGTTGTTTTTTTCTTGTAAATTTGTTGGAGTTCATTGTAGATTCTGGATATTAGCCCTTTGTCAGATGAGTAGATTGCAAAAATTCTTTCCCATTCTGTAGGCTGCCTGTTCACTCTGATGGTAGTTTCTTTGGCTGCACAGAAGCTCTTTAGTTTAATTAGATCCCATTTGTCAATTTTGGCTTTTGTTGCCATTGCTTTTGGTGTTTTAGACATGAAGTCCTTGTCAATGCCTATGTCCTGAATGGTATTGCCTAGGTTTTCTTCTAGGGTTTTTATGGTTTTAGGTCTAACAAACATTTAAGTCTTTAATCCATCTTGAATTAATTTTTGTATAAGGTGTTAAGGAAGGGATCCAGTTTCAGCTTTCTACATATGGCTAGCCAGTTTTCCCAGCACCATTTATTAAATAGGGAATCCTTTCCCCATTTCTTGTTTTTGTCAGGTTTGTCAAAGATCAGATGGTTGTAGTTATGCGGCATTATTTCTGAGGGCTCTATTCTGTTCCATTGATCTATATCTCTGTTTTGGTACCCGTACCATGCTGTTTTGGTTACTGTAGCCTTGTAGTATAGTTTGAAGTCAGGTAGCGTGATGCCTCCAGCTTTGTTCTTTTGGCTTAGGACTGACTTGGCGATGCAGGCTCTTTTCTGGTTCCATATGAACTTTAAAGTAGTTTTTTCCAATTCTAGGAACACTTTTACACGGTTGTTGGGACTGTAAACTAGTTCAACCATTGTGGAAGTCAATGTGGTGATTCCTCAGGGATCTAGAACTAGAAATACCATTTGACCCAGCCATCCCATTACTGGGTATATACCCAAAGGATTATAAATCATGCTGCTATAAAGACGCATGCACACATATGTTTATTGCGGCACTATTCATAATAGCAAAGACTTGGAACCAAGCCAAATGTCCAACAATGATAGACTGGATTAAGAAAATGTGGTATATATACACCATGGAATACTATGCAGCCATAAAAAATGATGACTTCATGTCCTTTGTAGGGACATGGATGAAGCTGGAAACCATCATTCTCAGCAAACTATCGTAAGGACAAAAAACCAAACACCGCATGTTCTCACTCATAGGTGGGAATTGAACAATGAGAACACATGGTCACAGGAAGGGGAACATCACACACTGGGGCCTGTTATGGGGTGGGGGAGTGGGGAGGGATAGCATTTGGAGATATACCTAATGTTCAATGAGGAGTTACTAGGTGCAGCACACCAACATGGCACATGTATACATATGTAACTAACCTGCCTGTTGTGCACATGTACCCTAAAACTTAAAGTATAATAAAAAAAAGATAAATAAACAAAAAATTTTATTCGGAATTAAAAAACTAAATAAATAAATGGAATTGTTTTCAAAATTTCCCTTTCAGATTGTTCATTTTTAGTGTATAAAGATGAAATTTATGTTTGTATGTTGACTTTGTATCCCACTTTCTATTATGCTACTTTGCAGAATTCCTTTATTGGTCCTAACAGAGTTTTTTTTTTGTGGTGTGGAATCTTTAGAGTTTTCTACATATAAGAGCATATTACCTGCAAACAGAGGTAATTTTACTTCTTCCTTCCCAATTTAGATGCTTTTGATATTTTTTCTTGCCTAATTGTTTTGGCTGTGGCTTCCAGTACTATATTGAATTATTGAATAAAAGTGGTGAAAGTGGGCATCCTTGTCTTGTCTTTGATCTTAGAGAAACAGCTTTCACTCTTTCACCATTGAGTATGATGTTTTCAGTGGGGTTTTCATATATGGTCTTTGTTAGGTTGAGGTAGTTTTCTTCTATTTTTTGTTTCTTGGGTGTTTTCATCATATAATTGTGTATAATCTTGTCAAATGCTTATTCTGTTTTAATTAAAATATCCACATTTTCCCCCTTCTTTTTGTTAATATGGTATATTACAATGATTGATTTTTATATGTAGAGCCATCCTAGCATTCCAGGAATAAATCCCACATAGTTATGATAAATAATCCTTTTAATATGCTGCCAAATTCAATTTGCTAATATCTTGTTGAGGATTTTTGCATCAATGTTCATAAGGGGTATTGTTCTGTGGTTTTGTTTTCTTGTAGTGCCTTTTTCTGTCATTGGTGTCAGGGTAATGCTGGTGCCAGAATGAGTTATGAAGTGTTTTCTCCTCTTCAATTTTCTGGAAGAGTTTGAGAAGGATTGGTATTAGTTCTTTAAATGTTTGGTAGAACTCACCAGTGAAGCCATCAAGTCAAGGACATTTCTTTGTTGAGAGATTTGGATTACTGATTCAATTTCCTTAATAACCATAAGTGTTTTTTGATTGTCTAACTCTCTGTGATACAGTCTTGGTAAGTTTTGTGTTTCTAGGTTTTTTTATCTAGGTTTTTATCTAGGAATTTTATCTAGGTTGTCTAATTTGTTGGCATATATTGCTCATAGAATTCTCTTATAATCTTTTTTATTTTCACAGAATCAGTAATAATGTTCCTATTTTCTTTCTGATTTGAGCAAACTGAGTCTTCTCTCTCTTTTTTTCTTAGCCTAGCTAAAGGTTTGTCAATTTTGTTGATCTTCTTAAACATTTTTTGGTTTCACTGATTTTCTCTATTATTTTTCTATTTACTTATTATTACTATTTTCTATTCATTTATCTCTGCTCTAATCTTTATTATTTTATTCCTTCTGATAGCTCTGAGTTTAATTTGTTCTTTTTTTTCTAGTTACTTAAGTTGCAAAGTTAGGTTGTTTATTTGGGATCATTCTTGCTTTTTAATGTAAGCATTTATAGTTATAAATTTCTCCCATAGCACTGCCTTCCCTGTATCCCATATGTTTTGGAATGTTGTGTTTTGTTTTCATTTGTCTCTAAGTATTTTCTTTTTTTTCTTGTGATTTCTTCTTTGATCCATTGATTGTTTAATAGTGTATTAATTTTTACAAATTGGTGAACTTTCCAGTTTTCTTTCTCTAATTGATTTCTATCTTCATCCTGTTTTGGTCAGAAAAAATACTTTGTATGATATCATCTTTTAAACATCTGTTAATACTTAATTTGTGACCTAGCTAACCTATGGTCTGTCCTGGAGAATGTCCCGTGTGCACTTGAGAAGAATGTGTATTCTGTGATTATTGAGTAGAGTGTTCTGTATATGTCTGTCATAACCCTTTGCTTTATTGTGTTGTTCAAATTCTCTATTTCTTTACTTTATCTTCTATCTGATTCTATCCATTATTGATGATGCTAAAGTCTCTTTATTGTGGAACTGAATTATTTCCTTGTGTCCAATTATTTGTCTTTTATTCTTTTTTCCCTTTTCAAAAAGTGTGAAGTTTTAAAAATACCCACTAGAATATAAACTCCACGTAGCTGAAGATTTTTGTCTATTGTTCAGTGCTCTATTTGTAGTTCAGTGCTCTATCTTTGGTTCTAGTAGTTTGGGATATACTAGGTACTCATTTTGAATGAATGGACATGGGACAGTACAAAATTAATATAGAAAACACATTGTACCCCCATGCTTTATCAGAATTTGAGATATTACCATATTTGCCCCAGATTTGTCTTTTAAGAAATTAAATATTACAGATAAAGTTGAAGCCCCCTAGATACCTTTCCTGGATCTTATTCACCTCTCTCCATCCCCAGTGATAGTTGCTGTCAGTAATTTGGTGTTTATCTTTATCATGTAAATTTTTTTACTTTGCTACATATTTAGAAATCTCCATAATAATGTATAGCATTTTGATGGATTATAAACTTTATATAAATAAATGACATATTTTACATATTATGATTTTCTATATTATGTTTTATGAAATTTTTCCTTCTATGTTATATTTATGAAATTAATCCATGTTGATACATGTGGCTCCAGTTCATTCATTTAAATGGTATTTGTTTTTTGGGGTTTTTTACTTGCTTGTATAAAAATTTGTTTATTCTCCTACTGATGGACATTTAAGTGGCTTCCTGATTTTTGCCATTTCTAGCACTGCTACAATGAACATTCATATAAAAGTGTCCTTGCACAGCAATCTTCAAATGTTCCTCTGTGAAGGATCTTTGTTTAGGGCTGGAAAGCTGGTGCATGGGGTATACGGAGTTTCATCTCTAGTAGATATTGTCAAATTATTCTCCAAATACTTTGTGCAAATTAACATTCCCAACAGAAATATTTGAGAGTTCACCTTGCTTCACATCCAAGCCACCATTTGGTATCATCAGGCTTTAAGTAATTTTTTTCATCTTATGATGTGAAGTGGCAACTTACTTTTATTTTGCATTTCTCTGTTTACTAGAAAAAGTTTAACAATGTTTTATAAGTTCACTGGTCATTAGGTAATCCTCTTCTATAGACTGCTATCTGAT
Organism: Homo sapiens; assembly: GCF_000001405.40. NCBI lineage: Eukaryota > Metazoa > Chordata > Mammalia > Primates > Hominidae > Homo > Homo sapiens. Next base: position 31,254,737 of record NC_000010.11, read on the forward strand.
GTAACTGTCTATTTTTTATTGAGCGATTTCTCTCTCTCTCTTTTTAATTTGCAGGCAATCATTATATAGGCTGGCAACTAATCCTTTGTCAGCCATATGCATTGTAAATACCTCCTTTTGGTCTAAGTTTTATCTTAACATTATTTATAGTATCTTTTTTATAAAGAAGTTTTATATTTTAATGGAGCTAAATTTATCAGTTTTTTTTCTTAATTGCTTAGTATATTGTTCAAGAACTCTCTTTCCACCCTCACGTCTTAAAGATATTCTCATATGCTATTATCTAAATTTTTAAAATGCTGCTCTACACATTTAGTTTTTAATTCGGTCTGGGGAATGAGGTAAGAATTAAATTTTATCATTTTCCATATGGACAATTAATTGCTCCACCACCATTTTATTACCCCACTGATCTGTAATGCAGCTCTTGACATATTACATTTCCCTGTATGCATGGGGCTGAGCTCTGTATTCTATTCCACTTGTCATCTTGTCTGTCTCTGTGCCAGAATCACATTGTAGTAATCACTATAATTTTACAAAAATTATTCATCTCTTTCTCACCTTGTTCGTCTTCAATTTTTTTTTTTTTTGGCTATTGTTGTCCTTTTCTCTACCATTTAAATATTAGGGACACTTGTCAAGTTAAATATAAAACTCTGATGGAATTGCATTGGATTTATAAATAAATTTGGAGAGAACTGCCATCTTTATTATAGTGAATCTTCCTATCCAAAAACATGGTTTTTACTCGGGACTTCTCCATTTATTTAGGACTTCCTTTACTTCAATAATGCTATATATTTTTTCATTATCTTGTATATCTTTATTAGATTGCTTCTTAGGTAAATTATAGTCTTTGTTGTCATTGTGAAAAGTATGTTTTTTGTATTGCTTTTCTGGTTACTAGAGTGTTATTGATTATGCTATGCTTTGTATCCAAAAATCTAGATCAACTCTCTACTTTTAGAATCGTATATTGGTTAATCATTAGAAATAATACCTCTTAGATTGTATGTGTATGTAAATATGCTTCATATTTCTTTCCAATTCTATACCCTTATGTTTTTATCTGTCTTACTGGATCGACTATAACCTTTAGTACATTACTGAATAGAAGTGGTGACATAAAATATCTTTATCTTGTCTCTGACTTTAATGGTAATGCTTCTAAAGTCTCATCAATATGCAGGATTACGTAGATTTTGAATATTAGGTAAATAAAATTCACTTCTATTCCTAGTTTAATTTTTTAATTATGATGAATATTAATTTTTCACCAAATGCTTTTTCTGGAGTTACTGAGATAATCATAAGGCTTTTCTTAACGTCTAAATATGGTATACCATATCAAAAGATTTTGGAATCTCTTCTTGAAACCACCCTTCCATTCCTGATATGAACCCAACTGGAACACAAACACTGCTGATTTTGGTTTGCTACCATTTGAATTAGAATGTTTTATCTCTCTGCTGATAAATGAAATGAATCTACAGTTTTCTTCTCTTATATTTTTTTCTGATCTCAAGATTACACTAGGTTTGAAAATAAGCTCTGTGGCTTTTCCTCTTTTCCAGCTCCCTGAAATAATGTACATAAGTTAGAGACTATCCATACCTTGAAGATATAACACCTAGCTGTAAAATCATCAGTACCTGGTGGCTTTTTGGTGGGGAAGAGTTTTGGTTGCTGACTTCACTTCTTTAACAGCGATTAGACTATTCATATTGTCAAATTTTTCATTCAATTAATTTTTGTAATTTATTTTTAAAGAAATTATTTCATCTAAAATTTTAAATTTGTTACTAGTAGTATTTTGTGGTTTAAAAAAAAATCTCTATCAGGAAAAACAGTGGTTCCCATGGTGGGGTGGGGAGAGGAAGTGAGAGATGTAGGTCAAAGGATATAAAATAGCAAATATGTAGGATGGACAAGTCTAGAGATTTAATGTGCAACATGAGCACTACAGTTAATAAAATTGTACTGTATTAGGAATTTTTGTTAAGTAGATTTTAGTAGCTATGTAAGATGACAAGTATGTTAATCTGCTTCACTATAGTAACCACTTGACTATATGTTTCCTATAATATCCTGTCGCAAATCTCAAATATACACAATAAAATGTATTTTTAAAAAACACATATATCTATAGGAAAGTCCCCTATTTAGATGCTAGTATTATACATTTGTGCCTTTTGTATTTTTTCTTGATTGTTCTCTTGTTGTTTTTTTCAAATAAAAAGCTTTTGGTTTTATTTATCCTCTCTATTGCTCCTTTGTTTAATTAATTTCTATTCTTTATTATTTCTTTTCTTCTACATTTCTTGTGTTTATTTTGCTTTTCTTTTTCTAACTTTTTAATCCAATTGCTAATTTATTTTAACATGTCTTCTTTCCTTCCCTCCCACCGAGACGGAGTCTTGCTCTGTCGCCCAGGCTGGAATGCAGTGGTGCGATCTGGGCTCACTGCAATCTCCACACTCCCAGGTTCAGGCGAGTCTCCTGCCTCAGCCTCCGGAGTAGCTGGGATTACAAGCGCGTGCCACCGTGCCTGGCTAATTGTATTTTTAGTAGAGATGAGGTTTCACCATGTTGGCCAGGATGGTCTCGAACTCCTTGACCTCGTGATGTGCCCGCTTCAGCCTCCCAAAGTGCTGAGACTACAGGCGTGATCCACTGCGCCTGGCCAATATATCTTATTTCTTAAAGATGTCATTTTGTGTTATAAATTCACCTCTGACTACCATAACTTTAGCCATTTGCTATGTAGTACATTCATTACTGTTTAATGCTAAATGTAATTTCTATTGTGATTTCCCTCTTTAACCTGTGTTATTCAAGTTTCCAGGCATATTTTTTCCTGCTGGATCAAATGGCGGTTCTACTTTTAGCTCTTAGGGAATCTCCACACTGTTTTCCATGATGTTTGTACTAGTTACATTCCCACCAGCAATGCAGAAGTGTTACCTTTTCACTGCGTCCTCGCCAACATCTATTTTTTTTTTTTATTATTATAGCCTTTCTTGCCGGAGTAAGGTGTTATTGCATTGTGGTTTTGATTTGCATTTCCCTGATCATCAGTGATGTTGAACATTTCTTCATATGTTTGTTGGCCATTTGTACATCTTCTTTTGAGAACTGTCTATTAATGTCCTTAGCCCACTTTTTGATGGGATTGTTATTCTCTTACTAATTTGTTTGAGTTCCTTGTAGATTCTGGGTGTTAGTTCTTTGTTGGATGTATAGATTGTGAAGATTTTCCCCCACTCTGTGTGTTGTATGTTTACTCTGCTGACTGTTCCTTTTGCCATGCAAAAGCTCTTTACATTCATTTTTAAAAGAATATCCTGTAATGATAGTTTATGATTGGTTACTTGTCTAAGTCTTTGTGATTATAAAAATGTCCTAATTTTATGCATTTTAATAGTTTTGCTTGGTATAAAATTCTCAATTGAAAGTTAATTTCTCTCAGCCCAGGAAGATAATCACTGTCTTCTTACATCTTAAGTCCACTGTCCATCTATTGAGTGTTCCTTTGCATGGAATCTGTTATTTCTGATAGCTTTTAATATTTGCCTCTTCTTTGTTGATGTTCTTCAATTTTACTATGTTGTACATTTATTTTTATTTATCCTGCTTGCTACTAGTGTGCTTTTAATCAGAGTACTCCTGCCATCTTACAATTCTGGAAATTCTCAGCTCTTATTTTATCATATATTGCTCCTCCATCCCCCTTTGCTGTCACTCCTATTAGGCACATATTATAGAACTTACATCACTCTATCAAAATCCCTACTCTTGCCCACAAGGTTGTACCAATAATGTTTTGCCATCATTCTAAATGGAAAATTAAAAGAAAATGTAAAGAAATGTTTATATTTTCCTAATGAAAAATGCTAATTCAGAAATACAATGTGTCACATTTGTATTTCAAACCAAGGAAAGACTATAAGATTACTGCAAAATCCTGTGTACTATATTACACTACAAGGCTAAAAATATAATTACACATTGAATTTGATAAATAAAAAATCAGAAAGATTCTTGAGACCTGAAATTTATAAGTGACAATAACATCACTTATCTCTAACTTCAAACTAGTTATATGACATTTTTAATTGTTGAAACCTGAAGTCATTAAAAATTTGTTGGTACATGTTTATAGAAGCATGTATTAATTCTATTTGTGTTTGTCTATGGGTATACGTATATATATTTGTGTGTACATATATATATATATAAATCTTATATAAAATAACACACTCCAGCAGTCCTAACTTAAGTTTTCTTTATAACCATAATTATTTCATACCAATTTTTAAATACCAATGATTATTAAACAACAATATATTGCCACCTGATATATTGTTTGTCTATTTTCTTCCTCTAAAATGTCAACTCCATGAGGGTAGAAACTTAATCTTTTTTGGTCATTACTGTATTGCCTGGAACACTTCCTAACATGTAGTACTAATTCCTTAAATATTTGTTGAGTGAATGGTAACATTTTTATATGTTCCAGACCTGAATTTGAGTTAAAATTGAGCAAGAGAGAGACTTCCATGAAATATGCGAACTAGAAGGGTTACAGGTAAACTGTGGGTCCAGATGGATCGTAAAGTTGAGGAGTGTGGAGTGTGTGGCTGAGAGAGGTGGAACAAATTAGGCAACGCCACAAGTCAGAAGACTCAAAGAGTGTGTAGTTCTGGCCATGACCGAGGTCAACTGAGGAAAGTTAGGAGAGGAAAGCTGGCCAAATTTTGGGGGTGTACAAACTTGTTCAAGATTAAGCCTGCAAGCTTAGATGCAAGCATATAAAGAATCTGATGGATGGCTGCTCCAATAGAAACACCCTACATGGGGTCTGCAGCCATACCACCCTGAACACAGCGAGTCTCATCTGATCTGGGAGGCTTAGCAGGGTCAGGCCTCAGTAGTACCTGGAAGGAAAATGAAGCACATAGGATGTGTCCTTCAATAGGTCCCACTGACATTCAAACTCCTTAGTGTGGCACACAAGGTCCTTCACATTCTGGTCTCCCTGTCCAGCCTCCTCTATCATCACTCTATTATTGATCTAAAGTCGGCTCCACCCATTTTGGACTAATCACATGTCCCTGAACTGCACGTTCACGTTTTTCACAGGCTTTGGCTTCTTCCTTTCCTCCTGCACAGTATATTATACCTGGTCTCTTCACCTTCGTTTTCCCCTTTAGTCCCCTGCCTATCCTCTCTTTTCTTTCAGGTCTTCGCTGAAACATGGGCACTCGTGGGAAGTGCTTTCTGTTCCCCAGGCTCAGGTATGGTGCCTTTCTGATGTGTCTCCCTAAAACCACTCACTCCTACGTAACATTTGTCATGCAGTTCGGAAATGCCACTCTTGAGGTCTGTCTTTCCAGCCAGTCAATATGCTCCTCAAAGACAGGGATTGGGTTATGTTCCGGCACCTGACACAACAATTTTTTTTTTTTTTTTTTTTTGAGATGGAGTTTCACTCTTGTTGCCTAGGCTGGAGTGCAATGGCGCGATCTCGGCTCACTGCAACCTCCGCCTCCCAGGTTCAAGCGATTCTCCTGCTTCAGCCTCCCGAGTAGCTGGGATTAAAGGAACCCACCACCATACCCAGCTAATTTTTTTTTTTTTTTTTTTTTTAGTATTTTTAGTAGAGATGGGATTTTGCCATGTTGGCCAGGCTAGTCTTGAACTCTTGGACTCAGGTGATCCGCCTTGGCCTCCCAAAGTGTTGGGATTACAGGCGTGAACCACCATGCCTGGCCTGGCACAACAACTGACACATAGAGGGCACTCGATCAATAGTATTGAATAAATTATGAGTGAAACAGTACAAATGAATGAACGTGGACAGGTCCAATAAGGCTGTTGGATCATAGGCAGTGTAAAGAGGCATGGTTATTTAGTTGGTTAAGTCTCAAGCCCACCGAAGAAGAGTATGTGTTTGTTGCAGGAGTCAAGGGAGCTTTAGGGAAGACTGGGTGGCCTTGGTATCCCAGTGGAGTTGCTTTGAGCAAGGTTTAGTCAAAGGTAGGTTAAGGATATGGCAGGGCAAAAACATCAGGAAGCCAGAGTTTGTCTTTGGAAATTCCAGCCTTTCTTTTCGGGTGATTTCCCCAACCCCTGCTGCAGCAGTCTCTTATTTACTTTGACTCAAACACCGAATTCCCTCCTACTACTCCTTCTCCTTTCTACAACACCAGCTCTCTAGATATTTCTGTTCCTAATTTTTTTTTTTTTTTGTAGAGACAGGTCTCCCTATGGTGTTGCCCAGGCTGGTCTTGAACTCCTAGCCTCAAGTGATCCTCCTGCTTCAGCCTGCCAAAGTGCTGGATTACAGGTGTAAGCCACCTCTGGACATCTTATCTGTGAAATTTTAGGCATTGATCAGTGCAGAAAGAACCATGAACTGCAGGATGTTCTCAGAGACTCTGACATTATGGCCCACAAGAAGCTGCCCACTCAGCTTCTAGTCAGTTAGGTGTGGACTTCATCAATCACAGAATGAAGACTCAGACAGCCTCCCAGGAGGACACAAAGTCAGCCTCAGAGAGGCATGGAGGTGTTAAAGAGGGAAGTGCCTGCTAGAATTTCAGTGGGTTGGATATGCTCTTTAACGATGCACAAATCATAGGTATACATTTTCTGACAATTGGAATCTATTATTACTCTTGAACCAGCTGTTCCCCAGGCTGTTTCCTGTAATGGAAGGGATACTTTGAGTTTATATCTTTTCAATCCTACATCCTCAGAAATCTACACTGATACTAATAAAGGGACTCATTTCTCCTATAAGAACCCCTATGCGAGAAAAGTATGTTTGGGTATTGCCTAATGCACTCATAATAAATATACACAGCCATAAAACAGAGTAAAAGTCCTGGTAAGCCTGTTATTTGCAGTAATTGTAGATTGTGAGTGGACATTTTAAAGAGAAGCTTACAAGTTAGTTGTACTTTCTGGTAGTAATTACCTCCCACAACATGACTCACTTCGGCAGTTTAAATGCAAGAGTTGGGTGTCCCAAAATCAACAGTTTTATAAATAAATCTCTGAATCATGAACTGAATGCATAAATGTTTAAATATTTCTCCTTCTTAATCTGAAAGATAGCTTTAGATTTAAGATATTGCACATATTTTAAATACCTTAGGGGAAAAATAAAAACAAAAAAAGCAAAAAAGGCAATGGATGTCTCTGTACACTGTAGAAAGGCTTTAACTTGGAAGTTGATATCCTCTTTGCAGGAATGAACCTACAGCAACCAGAGTGTTAAGTGGATGTTTTCTTCAATCCAAGAGGGGAGGCTGCTATCAATCTGTTCTAATGCGGCCCATTTGTTTGTTTTTTAAGTAATACTCGCAGGGCAGACTTTTATGGTAATGTAGCAACATTAATGCTTTTAGGTGGGACTCTCCTGCAGTCTCATGGGTAATAGAACATATAACGGAAGAAATGTGGCTGTGTCAGCTTGGAATGCTGCAGAAAGAACAATTCATGCCAGAAGGAGACATTCGGTTTTTTGGAATGCTCACTGAAAGACATTGTGTATCTCAATGAACTTCAGCCTTACAATCAGTGAAGCTTTTTTTTTTTAAACCTGAAAAAAATCACACTCTAAAATTATTAACAGAAACATCATCCACCCCACTAGACTCATTTTTTTGTGAAGTTCTAAAGTTTTATTTATGTCTGGTTAAAAAGGGAACTGTATTAGAAGTCTGTTCTATTCTTGTAACCATGTTTTTCAGAATTTACGATTAATCACCCACATGGATCTAAGAGTAAAATCTGGAGTCAGAATTCTATATCTGTGTTTAAAATATAAAATCACATGTCGATCTACCTATGTTTTTCCCTCTGTTTAAAATAGCAATGTGACAGCCAACTTAGCACTGAATCCTATAGAATGTTCAGTGTCGAAAAAGAACGGCTTCTGCTGGTTTTTTTTTTTTTTTCAGTCCTTTTCTGAATTTGATGTCTATTTTGTTCCCAGTTATTTTCATATCTTCAGCTGCTGCTATTACATTCCCATCTCTTGGAAGGAGCCAGAGCCAGAGAAATACAGGGTTCCTCTGTGGCCAAGGGAAAAATGCCTGCCAAGAATGCTGAACTTCTGGTGAAGGTCACTAAATACTACAAAACGGACTAAGTACAGTAAATAATAATGTTGGTGCACACAAATGAATAGCCAATTGCATTGGCATTTTGTGGGGAAATCTGATATTGTATAATAACACTAGTACATCTAGACATGGAGAAGCTAGTAAAACACCTCCAAAGGGCATGCAGCAATTCTGTGGTTGGACAAGGACCAACCCAAAGCTCAGCGTGTCCCAGAATAATCATCCTGACAAATAACTGGTATCTTTGGTTGCACGTATTAGACCCCTTAGTATCGTAGGCCAGAAACTTTTCACCTGGATCTCATTAAGTTTTTTGTACAGGACGGAAAAACCAGGCTCATAGAGACCATTCTCTTGAGTGCAAAACGATCACCTGTAACTGACTTTCAGACTCCTAGCATGTCAAAAGATGGGGCAAGTTCCTTCCATATAGCTCACTGGAGGTATTTACAGTGCCCAGGATGTTATTTATGGTCTAGGAAGAGTTTGAGTTCTTGGTGGCAGGCAGGGGAGTATAGTTTGAGGGAGATCCATCACATGTCTTTTTCGACACTGAACATTCTATAGGATTCAGTGCTAAGTTGGCTATCACGTGGTTCTCAAGCCACGTTTTGAACAAGAGTAATTTACTGCTAAGTACAAAGCTGTAGGGTACCTTAATAAGCATCTGGGGAGAATATAAGTTGCCTTGATGATGATCAGAAGTGGCTCGGGAGAGGCAGGAGAATGCTAACTGATTCTCTAATCCCCGGGCTCCTATGCCAGGGAATGAGTGAAGTCTTTCCCCCAAAGGCAATAGCAAATCCCTCTGACTTTCAAAACAGTATCATACTGTCTGCATTTTCTCTTTAACTAAGTTAGGTTACCTCACAGGGACTGGTGGTTACATCAGGAGATGGCATTTCTTCATTAAGTTAAGGGGTCCCACCCTCTCCCTTTTATAATACAGCTTTTTGTTGATTTGATCCTAATGGAAGCAAATCCAAGAGAACATAAGGAACATGCCTTTAGGAGTAAATGGAAGAACTTCCTTTTCAAATGGTATTGCTAAGTTCTAGAATGGGAAAACTGGATAACAGAAAGAAGGGTACTTATTCCATATTTACGTTCTCTCGGCATCCCTTCCATTGCTCTGCCAATTGTCCTGCGCTGGCTCTGCCGGGGATCTGACCAGGACCCCATCTGACACCTGGGCATGACACACCATGGAACACTAGGCTCTGAGTCATGTTCAACCCTGAGGTATGTGGAGTGAACTCCCTATGGGGTGAAACTTAAATATAATGAGATATAAGGGCCAGTGAGTGAAACTTAAACCAATGAGTTATGAGGGCCCCCTCTTCCTTGTGGATTGACTGGCTTGAGACGCTGTTCAAATTATCAGAGGATAGCCCTGTAGAAAGAAACAATCAGGTGCACAGAGAAGCAGCCAGTGAGCTAGCACCTTCTTGTTTAGGCTCTACTTTCCCTGCTTCATTCTCTGGGACCCTCTTGGGTGTCTCCTGGGGTTGCACTTCCTAATAACATTAAGCCTTTCGTCTTGGCCTCTACTTTCTGGAGAAGCCAGGCTGACACACTTTCAGAAGGGGAAAAAAATTGCATAGTAGTTCACCTGGAAGAAAAAGCCATCTCAAAAAGTGTTTATTTTATTAAAAGAAGACTGGGTAATGTTGTGTCAATGTAGGTTCAGAGAGGTAACAGATGCATCATTCTGGTGGGAGATGTTGTGGGAGATGTTGGCAGTAGGGGAGGCTGGGTATATATGGGGATGGGGGATATGGGAAATCTCTGTGCCTACCACTCAAATTTTCTTTCAACCTAAAACTGCTCTGAAAAAATAAGGTACATTAAAACAAACGAATGAACAAACAAAAAAGAAAACTGGTGAAAGACTAGCCCGATCAAATATTGAAGTATATTATAAAACCACAGTGATTAAATCAGTCTGCTCCTCATGCAAGGAGAATCAGGCAGGAAATTCGATGTGCCTGCTGTGTGTTAGGCCCTCTATTATGCACTCTACATGAATAATCTCATTTCGTTCGCATAACAGCCCTGCTTGGTAGGTATCATTTATGCCATCATTTTAGAAATAAAAACAAACCAACCAACCTGAGGCCTAGACACTTTCCCAAATTCAATCAACTATTATGTTGCAAAGACAGGATTTGAACTTTTTAATGATACACGTAGCCACAAGGCAATATATTCACTAACCATTTCCCTCTCACCCTGGGCACATAAGAAGACTACATTTCCAGGTGGACCTCTAGGTGTGGTCATGCGACCCACTCAGGCCATTCAAATATGGTAGAGGTGTGTGTGCTGCTTCTAGGCCTGACCCCTAAATCTCATGAGACCCTCTGTTCCCCCCCACCCGTCACTGGCTGCAGAAGATCTAGCAGATGATTCCAAGATCCCAGACAACTCTAAAGTCCCAGAAGGCAGTGGATCCCCTAGATGGAAGAAGCTAGAACCCTAACTGCTGTGGAAGGACAGCAACCCAACCCACCACCCAGAGAGGCTGTGACAGATGTGAGAAATATATCTTTTATTCTGTTTATTTCTCAGTTAATCTACTGAGCTTTGGAGTTGTTTGTATAACAGTCATTGTAAATTATCTTAATTGAAACATATACTTGCCAAGTTTTAAAAAAATAAAAAGGACTCTAAATAAAATAAAGCTATGTTAGATTTTTCAGGGGGGGCTTCAAGAATTCCAAATTTAATCAGTGATTTTTTAACCCCCTTGAAATTCTGTGAACCCTACTCAAGACAATAATAACAACAGCACCACAATGATAATAACTAACTCACTGTAAGTGTTAAGTTCAATGAGTTTTGATAATTGTATGGTCACGTAACCACAATCAAGATCTCGAACATTTCCATCACCCCAAAAAGAGTTTCCTCGTGCTCCTCAAGACCGAGGTCTCAGGCAATCGTGTTCCTGCTACACTGGAGTTTTGCCTTGCCTTGAGTTTCATACATATGGAATCACACAGGATTAAGGTTTTTTAAGGTTTTTAAAAACTTCAAAAAGCAATACTTATTATATACGTACCATTTTTACAAATCATTCCATTTTCTGCACTTTTTACATTACCAAGGACTTTAATTTTAAGCATATTATGGTATGTCAACACCAAACCAAGTAGGACCTCTTATGTTCGATGCTATTTAAAAAATAAAAGTTCTATAGGATTCTAAGTTTTAAAATATTTCTCTCACAGCTAAACATTACACATATATGGAATTTGTTCATTAATTTATTTGCTATTCATCCCAATAAACAGCCACTGAAAGTGGCTGACTTTCAACCTCTTGTGACTGACTTCTGCTTAGCATAACGTTTTTGAGATTCTTCCATGTTGCTACATCTGTTAATAATTCAATCTCTTTAATTGCTGTGTTCTTCTTCTTTTCGGTAATGAAATCCCTAAATTCTAGTTGGGTACCTGGCTACCCAGTTAGAGATTACATTCCCAGGATAGCTGTGGTACAAAACTCATTCCAATGAGATGTGGGCAGAAATGATATACCCAATTTCCAGGTCACTTTCTTATTGGCAAGTTGCTGGCCCTAGGGATTGCTATAATGAGAAGAGACATGTATCTATTAGGTCGGTGCAAAAGTAATTGCCATTTAAAAGTAAGGGCAAAAACCGCAATTACTTTTGCACCAACCTATTATCTTATTTAAGCCATTGTATTTTGAATCTCTGCAAAGTAGTTAGCTCAATGAGTGCACTCCCCATGGAGCAGGGCTATATTTTATTCATCTTTGTAACCTCATCACGACTTAGCTCAGTGTTTTATAACGAATAAGCTTTCAGTGGCTGTTTATTGGGATGAATATCAAATAAATTAATGAACAAATCCTATATATGTGTAATGTTAGCCCTGAGAGGAATATTTTAAAACTCAGAATCCCATAGAACTTTTATTTTTTAAATAGCATCGAACAAAACAGGTCCTACTTGGTTTGGTGTTGACATACCATAATATGCCTAAAATTAAAGTTGGTAATGTAAAAAGTGCAGAAAATGGAATGATTTGTAAAAATGGTACCTACATAATAAGTAATGCTTTTTTAAGTTTTTAAGCTGTATAGAATCATAAAATAATCAAGGATGAATTATAGATTAACTAAACTAATTTGACATTCAAATTTATACTTTTATTCTTTCAGAAAGAAAACTTATCAACTTCCAAATTAGCTAAAACATACCTATAACAATTAACTGGAAATATGTGTTTCATAAAAAGTAAGCAATATGAAACAAAGAGTACAGCTTGATCCTCTATAGAAAGAAGCTCAATTTATCACTGACAAACCTGGTCAAAACAATTTGTAAATCTATCCTGCATCCCTTGGAAAAATTAGCTGTGTGAAAAAATATAATTACTTTAAAAATGTTATTTAACTCATCATCTGGTTGCTGCAATTAACTTAAAGACCTAGGTCAATCTTTTTACAGCAGAAAAATCAACAGAATTTCATGCCGTCTCACAAATATGATTTTTAAGAAGTTGTGTGGCTGCTCATGGCTAGCCTACTTCTACTTTGATGTCATTCCTTCTGCTATCAAAGCTTCAGTGAAAAGTCTTCTGTTTTGAAAGTCCAAAGAAATACAGAGTCTAGATGTCAGTAGATAAACTTTGAGTTTCAGGGCTTACACTGTGATACAGCATCATTGTCTTTGCTTGTTTGTTTGTTTAACAGAGGCAGGGACTTGCTTTGTCACACAGGCTAGAGTGCAGTGGTGCAATCACAGGTTACTGCAGCTTCAATCTCCTGGGCTCAAGCAATCCTCCTGCCTCAGCCTCCGAAGTAGCTGGGACTGCAGGCCCATGCAACTACACTGGAATAATTTTTTAAAATTTATTTTGTAGAGACAGGCGTCTCGTTATGTTGTCCAGCCTGGTTTTGCACTCCTGGCCTCAAGCGATCCTCCCTCCTTGGCCTCCCAAAGTGCTGAAACTACAGGTGTGAGCCACCGTGCCTGGCCCATTGTCTTGTGTATACCAATGGAGTTAAACAATTGCCAGCCCATTTATAGGGAACTCCTACAAAGAGTTCTCAGCAGGTCCCACTCCACTCAGCAATAAGGGTACAGTTATTTCCTGAAGTCAAATTCGATCAACTATAATTGTGTATTCTTACCACTAATTTACTTACATTCTAACTCTAAAAAATAATTTTTTATCTCAGCAAATCAGTTTTCTTCCCCAGTGGGTATTGTTTTCAATATAATAACTAATTAGCAACCTTTTAGTTTAATAAAGTATGAATGGGATGCCCGCAATGCACTTACATTGATATTTCAAACTACTTACCACTTAGGATAATGAAAAATCACTCCGGCCATTTACATAGCTGGCATGTAAATTTAAAGTAGCTATCCATCACAAAAATATTATATGAAATTATGAAAATGGCATTTCATTGTACTTAAAATAGTCGGTCTTGTGTAAATTTTAGGTACAGTGAGTTAAATACATTCCCCAAACAATTTCTCCTAAAAAGCCTTTACATACTGTTATTTGCAGAAGAATTTCAACAAATAACAATTATTTGCCCTACAATAAAACTAGAATGGCCATTTGACATTTAGAATTGAAAATGGAAAGTTTTTTTTATCCCCCCTTGCCTACCTTTGGGATTGCATTTTTCTTAGTATTTTATTTTCCTGTGAGGGACTCAGCCAGTTTTCCTGACTTTGGGTCACAGGGACTTGGGAAACAATTGTGTAATTTAATAAATCACAGTACGAAAGGATTTGCCAGAGAATCTGTCTTGATTTGCCTTTGATTCTACTGCCCCTTGGATGGGGAAGAGGAAGAGGAGTAAAGGTTGGAAAGAATGGGAATAAAGAAGATATGCCGGGAAGGGAGGTGTGAGGTCAAGGTGAAAACATCCATCTTCCCTGTCCTCCAAGCCAGGGCTGCTCTGGAGCGGGCTGAGAGGGACAGATCGTCTCAGGGGGAGGACACACCACCTGGAACTGACAAAAGGGATTCAGAGCAATGATAGGTGGCTCTTGGCTCTCAGACTCTTGCCTGTATATCTTTGTAGAACCAGATGATTTCTTGGATTGGCCAGATTAATTCCAGGCCCAAGGAGCAAAAGAATCCTAAAACAGAGACAGAGGCTGTGAGAAGCGAAAGGCGCTGTGGATGTTGCTGCCCTAGCGTTTGGAAGCCCGAACATTCACATGACTTGCTTCAATCTCATAGAGAGCCAGCAGCTGAGCTGTGGGTCCAAGTGTCAGGACACCTCGCCCATATCTCTGTGTGCGAAAGGATGTGCATGATGTGGTCCCAATCCTCAGGCCCAGTGCTACTTCTCTATTCATGCCGAGAGCAGCAGGCCAGGGAGGTGAGAAGAACACATAATCACGGCATTTTTTACTCCCTGGCTCTGGCCTTCTTAGGAAGGTTGTTGTGGACTTTGTTTTGTTTTGCTTTTATTGAGACGGACTCTCACTCTGTCGCCCAGGCTGGAGTGTAATGGCGCAATCTCAGCTCACTGCAACCTCTGCCTCCCGGGTTCAAGCAATTCTCCTGCCTCAGCCTCCCAAGTAGCTGGGATTACAGGCAGGCGCCACCACGCCTGGCTAATTTTTGTATTTTTGGTAGAGATGGGGTTTCACCATGTTGGCCAGGCTGGTCTCAAACTCCTGACCTCAAGTGATCCACCTGCCTTGGCCTCCCAAAGTGCTGGGTTTACAAGAGTGAGCCACCGTGCCCGGCCACTCTGGACCTTTGAGCATTCATCTCCCCTTCCGCAAGTCTCCTACCTCCTTCCCTCTTTATAGTCCCTCCCCTAGGCCAGAAAGCAGGTGGGACAGAGAAATCTTCAGGCCCATGAAAAGATGATGTGTAGAGATTACAGCCACCAAATGGCTTCAGAATTATTCACTGAGGTGTGTTATAATCAATATTATAATGAAATAAATCAATCAAGCCAGGGGGATTTTGTTCAAAATGTTCTTGCAGTTGGGAGGGTAAAACCTCAGCACCACTACAGCAGGTCCTCATAAATGGGGCACTCCAGGGGCCCTTTATTTATTTCTCGTTTTCACAGCTCCCACTGTAGTAGTGCTGCCTTGCTGAGACCTGCCCACATTTATCAGCTTGCAAATTCTTTGAAATGGGTATCTTTTCTTATGAACAAACATACATAGTAACAAGTCGTATTAAAAATGAGATTATTGGCCGGGTACAGTGGCTCCCACCTCTAATCTCAGTGTTTTGGGAGGCCGAGGTGAGAGTATCACTGGAGACTGGGAGTTCAAGGTCAGGCTGGGCAACAAAGCATGACCTCCTGTCTCTACAAAAAGTTAGAAAAAAATTAGCCAGCCTTGGTGGCACACACCTATAATACCAGTTACTTGGGAGGCTGAGGCAAGGAGGATTGTTTGAGCCCAGGAGTTTGAAACTGCAGTGAGCTATGATTACACCACTGCACTCCAGCCTGGGCTACAGAATGAGACCCATCTCAATATCTATCTATCTAATCTATATTTATACTTCCATATATATATATATGGAAGTATATATATATATATATATATATAAAATACATATAGAAGTATATTTAAATATATGTGGAAGTATATATATTTATATATATTATATATGGAAGTAATATATATGGAAATATAAATATAGATATATATGGAAGCATAAATATAGATATATATAACACACACATGTGCGCACACACACACACACATATATATACGGAACCTAGTTCCTTATGACTGCTTATGTATCCTTATTCTAGGTTTTCAATGAGAAAGGGATGACACAGAATAAGGAAACAAATTGACCAGCATGTAAAATTTCATTGTATATTTTCGTTTTGTCTATTTCCATAGCCTCAAAAATCTTACAATGTTTGTTCTGGGTGGTTTCCTTTCTATGACATATGCTCGGGGCCACAAGAATAACACAGCCCACCACCTCCTCCAGTGCTTGTTCTTATTTTCAATTTATCAAAAATTGTAGTTGATGTTGGATGATGAGAAAGGCAATGGTCTTTTTCTACTCAAGCCAATTTCTGTCATTATTCCTAGTTCAATGTTGTCTAGTGCAATAGACCTGTCGAAAAGGGTGTCCACATTTGTCAAAAAGGAACACTTTCCAGTTCCAAAATTAGAGGTGAAACCTGTTGTACCCAGCTCTGCCGAACATTCCACACTCCTCAGTGGAGGAAGGAGTTGGCTCCATCTAGGCGAGGTCTGAGGATCTGGAAGGTGCTCAGCTCCCATAGCTATTGGCACGGTGTGGGGATATTTCAAGAGTGCCGCAAAGGACTGAACTTTGTGTGACTGACTGGGAAAATGTTCTGCCTGCACAATCACACATGAAACCTTTCCTTTTGGGAAAGTGTCATAAATAATACAGACAGCAAATCTGTTAACCTCTTCTGGACAGGACAACATGTCTTGCTTATTTTAACATATGCTGCATGTATCAGTTAGCAAAGCTCTTATTTCACCACTAACTGAACATCACCGCAGCCTTAATTTGAACCAACCCTAGACTTTCCATGATGTCATGGAATATCACATGTGGAAAATGTATTGTTCCAGTTCCTGCCTTCACACAGGAGGATTTAACTTACTCAGGGCAGAGTAATTTTTATGCATGACTTGAGTATCTTCAAGGAAGTCCATGATCTCCAGTGTTTGTGATCTGACATTGACCTTGCACACTATTGTGATTTATATTGTGCTAGAGTGAGTTGTGTCCATGGGTAGAAAAAAAGACATGGAAAGAAAGACAGCAATGCCTTTTGTATTAGTCTGTTTTCATGCTGCTGATAAAGACATACCTGAGACAGGGTAATTTACAAAGAAAAATAGGTTTAGTGGACTCACAGTTCCACCTAGCTGGGGAGGCCTCACTATCATGGTGGAAGGTGAAAGGCACATCTTACATGGTGGCAGGCAAGAGACAATGAAAGCCAAGTGAAAGGGAAACCTCTTATAAAACCATCAAATCTCGTTAGACTTACTCACTACCATGAGAACAGTATCGGGGAAACCCATGATTTTATTAACTCCCATTGGGTCCCTCCCACAACACATGGGAATAATGGGAGCTACTATTCAAGATGAGACTTGGGTGAGGACACAGCCAAACCATATCACCTTCTCTGGCAGTGTGGCAGAACAGAAAGACCATGGACTGAAAGCCAGGCAAAGCAGGTTCCAGCCCTGCCCCTTACTTGCTGGCTGTGTCACCTTGTCTAAGTAATGTAACCTCTTTGACCTCAGTTTCCTCATCTGTAAAATGAGGATAATACTAGCCTGTTTAATTGGATCATGAATAGTGATACAACTAGCTATTATTTATTGAGCACTTACTATGTAGAGTATTTGGCCCCAGCGCTTTATGTGTTATAACTCACTTAATATTCTCAAACACACTAAGAGATAGGTTCTATTGTGATCCTGAAGAACCTGCGGCACAGTAATAGCCATAAAGGGAGCCATTATGATCAATTATCATGATGGTGCTAATATTGTTGTGACAGCACTGACAGCTAACAATGAAAGGAAGTAAAACAGGAATTTCTTCACTTAAAAATATCATAAAAGCAAGATTTATATGAAAAAATACTGAGTAGGGGAAAGACACATCATTCTTTAGATTTACACTTGAATTTTAACCCCATGTGTCTTTCTCCAGATTGAAAGGGACTAGCACACCAAACAAGAAAAGACCCATCCCAAGTCACAGCATCAAGGAAATTTAGGTACACCAAAAAGCAGACAAGATCCCAGAGTCTTCCCAAAATGGATAAACAAACCAAGAAAAGCTGCTTACATACAAAGAGATGTCAAATAGCATTAAACTCCCCAAAAGGAAATTAAAAGAAAATGGAGAAATGTCTTTGAATTTTTGAGGCAAAATTATTTCCAACTTACAATATTAAAACTGGATAAACTATCAGTTAATCTTGATTGTTATAGGATATTCAAAGGCTCAAAATTTTACCTCCTATACCCTCTCTTAGAAAAATACTGGAGAATGTGCTCCAGAAAAAAAGAGGAAGTAAATGAAGAAACAGGAATACTTGAGATACAGGAAATAGAATATGTAGCAAACTAAGAAAATTCCCAGGAGATCATGAAGGAATGTTCCAGAATGACAGCTGTGCAGCCGCCCTAAATAGCACATTCATATTTGACCAAGTGGGGCAAAAGCTGTAGGAAAGAAATCTCCAGAGAGGGGGAAAATGGAACTGATTGATCTGCTGTCTTTAGATTTGGGGAAAGTTATTTTTAGTTGTTTGACAGTTGTTTAATGTTACAGCATTAGAAAAAAATATATACTGATAGATACAAAGAAACTAAGCAAATAAAAATATAAAGAAAGCAATTATTAATTCTAGGAAGAATAAAAATTGTACAAAAAGTAAACAATCGAAGTATACTAACTGAAGGAGAATAAAAAATATTTACCTAGCCTTACTAACATAAACAATGACTGCTGTTTTTGCCAAAAACTAAAATCTAACTGTATTGGGCAGATGGGATGTGGAAGTGGAAGGTAGGGCATAAGACAATGGCAGCCTCACCTACCATAATATGAAGCTTACATTGTCTAAAATTCATAAACCAAGAGACTATACTGTTAAGTATTACCTAAAATGTGGAGAAACAGCTGAAATAACTGAACATGGCTGCTGCTGGGTAGTCTGTTTGGGAAGTAAAGAGGGATGGGAGGAGGACTGTTGGTTTTCAACAATAAGGCTTTTAGATTTTTTAATTTTAAAATATATACAGGCCAGACGCAGTAGCTCACGCATGTAATCCCAGCGCTTTGGGAAGCCAAGGTTGGAGGATCACTTGAGATCAGGAGTTCAAGACTAGCCTGGCCAATATGGTGAAATCCCATTTCTACTAAAAATACAAAAATTAGCCTGGCATGGTGGCATGCACTTATAATCCCAGCTACTGGGGAGGCTGAGGACTACAGAGTCAGAATTGCTTAAACCCAGAGGCAGAGGTTGCAGTGAGCTGAGATCGCGCCACTGTACTCTATCCTGGGTGACAGAGTGAGACTCTGTCTCATAAATAAATAAATAAATAAATAAATAAATAAATAAATAAAGCAATGGGAAGGGAAATATTTAAGGCAGCAAATAAATCATTTTTTAAAAAATTATGTGTTACTGATTTGAAATGAGTTTCTAAAAAGATTTATTCTTTCTCTTTGAGCCTTAGAAAGGAAACCCATGAAAACATGTGCCTAAAAGAGAGGAAAGAACTAATATGTTTTGAGGAGGAAACAGAACATTTCCAAACAGGCTGAAAGCTCTTCCTGGTGTGCATAACAGGGACTCACAGGCTGGGGGTCTGTCGTCTTCTTTGGGACAGGAGAGGATTTAGGGCAAATGAAGAACATGGAGAAAGAAAAATGTAGGGTTCCTTCTTTCTTAATTGGAGACAGGTTTGTCTCTGAATTAACACTCCTTTCCTTCTTCTATACTTTAATAACTATTTGTGCTACATATGTTTCCGAGTGTTCTGAGTTTCTGGGTAAAATGATATTTAAAGCCTTATTTCCATTTGTCCCATGCATTGTGAAATTTGAAGGCTTGTGCACCACTATGGAAACCATGAGTCACGGGTAGACTGTTCTGAAGCAATGGTTGCCATTTTAATATCACCATTATTTATGGTACCAGAAGTTTGAAGTCCCTTCAACTATGAGAAAAGAAGAACAATACACTAGCTTTTCTGTAAGACAAATACAGACACTGACTGTTTATTCCACAATTTATACAGCCATTTATTGTTTAATCATTTCTAATTATATTAACAAGAATTCTAGGAATAAAGGAGCCCTACTCTAGAGTATTATTTTCTCTTAAGTTCTAAGTCTGGGTTTCAGCTTCTGTCCTCTGAAGTGGAAGAGCAAGGCATGAGTCTTTCCTAAAGTTCTCCTCACCCAGCTTGTTTTACCATTGCTTTTTACCAGCCAGCTGGCTCTGTTGGCTCATCTCTTCCAATGTCCTGCTGGGGCTAACCACTGCAAAGGGTACCACATAAATTAACTATTTTTTGTAAGAGACAGGGTCTTGCTCTGTGACCCAAGCTGGAGCGCAGTGGTGCGATCATAGCTTACTGCAGCCTCAACCTCCTGGGCTCAAGGGATCCTCTTGTCTTAGCCTCCTGAGTAGCTGGGACTACAGGCATTCACCACTATGCCCAGTTAAAAAAAATTTTTTTTAGATTTAGGGTCTTGCTATGTTGTCCAGGCTGATCTTGAACTTCCAGCCTCAAGTAATCCTCCCCTCCTTTGCCTCCCAGTGTGCTGGGAATACAGGGATGAGCCACCACATCTGATCACTAATTTTAGTTTAATGTGGTTGAAAATAAACATGAACACAGAAAGTGTATAAAATGTATTTCCTTTATATACACACCCATACATGCACATACTCTGTGGTATACACTTCTGCATTAGAAAACCTCTGGTTCCAAGTAAAGAAGCTTGGATTAAATTTTGTAAATTCAGTTTAGCATGTAATCTACATGGTTGAGTCATGAATAAGACCCAGGCCATGTTCTAACAGAGAACTGGTTTTTACGAAAACAGGCAGTGGTCCTCACTTGTCGTAGAGGATGCTCAGGCAATTTGGTCCATTTTATCATTTATACATAGGAAGACTTCAGTAATAAAATGATAGAAAAAGCATATTCATTCCACAAATATTTGTGAGCACCATCTTCGAGGTGCTGAGGATTCAGTAAGAAGCCAAAATGTACAGAAAGCCCTACCCTCCTGAAAGCTACCTTGGGGTGGAAGATGACATGAGAAGGAGAGTCGTTGGAAAAGCAGATTTCCTTTTATAGAAATGTCCCGGCGAGCCAATTTGTAAGATGCTTCTCATAAAATGTCAAAAATGTATACAGATATTTGCTAAGTAAAATATTTCTTGATTTAGAAAACTTCTGGTTAGAGATTGGTTAACTTTTACAGTTAAAATTTTATTGAAGTATAATAAAATCCTGTTATTCAGCAACTCAACTATACTATAGATTTGATTCTGGTGCAAACACATGCAGTGTTTACATTTAACTTCTTACACCATGGAGAACCTACAAATACAGTGCTGTACCCCAATTCTTATATTGTAACATGGTTCTACTTAGATGTAGCAAGATCTCTGTTTCTGTAACATGGGTTTTATATAATTTCAGCGCTAATGTCTGAGATTAATCAACTACTATCAGTCTAAGGAAGTGTTATACTTACTACATGAAAATCCTCTACTTTCCCCACACAGCAGCAGTGATAATAGCAAGAAATAGAACAATAAACCCAGAGTCAGAATAATCATTCCAATTTTTTAAATGGGGCAAAGATGTGGGAAAAGATGGGTGAAAAACTACCCAATTAATTCAGTTGACATGTTATACACAGCATTACTACTGTGCCTCTTCTTGTAAGGCAAATGGCAACCAGGATAAGAAGGCGGAAGCAGGGGCTGTCAGGGAGTCACAGTCAATATGGAAGAGGCCCCAGCATGACAAGTTTCGGAATCTATGTTCCTCCTGAGTTGCTCATCAACTAAGGATTAAAACAGCTAGTGGAATATGGTTAGGCTATTTTTTTTGTGTTTTGTTTTAATCAAGGCAGAGAATAGAGAAAGTTACTTATAGTATGGTACTAAAATAAAAGACCCATGGGTGAGGCAGTGGCTTTTAAATTTTGGTGTGCATCAGAATCACCCAGAGGCTTGTTAAAACACAGATGGTTGGGCCCCCAGAGTTTCTGATGCAGTAGATCAGGTGTGGGGCCTGAGAATGTTTTTCTAACAATTTCCAGGTGATGCTGGTACTGATAGTCGAGGGATCATATTTTGACAACCACTTGGGTGAGTAGATATACAAAAAAAGATGCAAAAAAAGGGAGGAGGAGGTGATAGGCAGAATTCTATGATGATCCCTGTTATCTGCGTGTCCTTCCCCTTGAGCACAGGGGAACCTGTAAACATGATGGCATATCACTATCACAATTAGGTTAATAATAAGTTGACTTTGTAAAATCAAAAGAGAGATTATCCTGGTTGGGTCCTATCTAATTATGTGAGCCTTTAAAGAAGCGTGACAAGTCAGACGCCAATCCAGCTGGCTTGGAAGAAAATAAATATCCATGTTGTGAACTGCCTTGGGGAGCCATATGTCACCTATATTTAACTGACCAAGTATTTATTAACCGACTAGTGTTTGCAAGATTCTGTTGGGCCCAGCTGTGGAGTTAAAAAAAGTTCACAGTTCTTTTCCTCAAAAAGCTGACTATCTACTAAGAAGGATAACATAAGAACACAAACAATTTTTCTTCAAGGCAGATTACACTAAAAGTCCTAGGAGAGACATACGCAAAGTGTTATAACATTTTAAGGAAGAACAGGTCACATCTGGCTAGGAATGGAAATATTTAATAAAGAGGCATGGGAGAAAGTATTAAAAAATAAGATTACCATAGGCAGAGAGATAGGAAAGAGAAGAGCAGAGGGGTTGGATAAAACGGAATCATATATTCCAGAGAGAGAGATCAAATAGACTAAGGCTTGCAGGTATGAAAAATACAGAGCATATTTGTGGAATTGCAAGTAGTCTAGTATGGCTACAGTACCAAAACCAGTGGTGGAGCAGGAGGAGGATAGGACCAGAAAAGTCACTAGTAAGGGTTTCTAAATGTTAAGGGAGGATCAGTGTTCAGGAGAAGCAAGCAGGAGTGGGTGATGGGGCCTGTCCATAGAAGTTAGCGGGACTAGAATTCACTGACTGGACATTAAGTTGATGATTTACCAAACTCAAATCCTTCTTTTCTGCTAACAGGTCCAGGATTGCTCCTAGAGCCTTATAGTGCCTTGACTTTATTTATTTATTTATTCTTATTTTTTGAAACAGAGTCTCACTCTGTGGCCCAGGTTGGAGTGCAGCAGCACAGTCTCAGCTCACTGTAAGCTTTGCCTCCCAGGTTCAGATGATTCTCCTGCCTCAGCCTCCCAAGTAGCTGGAATTACAGTCATGTGTCACCACACCCGGCTAATTTTTGTGTTTTTAGTAGAGACGATGTTTTACCATGTTGGCCAGGCTGGTCTTGAACTCCTGACCTCAGGTGATCCACGCGCCTTGGACTCACAAAGTGCTGGGATTACAGGCGTGAGCCACAGTGCCCAGCCAGTACCTTCACTTTATACATGTGTGTTTGGGAATATTAAGAATAGCAGCGATGGACCGGGCGCAGTGGCTCACACCTGTAATCCCAGCACTTTGGGAGGCTGAGGCCGGTGGATCACCTGAGGTCGGGAGTTTGAGACCAGCATGACCAACATGGAGAAACCCCGTCTCGACTAAAAATACAAAATTAGTCAGATGTGGTGGTGCATGTCTGTAATCCCAGCTACTTGGGAGGCTGTGGCAGGAGAATTGTTTGAACCCGGGAGGTGGAGGTTGCAGTGAGCTGAGATGGAGCCATTGCACTCCAGCCTGGGCCACAATAGCGAAACTCCACCTCAAAAAAAAAAAAAAAAAATAGCAGTGATATGAGGCACAGGACTCCATTGTACTTAGAAAGATAACCTTCATGGCAAATTGGAAATCTCCTCTGTATTTCTCTTGCTGTTTATGTGTACTAAAAACAGCTTATCATAACTTTATCACTTACACATAAATTTAATGTGGTATCTATATCCCCATAGCTTATCTTCACTGCCAATTTGGTGTTCATTGAGAGGGGATTTTTATTTCCTTGGCTTTCCTTTTCTAAGGACAGCAAATTCTCATACTGCTTTTCCTATGCTGGTCATTAGAAATATGGCTATCTCTATGAGTCAGCAGAATTCCTTATCTTTCTGGAACTGGTCAGATGTTTCCCTGTCCCTAATCCTAGGAAGTATCACATGGAGGAAAAGAGATAATGTGTTTTCTGTATGTTGAGTAGCACCTCCTTCCTGTAACATAGATTTTCTTACCTTGTTTATAATTTCACAGACTTTTCTCGAAAGGCCTTGTTACAATTGCAAACATTAAAAATATTATAATCTCTCTTTAAGCATCACTTCTAGAATTCTTCTAAATTACATATAACGTATCTGACAGTAACTCAGTATTTACTAGTGTTACTGACCTTACTCAGCAATACGTGGAAAACTGGGCTGTCATAAAACATGGCTTAATTGCAAAGTTTAATGTGAAAAATCAACTTCCATTTTAGGATATGATAGAGGAGCTTAGCATACACCAATGCACCCATGGAGAAAACACAGAAAAAGCTAATGAGATACACAAAATATCTGTTCCAGTGCATCAGTGGTTTGCTTCCTGAAGCAACCAGGAAGAAGAGAGCCCAAGATTGTGAAGATTCTGGAGAAGAGACAACAGTGGGGAGACTAGCTTGGAATCTGCAGCTGACTTTAACCATGGGTAAATTTGCCAGTTTTGGACTCTAAAATCTGAGAATTGCCTGGACAGAGGGCTACTGGGAAAGAAGGACACCAGCAGAGTTTTTGGTGGTCTTGCAGTACTGGGTCTAGAAAACTAAAGATATGAAGGGCTAGTGTTTGATTGAAAGGAATGAGTGAAGCACTAGAGTTGGCACAAGAAAGTTTCCCCCACAATATGTGCTGAATTCTGAAGCTGCATGAGACGGAAAAATAAGAAACTAAGAACAAAGCCCCAGAAAAGGTCTGCGTTTCTGATTCAGGACAACAATAATAATAGAGTTAAGAACTAGCCAAGAGAAGCTCCAGTGTACAGTACAGGTTTCCATGCGGAAGCCTTAGAGAGCCACACTCTAGCGAGGTAAATAGAGTTTTCACCTGTGTGAATAAAGCTTAGTCCCTGGTTGTATTTGTTATCAGTCTTCATTCTATCTACCCAGAAAGGAAAGATGAAACTTCTCTGGAGAAGATTATGTGATCTGGAACCTCTATGATTTTTTAATGTATAGTGTCCAGAATTCACTTTTTAAAATTACTTAACATGCCAAGAAAAAGATCATAAAATCAAGAATCGGTAGATAAGAAAGATCACTATATGATTTGGTGATGGGATTAAGCAGACAAGGACTTTGAAATAATTATGATTAATATGTTCAATGAAATAGAAGAAAAGGACAAAAATATACTAAGATACTAAAAAGGGCAAGAATGGAAATTGGAAACTCAGCATATGGATTTAACAACATATTATATATGTGAGATTAAAAGCATAAGGAAACCCAAAGTGAGGCCAATTCAACACTCAAGAACAGAGCTAAAAAAAAAGTGTAAGATACAGAAAAGAGTATGAAATAATACATGTGAAACATAGTGAAAATGTCCAAGAAACATGTAATTAAAGTCTCAGAAGGAACTGGAAGAGAGAATGTAACTAAAGCAATATTTGAAGAGATAAAAATGACTATTCCAGAAGATGAAAGACATCAAACACAAATCATTAAGCTCTGAAAGCCTTAAAAGGAAAAATACAGAAAAGGATAAATATTCCTGGCACACTAGAATAAAACTGCTTTAAAAAACACATAGACAAAAAGAAAATTTTAAAAGCAGCCAGAGAGAAACTTTACTTTCAAAGCATCAGAACTGATTAATTGATGACTTCTCAACAGTAATAATGGAAAACAAAAATCAATAGTATGACAGAGCTAAGAGTGCTTAAAGATCATAACTGCTGATCAAAAACTGTAATCCCCAAAGTCCTTCAAAAATTTAGTGATGTAAAGACGTTCCAGGAATACAAAAACTGACACTTAGATAATTTGTTGCCAATAGACAAGCAGTTCAAGAAATACATGAGTTCTTCAGAGAGAAAGAAAATGATCATAGACAAAAATATCAATGTTACAAAAAGCAAGAGAAAAGATAAAAATTTTTGATAAATATATTAATAATTGAATATTGTCTGTATAAGGTGATGATAATGATAATGCTGAGTCTTTACAGAGTTTAAACTACATAAAGAATTAAAAGGCAAAAAAGAATAAGTTTAAAAGTGGGCAGGGATAAACTGAATCTAAAAGTTATTAGGTCTTAGCATTATCTGGGAAGTATTAAAAGTAATAATCTATATTAGCTTATAATAAGTCAAAAACGTGAATTGTAATCTCTAGGGTAGTTACTAAAGAAGAGTTAAAGATGAACAACAAGATAACAGTTGAAACAAAATAATCAAATGATTAATACAAAAGTGGACAATAAAGGAGAAGAAAAAACAAAACAAGTGGGTTAAATAGGAAAAAAAAGAAAGAGGGAACATTTAAACCCAACAATGTCAATAATTACAATAAATGTAACTGAATAAAATATTCCAAGTAAAAGACTAAGATTTTCAGACTAGAGGAAAACAAAGAAAAACAAAACAAACAAACAAAAAATTCTAACTATATTCCTTTTACAAGAGACATATTTAAATATAAGGACACAGGTTAAATGTATGAGTATGAAAAAATAGTTGTTTTAGTTATACTAAGATAAGAGGCATTATAAGAGATAATGAAGAACTTTTCATAATGATAAAAGATTCAATCCACCAGGAAATATAAAAATTTTAAATATGTATGCACTCAAAGATTCAAAATGTATACATCAGAAATTAATAGTACCAAAAGAATAAATCAACCAAATTATAATTACAGAGGAATTTTTTTTTTTTGAGACAGAGTTTCGCTCTGTCATCCAGGCTAGAGTGCAGTGGCACGATCTTGGCTCACTGCAAGCTCCCCCTCCCGGGTTCACGCCATTCTCCTGCCTCAGCCTCCCAAGTAACTGGGACTACAGGTGCCCACCACCATGCCCAGCTAATTTTTTGTATTTTTAGTAGAGATGGGGGTTTCATGGTGTTAGCCAGGATGGTCTCGATCTCCTGACCTCGTGATCCACCCGCCTCTGCCTCCCAAAGTGCTGGGATTACAGGCGTGAGCCACCACACCTGGCCAATTACAGAGGAATTTTAACACACTTGTCTAAATAGTGACAGAGCAAGTAAATCAAACTTTGTTAAGATTATAAAAATCTAAACAACACAATTAACAACTTGGTTTAAATAACATATCTAAAAAGGAGAATTCATATTATTTTCAAATGTACATGAAGTATTTACCAAATTCAACAATATTATGGGTCATTAAAAATGTCTTAACAGGCTAGGCATTGAGAGAAAAGAAGAACAAAGAGATACTGAGATTGTTATAGCATTTCAAGCAAGTAACCTGAGTTTTACTCTAATCTGGCTGACTTGGATCACATGTTCACTTCTTAATTAGTTCACTTCTTAACAAAGCCAGGAGGTAGATTGAACTGATTAATTTAGTTTGATCCTATGCTCCATCTCCTGAATCTGGGGGCAAAAAAGGTCCCATATCTATATGGAACCCCTAAAGAGACATGAGTTGTTGGGAAGAGGGTAATGCGGAGGTTCCCAAACTTACTTTCTTCCCAGTGCCCTTAGTGCCTCAATGATTTTTTCATAGTGCCCATGAATCAAAAGAAACATCAAACAGTTCTTTTCTTCTTCCTTTTATTAAGTAGTAACATGCAAACAACTCATTAATAGTAGTTCATGCAGTGTCGAATGAATGTCACAATATTTTTCTTAAAATTTAAAAATATTCCACAGTCCTTCTCTGAATTCTCTGTGGTGCCCCAGAACACTTCAGTGCATAATTTGGGAAGTGTAAGGGTAATGGCTGAATGGGAGGCAGGCACACATATCCACAGACTTCCCAAGTCAACAACCATAAAAAAAATCAAACCAATTATTCAGGAAGAAAGGATATAAACTTTCATAAAGGAGAAGCTAAGAAAGTATAGTTGCAGACACCATTTGTCAATATTTCATCTTGAACATCCATAATCTCTAACAAGACCATAGAATGTGGAAGAAGAATGGGGCTCAGGGAAGGGGCAGAAAAGAGATGATAAGCACTCAATCTTGCTTGCTACCCTCTGAGCCAAGAGCTTTGAAAGATGCTGAAAGTTCCTGTGCTTGCATTTGAAACTCCAGGTCCTTGGTTCTCTTCTACACTGGCTCATATGCAGATCAGAGCTCTGAATCAAGATAACTAAACCACTTTGTAGATTTGTGTATTAGTCAAAGAACTAGATTAATGGCAAATAAGGATATTAAAATGGCAAAACTAGAGAGACAAAAATAAGAACATTTAATAGCTCCTATTTTAAAGGCTATGGTTTTCAATACTAAAATTTAAAACATATGTATAGCTAAATAGGGTAATCCTGATTTCAGGGGTCCTTCTGTCACTTGCTAATACTGTTTCCTAGTTTTCTACGAACCTGCCCCAAGTGTTTCTAGGAGTTCCCAAAGGCCGTCTTACATGAGCTCACTAACAAATCTGGTTACTTTTCACCAAGAAAGTCAGAGTAGAAGAAGAGAATTCACCATCATAAATGGTTTTAATCCCTTTTTGTTCTGTGTGTCCCTCCGCTGCTTACTACCACATCCAGGAGGCACTGCTGTGTCCCCTGGGCATATCCAGGCCAGGCCCGCCAGGCACATAAGGCAGCACCACATTGTATGTGCAAGCTGGACACTACTGTCTCTTCACTCAGGTACCATTTCATCTACAGAATACAGTTGCATGGTTTTCCATGAGATGAGATACAGAATGCCTTTGTCCTGTTGTGTATTACAGCATCATTGAAGGGAACCAAATAAGTACTTTTTGTGTCCCAATATTTTACAGTAATGTTAGTGAAATGGTTTGAGTCAGTTGGGGTCCAATCAGGAGACAACACCTGTTCCAGTTATTTGAACAAAGAGAATTTAACATAAAGGGCTGCTGCTATGGTTGGAATGTCTGCTTCCCCTCAAGAGTTATATATTAAAGCTAATCACCAATGTGATGGTATTAGGAGGTGGGCCACTGGGAGATGATTTGGTCATCAGGGCAAAGCCCTTATGTATGGGATTAAGGCCCTTTTATGAAAGAAGACCCAGAGAGCTGCTGCATCCCTTCTGCCATGTGAAACACAGTCAGAACTTGCCATCTGTGAACCAGAAGGCAGGTCCTCCCCAGACAATGAATCTGCTGGTCCCTTGATCATGGACTTCTCAGCCTCCAGAACTGTGAAAAATAGATGTCTGTTGTTGTAAGGTATCTAGTTTATGGTATTTTATTATACCAGCCTTCCACCCTTCCAGGTTCCCTATAGCAGCTCCCCTCCCTGTACTGGCAGAGCCTAGAAGGATGCCAGCTGGCAAAGCAGAACTGAGGTCTGCAGAGTCCCAGCCACAGCATCACAAAGCAGAGGCTAGAAGAGGCTTTGGTGCTTAACAACTGGCATATGGTTCATTTAGTTTATTTACATGCAGATCTAACACCTACAGAGGACTTAAGTTCACAGAGGCATGAGGTGGAGAGTAACAAAGCATCTGCTATTCAACAAGAAGAGCTAACTATCCTAAATATATATGCACCCAATACAGGAGGACCCAGATTCATAAAGCAAGTCCTGAGTGACCTACAAGGAGACGTAGACTCCCACACAATAATAATGGGAGACTTTAACACCCCACTGTCAACATTAGACAGATCAACAAGACAGAAAGTTAACAAGGATACCCAGGAATTGAACTCAGCTCTGCACCAAGCAGACCTAATAGACATCTACAGAACTCTCCACCCCAAATCAAAAGAATTTACATTTTTTTCAGCACCACACCACACCTATTCCAAAATTGACCACATACTTGGAAGTAAAGCTCTCCTCAGCAAATGTAAAAGAACAGAAATTATAACAAACTGTCTCTCAGACCACAGTGCAATCAAACTAGAACTCAGGATTAAGAAACTCACTCAAAACTGCTCAACTACATGGAAACTGAACAACCTGCTCCTGAATGACTACTGGGTACATAACGAAATGAAAGCAGAAATAAAGATGTTCTTTGAAACCAACGAGAACAAAGACACAACATACCAGAATCTCTGGGACACATTCAAAGCAGTGTGTAGAGGGAAATTTATAGCACTAAATGCCCACAAGAGAAAGCAGGAAAGATCCAAAATTGACACCCTAACATCACAATTAAAAGAACTAGAAAAGCAAGAGCAAACACATTCAAAAGCTAGCAGAAGGCAAGAAATAACTAAAATCAGAGCAGAACTGAAGGAAATAAAGACAAAAAAAAAAACCCTCCAAAAAATTAATGAATCCAGGAGCTGGTTTTTTGAAAGGATCAACAAAATTGATAGACCGCTAGCAAGACTAATAAACAAGAAAAGAGAGAAGCATCAAATAGACGCAATAAAAAATGATAAAGGGGATATCACCACCGATCCCACAGAAATACAAACTACCATCAGAGAATACTACAAACACCTCTACGCCAATAAACTAGAAAATCTAGGAGAAATGGATAAATTCCTCGACACATACACCCTCCCAAGACTAAACCAGGAAGAAGTTGAATCTCTGAATAGACCAATAACAGGCTCTGAAATTGTGGCAATAATCAATAGTTTACCAACAAAAAAGAGTCCAGGACCAGATGGATTCACAGCCGAATTCTAACAGAGGTACAAGGAGGAACTGGTACCATTCCTTCTGAAACTATTCCAATCAATAGAAAAAGAAGGAATCCTCCCTAACTCATTTTATGAGGCCAGCATCATCCTGATACCAAAGCTGGGCAGAGACACAACCAAAAAAGATAATTTTAGACCAATATCCTTGATGAACATTGATGCAAAAATCCTCAATAAAATACTGGTAAACTGAATCCAGCAGCACATCAAAAAAGCTTATCCACCATGATCAAGTGGGCTTCATCCCTGGGATGCAAGGCTGGTTCAATATACGCAAATCAATAAATGTAATCCAGCATATAAACAGAACCAAAGACAAAAACCACATGATTATCTCAATAGATGCAGAAAAGGCCTTTGACAAAATTCAACAACACTTCATGCTAAAAACTCTCAATAAATTAGGTATTGATGGGACGTATCTCAAAATAATAAGAGCTATCTATGACAAACCCACAGCCAGTATCATACTGAATGGGCAAAAACTGGAAGCATTCCCTTTGAAAACTGGCACAGGACAGGGATGCCCTCTCTCACCACTCCTATTCAACATAGTGTTGGAATTTCTGGCCAGGGCAATTAGGCAGGAGAAGGAAATAAAGGGTATTCAATTAGGAAAAGAGGAAGTCAAATTGTCTCTGTTTGCAGACGACATGATTGTATATCTAGAAAACCCCATCGTCTCAGCCCAAAATCTCCTTAAGCTGATAAGCAACTTCAGCAAAGTCTCAGGATACAAAATCAAAGTACAAAAATCACAAGCATTCTTATATGCCAATAACAGACAAACAGAGAGCCAAATCATGAGTGAACTCCCATTCACAATTGCTTCAAAAAGAATAAAATACCTAGGAATCCAACTTACAAGGGACGTGAAGGACCTCTTCAAGGAGAACTACAAACCACTGGTCAAGGAAATAAAAGAGGATGCAAACAAATGGAAGAACATTCCATGCTCATGGGTAGGAAGAATCAATATCATGAAAATGGCCATACTGCCCAAGGTAATTTATAGATTCAATGCCATCCCCATCAAGCTACCAGTGACTTTCTTCACAGAATTGGAAAAAACTACTTTAAAGTTCATATGGAGCCAAAAAAGAGCCTGCATCGCCAAGTCAATACTAAGCCAAAAGAACAAAGCTGGAGGCATCACGCTACCTGACTTCAAACTATACTACAAGGCAACAGTAACCAAAACAGCATGGTACTGGTACCAAAACAGAGATATAGATCAATGGAACTGAACAGAGCCCTCAGAAATAACGCCACATATCTACAACTATCTGATCTTTGACAAACCTGAGAAAAACAAGCAATGGGGAAAGGATTCCCTATTTAATAAATGGTTCTGGGAAAACCGGCTAGCCATATGTAGAAAGCTGAAACTGGATCCCTTCCTTACACCTTATACAAAAATTAATTCAAGATGGATTAAAGACTTACATGTTAGACCTAAAACCATAAAAACCCCAGAAGAAAACCTAGGCATTACCATTCAGGACATAGGCATGGGCAAGGACTTCATGTCTAAAACACCAAAAGCAATGGCAACAAAAGCCAAAATTGACAAATGGGATCTCATTAAACTAAAGAGCTTCTGCACAGCAAAAGAAACTACCATCAGAGTGAACAGGCAACCTACAAAATGGGAGAAAATTTTCACAACCTACTCATCTGACAAAGGGCTAATATCCAGAATGTACAATGAACTCAAACAAACTTACAAGAGAAAAACAAACAACCCCATCAAAAAGTGGGCGAAGGACATGAACAGACCCTTATCAAAAGAAGACATTTATGCAGCCAAAAGACACATGCAAAAATGCTCACCATCACTGGCCATCAGAGAAATGCAAATCAAAACCACAATGAGATACCATCTCACACCAGTTAGAATGGCAATCATTAAAAAGTCAGGAAACAACAGGTGCTGGAGAGGATGTGGAGAAATAGGAACACTTTTACACTGTTGGTGGGACTGTAAACTAGTTCAACCATTGTGGAAGTCAGTGTGGCGATTCCTCAGGGATCTAGAACTAGAAATACCATTTGACCCAGCCATCCCATTACTGGGTATATACCCAAAGGACTATAAATCATGCTGCTATAAAGACACATGCACACGTATGTTTATTGCGGCACTATTCTCAAAAGCAAAGATTTGGAACCAACCCAAATGTCCAACAATGATAGACTGCATTAAGAAAATGTGGCACATATACACCATGGAATACTATGCAGCCATAAAGAATGATGAGTTCATGTCCTTTGTAGGGACATGGATGAAACTGGAAATCATCATTCTCAGTAAACTATCGCAAGGACAAAAAACCAAACACCACATGTTCTCACTCATAGGTGGGAACTGAACAATGAGAACACATGGTCACAGGAAGGGGAACATCACACTCTGGGGACTGTTGTGGGGTGGGGGGAGGGGGGAGGGATAGCATTAGGAGATATACCTAATGCTAAATGACGAGTTAATGGGTGCAGCACACCAGCATGGCACATGTATACATATGTAACTAACCTGCACATTGTGCACATGTACCCTAAAACTTAAAGGATAATAATAATAAAATAAAAAAAATCATCTGCTATATGTAATAGTTTCCTTTTCTCAATAACTGAGTTTTGGTTGCTCAGGCAACTTCCCTCCATGACTCTCTCTTTCAGATTCTCTTCTCTTCCAGTGAATTCTTTCCCAGAAGCTTCCTTGGCCATTCATGCAAACAGACCTCTGTTGGACCTACTCCAGGCTTTCCCCAAAGAGCCAGCATTCCAGTGCAGGACACACTAGCTCAAATTAAGAATCTCTCTCACACTAGCATGCTGGAGAGTGCTGGTTCATGGGTGGTATAAGAGGTATCCATAATAAATTAGTTTGTATTCCTTCTCACCAATGATACAGTTCCAGCTTTAGATTTTATAAAATGAAATCATCTCATTGGAGCATTCAGTCAGAGGTTTAGGTTGGTGCAAAAGTAATTGCGGGTTTGCCATTGAAAGTAGTGGCAAAACCCGCAATTACTTTTGTACCAATCAAATAATATAAAATACACAGTGGCATAAATGGAGTGAAATGGACTTGAGAGATATTAAGGAGATAGTATTTGTAGGCTTTGGGGACCATTTTGAAAGAGGGATAAGGAAGAGAAAGCAAAGTCGACGTGCAGGTTTCTGGCTTGAAAAAATAGGATACATCTTGGTATTATTCACAAAGAAAGGGGACCTTGAGGCTGAAATACATCTCAGATGTAGACACGCTGACTGTAGCTTTTTGGGGAACATCTTCATGGATATGTCAAGTAACCAGTAGAATATACAGATGTGAAGCTCGGGAGAGAAATCCAACTGGACAGATAGATTTTTGAATAATCAGCATTTAGATGAAATAAACTATGTAAATCTATAAGATCACCCAGAAGGAAAGTTAGGTGACATGTAAAGAGAAGCTGGCCATAGACAAAACCCTGAAAGATAGAAAAATTTAATATACCAAAAGTAAAAAAAAAAAAAAAGAACCCATATTGAGCATTTTTACCTAATCAACCAGAGAATTCACAGGAAAAATGCAAAGTTATGGTGTCTCATTTTGCAAGAGGAATAAGCAGATCATGGATGTCAAATGTTGTGATTTATTTTTAGGATCTGCTGTGGTAGTGGTTTGCTAAATGTGGTCCAGTGCCAGTGACACCAGCATCATCTGTAACTTGTTAGACATGCAAATTCTTGGGCTCCACACCAGACCCACTGAGTCAGAAATTCTGGGGGGTGGAGCCCTGCAATCTGAATTTCAAATCTTCGAGGTGATTCTGAGATGCACACTTTAAGTTTGAGAACCATTGCTCTAAAAGGCTGGGTGGGGGCAGGGTGTGGATATTCAAGCCTAACCCTAAAAATTCTGACTCAGTTGGCCTGGAGAAGGGCCCAAGCACTGGTATTAAAAGTAAAACAAAACAAAACCTCCAAATGTGCTGGCAAAATTAAGAACTACCATTTAATGGTGACATTTCCTGTGTATTGTCATTGAAACGGGAAGACTTACATTTTACATTTTAAAAAAATTAGGAGAAGTTTAGAGATACTATGTGTTATGGTCTAAATGTGTCCCTCCAAAATTGATGCTGAAACCTATCCCCATTGTGATGGTATTAATAGGTGGAGCCTTTTGGGATGTGATTAAGTCATGAGGGCTCTGTCTTCATGAATGGAATTAATGCCCTGATAGAAGAAGTTGAAGGGAGCTTCCCGGCCCATCTGCCATGTGAGGACACAGCAAGAGATACCATCTACAAAGCAGAGAGTGAGCCCTCACCAGACACCAGATATGCTGGTGCCTTGATCTTGGACTTCTCAGCCTCTAGAACTGTGGGAAATAAATTTCTATTATTCTTAAATTATGCAGTATTTTGTTACAGTGGGCCAAATGAATTAAGACGCTAAGTTTTGTGAGATTATTTGTTCTCCCTCACCACACTCCAACATGTGAAGAGCTTGGAAGTTGTCACTTAGCTTCCTTGTAAGAAAAAAGCTAAATAAACTGAAAATCAACAACTCTTCTTAGATCCATCAGAAAATTGAAGTCACAGGGCAAACTGCTGCCTCCGAAAATGGAAAGGCAGATAAATACAAAGAATCACAGCTTATCAGAAGCAGAAGTTACTGAAATAAGTAACTAGCAGGAACACTTAAATAGTAATTGATAAATTTCCAGAGGCTAAGGGTGAACTAGCTTGAGAGTTTAAAACCCCTGGAGCCCACACTTTCCTGAATTTAACTCCAGAAGCTTCATCAGGTTCTCACGGTGAAGATCAGAGGAAAATTCCTTTCTTCTTTAAGCAGGGAGAGGGGAAAAGTAAGAATTTTTCAGTACATCCAGGGGATAAGTGACCATTTTTAGATACATCCAGAATGTTCTGTTCTCTTCAGCAAAGACCTGACTTCAAGGAAAACTCCTTTACCAGAGCCTTATCTGACCTAAGTAAGGGCAATTAGACAAATCGAGCTCTCCCTAACCTTCTCACACAATGAGAAGTGTTAAAAAGGCTAACAAATGCTTTTGAAAGTCACAGTCCAGAGACTAAGGCCCACTAAAACAACCCCCGAGAGTGAATCATAAGCTTAGAACACACTTCCCCTCCCCAATATGTTACCATTGCATCAACAGGGCTTCACAATAATAGCAGTGGACTACGGTTGAGGGAGCTCATTACAGACTCTATTTGAGAAGGAGTTCTTTGGGAAGCTCAAAGATAACAGGGAAGGAAAAAGAAAACACACCAAAAACCAAAAACCAAAAACCAAAACCTAGAGGAAACATAAGCTTCTGGCACAGCTACAACAAATTAAACATAGCTCAGCTCCTAGCCAGATTAACATAATATCTCACACTAAAAGCCTGATTACCTTAGTTCCTATTGCCAGATACATCACATGTGGCTTTCAGCAAAAAATCACAAAGTTAAATGGCAAGACAAGGTTATGACACTCAACTTCCCAATAACACATCTGTAGAGACATCTGCCCTGCCTAGCTTCTCTTCCCAATGGCAAAGAGATATTTTATGACCTACTGAGATTCTGTGGGCTTCAAAGTGAGGTACAGGGGAAAAGAGGTTGAGCCTAGGGGTTCACAAGTTTAAACCAACAGCTTTAGTGACATTGTTAAGGGTACGGGCTCTGTAGCCACAGTACCTGGATATGAATACTGGCTCTGCTACATACCAGTTGTTGACTTGGCTTAGCTTTTCTATGCATCTATTACCAGTCTGTTAGATAGTGCTTATTTTCCATCTACCTCATAGGGTTGTTATAATGAGTAAATGGAATAATACAAATTAGGCACTTACAAGTGCACCTTGCACATAACAAGCACTAAAAATATCTGCCACTATTATGCAGAAAGGCTCAAAGTCATTCAGTGATCTAGATTTCCACTACATCTCCTGTTCCCTTACTATTAGTGATCTTGTGTTATGTCAAGGAAAGATTTTATTCTGACTCATGGAGGAGTTAAATGACAAGGAGCCACAGTACTAATTTGCTGGCTGTAAAGAAAAAATTTTATTTGCTCTCGTCCAAATTTAACTATCTTTAGAGCACATTAATACATATAATATCCACTGCTTTATCGCTAAGAGATTCTGATGTCTTCATGTCCTGGGGTTAAACTAAAACCCAATGTCAGCAGTAGGTACAGATTTAAACCATCAACAATTGTCCATTAGAAGAAAAACTCATCCTTAGAACAGCATGACTCAAGGATGATGGATTTTCAGAGAAAATGTGGCCTAATCCTGAGAAGACAATTTCTAATTTTAAGGAACCTAAGTGAAATATTTCACTTGACTATAAGTATTATAAATTGATCACTTAATTATATTGTATTATAATTTCTATCTATCAATGTTGGCTTATAGTTTGGTTTGTCCATTTTATATTTGACATTAGTTTTTATTAACTACTAAGGAAAAAATGGGTGATATGGCTATAAGCTTGGGGCAGCAGTAAATTATCTCCCATATGTATTCCTTTCCACTAAATCTCACATCAACCTTTAATAGTCTTCTTGCCTTAAGAGGCACATTGGTTTCCATGTTGGTGCCTTACTTAAATTCTTGATTACATTTGTTTTGCTGTGATGTTGTATCCAATAGCAATGACTACTCACAGAAGTATGGTTTGAGTTATTTTTAGTATTTAAAAATATTTATACTCTTAACCCAGCGGTTCTTGTATTTTCTGAAATATATGAAGATACACACATATGCATGCACACACACGTGTAAGTACACAGATGTTTGTTGTATCATTTTTGTAAAGAAAAAACTGGAAGAAGACTATTAGTAGAAGAAAGGCTAAATAAATTATGAAATTTCTCTATGTTGGAAGATTATATCATTAAAAATTAATTATAATTAAAAATTAAATTATATCATTATTATCATTAAAATGATAATATTATATCATTAAAAAGAATGATACAGATATTATCTACATTTAAAGGACTGATATAGAATGGATGTAGATATTTATGCACTGATAGGTAAAGTGCTGAAAGTATATTTGTGAAAGAAAAGTTGGAAGAGTATGATCTCAAACTCTGTAAAAAAAAAAAAACCACACAAAAATGAAAACAAAAACCCACAATGGCATACACACAGAGAATCTTTTAACATGCTTGATTCTGGGAATTAGTAATGTGGGAGGGCAAAGGTAAAAGGGAGTTTATTTTCTATCATCTTATGAGTTTTAATATCTTAACATTTTATAAAAATATAATTCAAGATGGAATAAGGACTTAAACGTTAGACCTAAAACCATAAAAACCCCAGAAGAAAACCTAGGCATTACCATTCAGGGCATAGGCATGGGCAAGGACTTCATGTCTAAAACACCAAAAGCAATGGCAACAAAAGCCAAAATTGACAAATGGGATCTCATTAAACTAAAGAGCTTCTGCACAGCAAAAGAAACTACCATCAGAGTGAACAGGCAACCTACAAAATGGGAGAAAATTTTCTCAACCTACTCATCTGACAAAGGGCTAATATCCAGAATCTACAATGAACTCCAACAAATTTACAAGAAAAAAACAACCCCATCAAAAAGTGGGCAAAGGATATGACAGACACTTCTCAAAAGAAGACATTTATGCAGCCAAAAGACACATGAAAAAATGCTCATCATCACTGGCCATCAGAGAAATGCAAATCAAAACCACAATGAGATACCATCTCACACCAGTTAGAATGGCAATCATTAAAAAGTCAGGAAACAACAGGTGCTGGAGAGGATGTGGAGAAATAGGAACACTTTTACACTGTTGGTGGGACTGTAAACTAGTTCAACCATTGTGGAAGTCAGTGTGGCGATTCCTCAGGGATCTAAAACTAGAAATACCATTTGACCCAGCCATCCCATTACTGGGTATATACCCAAAGGACTATAAATCATGCTGCTATAAAGACACATGCACACGTATGTTTATTGCGGCACTATTCACAATAGCAAAGACTTGGAGCCAACCCAAATGTCCAACAATGATAGACTGCATTAAGAAAATGTGGCACATATACACCATGGAATACTATGCAGCCATAAAGAATGATGAATTCATGTCCTTTGTAGGGACATGGATGAAATTGCAAATCATCATTTTCAGTAAACTATCTCAAGGACAAAAAAACCAAACACCACATGTTCTCACTCATAGATGGGAATTGAACAATGAGAACACATGGTCACAGGAAAGGGAACATCACACTCTGGGGACTGTTGTGGGGTGGGGGGAGGGGGGAGGGATAGCATTAGGAGATATACCTAATGCTAAATGACGAGTTAATGGGTGCAGCACACCAGCATGGCACATGTATACATATGTAACTAACCTGCACATTGTGCACATGTACCCTAAAACTTAAAGTATAATAATAATAAAAAAAGAAAAAATATATATATTAGGTAGACAGACATTTGTTTTTATAAATAGATTTCAAACATATTTGAGATGTAAAATAAGTCACAAAATAATATGTAAGGTATTATCACACTTCATTTTTTAAAAAACTATATTTTACATGTATTGAAAATGCAGGCATAGACTAATGTCTGGACCACAGAAGAATGTATTCATTTGGAATAAAAATATTATTTAAAAGCATTTATTTGATTAAGTACCTCTTAAAACATTGTTTTCCCATGCTTGTGAACCCAAAATATCCAGGAAAACATACAGTAATAGGTATGGCCAAGGGTATGTTTTCCTGAGGTTCTACTATATTTATTAGTTCACATAATGCCTTTTCCAACAATTGTAGCACACTGAAACAGAAACAAATCAATTGGGAAAAGAGGTAAACATGGTACCTATTTAGTTCCTATATTGCAATGGGGATTTTAAGAAATCTTTCAAGAAATATTGTAGTATAATAGAGACATATTAAAGTATAAATCCTAAGTGTCTATCTCAGCAAATTAACACAAAGTGAACATTTTTATAACCACCACCCAGGTCAAAAAATAGAATGTCAGTAACACTAACATGCCAAAATCCTCCTCTTGGTCCCTCTACATATCTAAACCCTCTCACTTTCTGAGAAGTAACCAATATTCTGATTTTTATCACCATAGATTAGTTTTGTCTATTTTTGAACTTTATATAAATGGAAACACAATGGTTAGTGTTCTGAATGCCCATTGTTTGAATGGACATTTTACACTGCTATTTATATATGTGCTGCTGTGGACATGTGTGTACATGTCTTTGCACTTACGTACGCAGGTGCACATATGTATGCAGTTACACCTAGGAGTGGAATTTTGCTGGGTCATAAGGCTTGAGTCTGGTCAGCTTTAGTATATAATACAGAATAGTTTTCTAAACTGCCAGTACCAATTTACATTCCTACCAGCAATATATGTGCGTCCACTGCTCTATATCCTCTCCACAGAGCCCTGCCAGGCTTTTCTGTTTTATCCATTCT
This sequence comes from Homo sapiens, assembly GCF_000001405.40. Taxonomy (NCBI): domain Eukaryota; kingdom Metazoa; phylum Chordata; class Mammalia; order Primates; family Hominidae; genus Homo; species Homo sapiens. Next base: position 31,294,954 of record NC_000010.11, read on the forward strand.
GGTGGATTTGAAGTGACATCTCTTTTATTGTTCTGTCTTCCGTTCCCCTGAAGAGTAATGATGCCCCTTTCCATAGCTTTATTGGCCATTTGGATATCCTGCTTTGTGGAGCTCTGTTGAAGTCTTCTGCTTGCTTTTCTATTTGGTTATTTGTATATTTCTTACTCATCTGTAGTTCTTCCATAGTCTCGGTATGAGCTCTTTTTTGGTTATACAGGCTGCAAATGTATGGGTCTTTTACTTTGTGGTTTTCAATTTTACTTTATTGATGTCTTTAAATGATGGAAGTTCTTAATTTTAATACAGTCTAATTTATCAATCTTTTTCTTTTTAGATAATGCTTTTTTAATTCTAACAAAACTTGGCCTCGCCTAAGAACCTGAAAATAATCTTGTATTTTATTTTCTAGAAGGCTTAATGTTTGAAATTTCATATTTATATACAATCACTACAATTTGCTTGTATGGATTTTTGTGTATGGTATTAATTCAGGGTCAAGTTTCATTTTTACCATATGGATAGGAAATTGACTCAACACCATTTATCGAAAAGATGCCACCTGTCACAAATCAAGAGTCTATAAATATACATAAATCAGTTTTTGAACTCTCCTTTCTGGTTCATTAGCCTTTTTTTAAAATCCAAACTCTTAATTACTTTGTTTTATAATTTCTCTGTAATTCCTTTTCTTCTTCAAGACTCTTAGCTATTTTCGGCCCTATGCATTTCCATGTAAATTTTAGAATCAGCTTGTCAGTTTTCATAAAAACCTACTGGAACTTTTATTGAATATGTTTGAATATATTCATTACATTAAACCCAATGAATGTAGGGAGAACTAACATCATCCAATGCATACATATTTATTAAGGTCTTGTATGCTTTTGAAAATGTTTTATGGTGTTCTGTATAGAGGTGTACATTTTTTATTAGGCTTACTCCTAGGTATTTGATGCTTTGAAGAACTGTTCTTTATGATGTCTTTAATTTTTTTCTAGATGATGTTTATTTCTGGTATGGAGAATTACAACCAATTTTTGTGTATTGATTTTGTACTTAGCATTCTTGCTAAATGTTCTTATTCACTCTAAAACTTTATCAGAAGATTCTTTTGGGTTTTCTGTGACCCAATCATATCACCACTGAATGATTAATTTTATTTCTTACATTCTGATCCTTATGCATTTTATGTCTTTTTCTTGCCTTATTGCACTGGCTAGACTATTCATTATAATACTGATTAGACATCATTATTTCACTTGGATCCTAGTGAGAGATACTATGTTTGATATAAGGTTTTTTCAGGTACTCTTCATCAGATTAAGTAAATTTCCTTCTATTCCTAGTTTTTAAAGAGCTTTCTTTACATCATTAATGAATGTTGAATACATCAGAGGTGTTTTATGCAAATTTGAGATCGAGATAATCAAGGTGATCTTAAAATTATCAAAATTGAGATAATTTTTATTTTGTTAATATGATGAATTCATTAACTGATATTATGATGTTGAACAAAACTTGCATTCTTGGATTCATTTAATAACCATATGTTATATTTCCTTTTGGACAAAGGCCCTTAATAGTCCCTTTTTCAGAATCACTTGGGCCTTCTCCAGTTTCTCTCTTATTCTCTTCCTCTCTCTCTCTCTCTATATATATATACATAAACACACATGCATGTACATGCACACACTATATGTGTATATATGTTTTATGGTGTTCTGTATAGAGGTGTACGTTTTTTATTAGGCATGTGTATATATGTGTGTGCATGTACATGCATGTGTGTATATGTGTATGTATCTTTTACCACTGTATCCCCCAAACACAGGACCTGAAATCTATGAGTTTAGAGTATATGGCAGCACTTAATAGATACTAAATAAACATTTGCTGACTGTATTTAGATGCTTTTAGTTGAATCACTCATAGTTAGTATGTACATATCAGATGTCAAATAACTGTTAGATATTTTTCTAGTTAGTCTCATAATTGTTTATACCAGATTTTTGGAAATAACCCAGGAGAATGAAGTACTCTGTTTAGAATTCCTTTGAATAAGGGCATTTAAAAACGAGCATGTGATTAAGGTAGTAGTACATTTTATGAGAATATTCTCATTAGGATTTCTGGAGAGTCTCTATTAAATTATTTAGATTTAGAATAGTCTTTGGAATCTGAAAAGCCTTGGTTCTAACCCCTGCTCTAAGGTAGGAACATACCTGGTATATTCAAGGAGCATTGAGGAGGTGGATGTGGCTAGAATAGTGAAGGATGGAGAGTGCAGGACAACGTTGGAGAGTTGAGTGTGAACAGACCATGCAGACCTTGAAGACCATTGTAAGAATGTTGGCTATAATTTACTAAGAGGTGAAGTCATTGGAAGTTTTGAACAAAACCATGATCTATTTACGTTTTCACAGAATTACTTTGGCTGCTCTATTGAAACAGGCTGAAAGATGACAAAGGTAGAAACAAGAAATGCCAGCGGGGGAGGTGATCACACTCACCTGCCAGCAGGTGAGTGATGACGGTGGCTAAGCCCAGGTAGTGGGAGGGGAACTGATTTAAAATAGTCAAATTCTGGATGTATTTTGAAAAAAGAACGTATGAGCTTTCTTAAGAATTGAACAAGGGGTTTAAGAAAAAGAATAGTCAAGTTTAACCCCAAGGTTTTGGCCCAAGCCTTTCAAAGGATGGAATTACTACTGTGTGAAATAAAAGATTGAGATTGCAGAAGGAACAGATTTGGTGAGTGGGGTTGGTATCTGAAGCTCAGTTTGGGGAAGTTTTAAGTTTGCAGTGTCTATTAGCCATCCAAATAAAGAGGCCAATTAAGCCTGGAGTTAATTGATTCAGACTGGAGATATTTATTTGGGAGCCACTGGCATATAGATGATTGGCATAAAGCTAAGAATATTTATCGCTTAGAGAAGGTACGTGGACAGAGAAGGAAAGACATGCAAGGACTGGGCCCTGGCAGTCTAATGTTGATAGTTCGGGGAGAGGAGGATCAACAAGTAAGGGAGCCTGAAAGGAGTAGCTAGAAAAGCATTAGGGAAATCAGGCGAGTACAGCATGGTGTTCTACAGGCCAAGTGCAGGAAGTATTTCAAGGAGGATAGAGGACCAACTGTGAGGATTTGCCACAGGAAGGAGCACAAGGACAGAGAACCTACCACTGGCTGTAACAACATTACAGCACGTTGTATTACTGAGGGGGATACTGATGCAGAAGAAAGAAGGTTAAGTTCAGGATAAAAGTCCTTGAGTAGATGAGAGGCTGTGGAATTCCATATTCAAGGAGAGGGCCTTCCCTTCTTTCTAGTTAAGAAGAAAACCAGGCAGAAAATCCCTAAACCCAAAAGTAGTACCTATTTGAACAATAAGGAAGACTATCCTAATAATCCTGTAAAGATCTGGAATGAGGCTGTTAAGTCTCCTTACCTGGGAAGTTATTTTAATCTTTAGAGACACTCAATAAATAATACGATGCTTTCATCTGGGAGTGGGTGGGTGGGTCATTCCTGTTGGATAATGCTAAATTTCATCTCATTATTCAATATGCAATTAAATTTGTCTACCAATGTCTTAGAATGCAAAAAAAAGAGTCTTAAAGGACTCTAAAATTTTTGAACTGCAAGAAAAAAATCCTTTAGATTTCAAGAATAGTAATTTTTGTTGCTGCTGTTTCATAAAACAAAATGCCGTAGGTTATTCTTTTGCAAGTCTAGTTAATGACCAGACTTAGGAAAGAGAGACCTGAAGCAAAGCCTATGGCAATTAATGTTCTAGAAACTCATTAATTGATAGAAGACTAAAATGACCCAGTGTTTAGCAATTCTACATCTGTAATAATTGGGACTGGAATAGTTCAAAAATTTCAACTCTAAAATTTTGGTTTCATTCATAAATTATAGAGAGAGTGTTTAAAAACTGGCTTTGAAATATTAATTTTTGCAATATCATTTGAGAATTTTTCAAGCTTAAAAATTATGATTAAGAATTATTATAGAAGAGATGATATAGAAGAGACAAAAATCTCTGCCTAGCAGAATTTATATTATAGTAAATGAGACATGTAACATGCAACAAATGCAATAAATAGATAAATTATATAATGTATGTGAAGAGGATTAAATGCTATGAAAAAATAGAGCTGGGTAAGGGTTGTATTTCACCTTTTAGAAAGTTTACAGTTCATACACTAAGTGAGCATAAGATTAAAAATAAGCCAATTACAATTCTTTTTACATACTTGGTTGCTTCCCTTGCTGGAGATTATAACAGTTCTGTTCCTACCCTCCTGAGATGAAAAGGAAAGGTGAGATGAGGTGAGCAGAGCTGCTGGCTGGGGCAGGAAACAGAACAGTGGAGTGAAAGGAAAGATGCTTAGTCATGTAATGACGGGCACTGACTTAAACAATGCTAAATCTAGATTTGGTAAACTCTATTAAATACTTTTTCAGGTTTTACAACAAAACCAAGTCCCTTAAACAGAAATAACTTAGGTGTTGCTGTTTGTTTGTTACTGTGTAGTATTCTTCTTGACCCAACCCCTAACTAACCCCACTAGTTTGGTGACCTTGATAAAGTCACCTCTTTCTCAGGTTCCAAGGAACACTGACATCCTGACATCATAATGTTATTATAGGATTAAGTGAGATTTTAACTGGTAAAGAGCGTAAAGCTCTTTAGAACTATTATTACTGTAGCTTAATAATAATACATTACTTTCTTAATTCTAATGTTTTTTTCAAGGGTTGAGAAAAAAAAGCAGAGGTTCCAATATCTGTATGGTCTTGAATTTGAGTGTCATTAACAATAACCCCTACTGAGACTATTACTGCAGTAACATAGGTGCATAAAATTAAAAAAGCTAAGCAAAAGATACATGAAGCCAAGCCAAAGGGCCCTAGCCTATCCCTAAGTTAGTAAATCTCTTCATATTCTTTGGTCCCTGCTCAAACGCAGGAGCTGCACATATTTATCTGTGGTAGTTAAATAAATTATTCCTCTTTTCATAAACATACAAACATAGATGATTATATTATCATTAACATTGATGGAAAAAATGTAAATGTTTTGTGACTAAAACTCCACATATGTTCAATTATTTTGTTTTAAAACAGTAGTGAAGTGGTATTTGACAAAATGGAAAACAAAAGTAAGGTAAATAAAGAGAACAGGTGTTAGGGATTCAGTTAATGGGAGACACCACAGATTTTGTTTATTATAGAACTCATGAAAAACTGTGTATTTCTATTATGAGAATTCTACACCTTACTTTCTGCTATAACAACTGCTTTGAACCATTCAATAATTAAGTAGTTAAAAATCAAACACTCATTTACTGGACACCCCCTGCCCTCGATATGCCTGGCTCCACAGACATCCCCCTTGATATACCTGGTGTGCACCTTTCTGAAAACATGTTGTAGAGGCACTCAAGTTTTCATGTCTTGTAACTTAAAAGAGGAAATCACAATTCCTCTGCAACTCCAATCACTCTTACCCGGCTCTATTTTTTCATAGCATTTAATCCTCTTCAAACACATCATGTAATTTACCTATTTATTGCATTTGTTGCATGTTACGTGTCTCATTTACTATAATATAAATTCTGCTAGGCAGAGATTTTTGTCTATCTGATTCCTTAATGTATCTTAAGAAATTAGAATGGTGCCTGAGTACGTAGAAGCAGGTCAATAAATATTTGTCAGAAAAATGAATAAAGGAATTCTTAAGTATCTCTCTTTAAAAAAGATTAGGCACTTTCCCTTGGATCCAAACTAGGGTTAGAAGGTTAAACGGCACGTTTTGACATATTTGGCTTAATAGTTGGTCTCTTAATATTTTATCCTACATAGGTATGCAGCTCTATCCAGTTTTCTAAAAACATTCTAGCAGTATTTTCTGTAATGACCTACTACACTGACCTTCCTCTCGACTGAAAGAACAATAATTACTATGCCTGAAACCAATAGTTAGCTCTACTCAGCATCCCTTAAATAATCATTTTATTTCACCGTGATTTCTTTTTTCTAAGACCATTGTTAATGATTTGGATGACTTTTTTTAAATTGACAAAATTGTATATAATTATGATGTAGAACATCTTTTGATAAATAAATACATTACGAATAGCCTGTCAAGCTAATTAACATATGCATCACCTCATACAATTTTTGTGTTGACAAAACTTAAAGTCTACTCTTCTAGCAATTTTCAAATATATACTATATTGTTATTAACTATAGGCACCATGATGTACAACAGATCTCTTGAATTTATTCCTCCTAACAGAAATTTTGTATCCTCTGACCAACATTTCTCCAACTCCTCCACCCTCTAGCCACTGGTGACCACCATTCTACTCCCTGCATCTATGAGTTCAACTTTTTAGATTCCATATGTAAGTGAAATCATGCGTTATTTCTCTTTCTGTGCCTGACTTATTTCAGTTAATATAATGCCCTTCAGGACACTGTCACAAATGACAGGATTTCCTGCTTTAGGGCTGAGTAGTACTCTATTGTGTGCATATACCACATTTTCCTTATCTATTCATCCTCTGATGGAAACTCAGGTTGGTTCAATATCTTGGCTATTGTGAATAATGTTGAAGTGAACATGGTAGTGCAGATATCTCTTCAACATATTGATTTCATTTCCTTCAGATATATATGGCAGTGGCAGGATTGCTGGATCATATGGCAGTTCTATTTTTGAGAAACTTCCATATTGTTTCTCATAGTGGCTGTACTAATTTACATTCCCACCAACAGTCTACAAGCGTTCCCTTTTCTCCACATTCTTGCCAGCACTTGTTCTCTTTCATTTTTGTTAATCACCATTCTAACAAGTAGGAGGTAATAATTCATTGTGGTTTTGTGATCGGAGATGTTGAGCATTTTTTCACGTATCTATTGGCCATTGTATGTCATCTTTAGAGAAATGTCTATTTATTCAGGTACTTTGTTCATTTTTTATTTGAGTTGTTTTCTTCCTACTGAGTTGTTTGAGTACCTTATGTATTTTGGACATTAACCCCTTATCAGATGAATACTTTGCAAATATTTCTCCCATTCCATTGGTTGTCTCTTTACTCTGCGGATTGTTTCCTTTGCTATGCAGAGCTTTTTCTTTTGATGTAATCCTATTTGTCTATTATATGTTTGCTTTTGTTGCCTGTGTTTTTGTCATCATATCCAAAACAATCATTGCCCAGACCAATGTCATAGAGCTGTTTCCCTATGTTTTCTTTGAGTAGTTTCACAGTTTCAGATCTTATGTTTAAGTTTTTAACCCATTTTGAGTTGATTTTTGTATGATATGAGATAAGGTTCTAATTTCATTCTGCAAGTGGGTATCTAGGTTTCCCAGCACTGGAACAACTTTTAAAAGGTATTCTCTGTTGACATTTCTTTCTGGAAAAATTGTATTAGTTGTATTTATGTTTAATTCTTTCCAGTTTATTTTTCCCCTTTGGATAGTGTCGCTAGGCCCTTATCTTTTTATCATAATCATTTTTCTGAGATATTCAGTTAATACACATTTTGTTTCATTTTACTCTTTTAAGATTCTCAGTCACTACACCGTGTGTATGTGTATGTGTCTCTGTGTAAAACTAAAACTATCTTTATTCTTATGGAAATCAATTTTGGGGGTCTGAGACACAATGACTCTAAAGTGTCCTAAAACATTTTTTTAATGTGGTGGTAGGGAATTCTTTTCTTTTTTCTCCCTCCCTCCCTCCCTCCCATCCTCCCTTCTTCCCTCCCTCCCTTCCTTCCTTCCCTTTGCCTAAATTACCTTTTTGGTAGGCTTCTGAGATTTCTTTCTACTCTGCAGTCATTTTTGACTAGAGGTAATCTTGTGATACATCTTTTTGAGAAAGGTTGCCCTGCTGTTTAAATTTCTTCCTATGACAACTATGTCTTGTGATATCTTTAAAAAATTTTCTTTCCTTCACCCCTCTTTCTACCATTTCTTGATTCCTCTATTTAACTTATTTAGAAGGTGCATATTGAAGACATAATACCTTGGGAGTTCTGAAAATTAATTATATATGTGGTTGGCAATTTATTTTGGTCCAAAAGGAACTACTATAGTTATTACCTCTTGGTTCCATATACTACATTAACATAAATTTTTTATGTTCCAAAAGAATTTTTAATGATATTTGTGGGTTATGCTACCAGCAATGCAATATTAGCTTTTCTCCCAGCTTAGTTGTCTCCATGAAAGGTATACTCTCGAGAAGATATACTCTTGACCTTTTCTGTCTCCATAACTCCAGAGATGTATTATTATGTGTCCTTACATTCATGGGCAATCTAGATCCATTTTTATTCCAGAGTTATTAAACTCTAAATCAGAGTTTAAGTTGTTTTTGATAGTGGACATCTATCAACTTCTGACTGCTATTTCCCTTTTTGATTTTGCCTAGTCATGGTAAAGATGCCTGCTCCAAAAATCAATCTTTTTTTCCTTAGCTCACAGGACTCAGATATACAATATACGAATACCATATGCAATGGTTAATCCTCGGTAGCTCATTTAAAAAGAGTTATCACTTTTTCAGCCTTTGTGCTTCTTATTGGGTTAGGTTCAGGTTATTTACTCCTCTGAGACAAACTGTGATCTCCTTCTATATCAGTTTCCAATTAGAACCCTTGTCCCATACCAGCCATAGATGGTGTATCTATTTTTAAAATATGTTTTTCAGATGTGCTCATCACTATAACAGAAGTTATTAGTAATGGTGTCTATCATAAAAGTGTTTATAGCATAAGGCATGGAACAATTGATTATAACACAAATATGGTAGATATTTGAAGTGGGTGGTCAGAGACTAGGGGAATCAAAAAAGAATAAAGGACACATGGGGAGGGGTAAAGGGTGGGAAATGAGAGGATCTTCCTGACAAGTGAAACGTCAGAGAAGGAGATGTTTTGTGTTCACAGAACTGCCCAACTAGAGAAGAGGAAGTAGAGAAAGAATTATGTCATTCAAAATTGTGTATATTATGGAAACATTTATATAAATACTGAACATATAACAAAATATCCACTAAAATACTTCTCATATTTTTTCTAAATATTTACACTTTATGCTTTAGAATATTGTGCTGGCAGAGCTCTGAGTTTATGTTTATTGAGTACAACAGAATTTAACCATGGGATTTGTAGTTATGAAGAATAATGGGTAGATGGGGAGGGGAGGAGAGTGGGGAATAAAGAACCTTCCTTTCTTCTAGCATCTAAACACAGAAGATGTATCATTCACCATCTTATTGTGAAATGAGGCTTTCATTCTTTTTCTGGAACATGGCAGCAATCATTCTCCAGTTAGATCTAAATGATTGAATTGCAACGTGAACCGTCTTGGTGACTAACACATTTTCCCTCACCTCCAGCGCCCTCTTTTCCCAAGATCAAGCAATTTTCTTGTGTAATGAACTGTATCTGCTATCAAGTGGCCTGGAAATTAAGAGGTCCAAAGTGTCTTCCAAATCCTTGTTTCCTGTTTGGTATCATGATGTCTTTCGCAACTACATCACTGATCTATGTTTCCCAAGACTATACAAAGGAGGAATGCAGAAATGAATGGAATGGCAGAATAATGTTATATGTGGGGGAAAGGCTTCAATCGATTTTGGATTATTCAGGGAATAGTTTTCTAGCTAATGGGTTGTCAAATTCTTTGCATCAGAAGCTTTTGTGTGGTTGATAGCTTATGGTCAGTTCTGTAATGACTAGCAGTGGAAGGAGAACAGATACAAGGACGTGCTTTAAAAGCAACACCAACCTCCAAAAGTGGATCTGAGTGGTTTGATTTATGCCCATGACATACCCAAAGTCTGGAGAAAGTGAGTTCAAGGGAGGACAAAAAAATGTAAGCAAACTAGGCAGTAAGGAAAAAAAACAGCAGAATTCAAGCTGTACATTTTCTTGATTTACTATGACTTCCACAGACATAGAAAACAAAACCAGAACTATAATCAATTTGTTCAGTTCAAGAGACTAATTATATTTTTTCATATAGTCAATTTATAAATCTTTATTTTAGCAGACAATATCTGTATACTTTCTTCTACTAGGCATTTCTGTTATTTATAAAGTTTATGCTAAACATTTGATGTTTTATATATTCATATATTACTTTTTGGCATTTACTAAAAATGTCACCAGTTGGCTAATGAAAATCTCTGCCAGAAAATCTTCCATATTTTTATGACACTATTTTTTAGAAATTAACATAGATATTTATTGGTGCTTACCAATCAATAGCATGATATCAAATGTGCAGATTCAGGAAATAAGCTACTAAAGAGAAAATTTACTTATTTAATGTAATTCAATATATAGAAAATAAAATTCCAGAACTATTTACAATATTAAAATAAGTTGTTGTTAGTAATAGCAAAACATGCTGAATAATGTTGGTTTCCCATGTGTATGCTTTATATACTATTCTAATTAAGAATAGCTTTACCTGTAGCTCAAATATGGCTTCTGAAGGTACAACAACATACTTATCTAAGCCTATATAGCAATAATATAAAACAGTATCAAATCTAGGAATAACGTAATTTGACTCCTTGTGGGCATTTTTTATGATGTGCAGGAACACCTTATAAACTAGAAAGAAACATGTGATTAAATTCAATCACATTTGACAATTAATAGAACACCTTGGCCAAAGTCTAGACAGATAATTTCAAAGACAAAACTGGTCATAAAACCAAAGCCATTCCTTTGCAAAAGCCTTCAGAAATAAAAAGTAACATTTTTTTTGAAACGCCATTGGTGAATTTAACACAAAAGACCTTAACTAGGTCTCAAGATACTGAGCTAGCAGGATCACTGGCTTAATCAGTGGTGGAATTTATTACATATTTACATATGCTTGTGATTAGTCCATTTAAGTGTTTTCATATATATATTTTCTAAAATGTTGAACAATTCATATGTTCCAGCGTGAATAAGCTACCAGTTTTGAAAAATTTTGAAGCATGGTGAGACAAACTCATATACTTCTAGTGGCAACACACGTTGGTACAATCCTTCTTGAGAGGAAGCTGATAAAATATATATTTTTTTGGAGACTTTTTCTTTTATTATTATACTTAAAGTTTTAGGGTACATGTGCACATTGTGCAGGTTAGTTACATACGTATACATGTGCCACGCTGGTGCACTGCACCCACTAACTCATCATCTAGCATTAGGTATATCTCCCAATGCTATCCCTCCCCCCTCCCCCCACTCCACAACAGTCCCCAGAGTGTGATGTTCCCCTTCCTGTGTCCATGTGATCTCATTGTTCAATTCCCACCTATGAGTGAGAATATGTGGTGTTTGGTTTTTTGTTCTTGAGATAGTTTACTGAGAATGATGATTTCCAATTTCATCCATGTCCCTACAAACAACGTGAACTCATCATTTTTTATGGCTGCATAGTATTCCATGGTGTATATGTGCCACATTTTCTTAATCCAGTCTATCATTGTTCAACATTTGGGTTGGTTCCAAGTCTTTGCTATTGTGAATAGTGCTGCAATAAACATACGTGTGCATGTGTCTTTATAGCAGCATGATTTATAGTCCTTTGGGTATATACCCAGTAATGGGATGGCTGGGTCAAATGGTATTTCTAGTTCTAGATCCCTGAGGAATCGCCACACTGACTTCCACAATGGTTGAACTAGTTTACAGTCCCACCAACAGTGTAAAAGTGTTCCTATTTCTCCACATCCTCTCCAGCACCTGTTGTTTCCTGACTTTTTAATGACTGCCATTCTAACTGGTGTGAGATGGTATCTCATTGTGGTTTTGATTTGCATTTCTCTACTTTAAAGTTCATATGCAACCAAAAAAGAGCCCGCATTGCCAAGTCAATCCTAAGCCAAAAGAACAAAGCTGGAGGCATCACACTACCTGACTTCAAACTGTATTAAAAGGCTACAGTAACCAAAACAGCATGGTACTGGTACCAAAACAGAGACATAGATCAGTGGAACTGAACAGAGCCCTCAGAAATAACGCCGCATATCTACAACTATCTGATCTTTGACAAACCTGAGAAAAACAAGCAATGGGGAAAGGATTCCCTATTTAATAAATGGTGCTGGGAAAACTGGCTAGCCATATGTAGAAAGCTGAAACTGGATCCCTTCCTTACACCTTATACAAAAATCAATACAAGATGGATTAAAGACTTAAACGTTAGACCTAAAACCATAAAAACCCCAGAAGAAAACCTAGGCAATACCATTCAGGACATAGGCATGGGCAAGGACTTCATGTCTAAAACACCAAAAGCAATGGCAACAAAAGCCAAAATTGACAAATGGGATCTAATTAAACTAAAGAGCTTCTGTACAGCAAAAGAAACTACCATCAGAGTGAACAGGCAACCTACAAAATGGGAGAAAATTTTTGCAACCTACTCATCTGACAAAGGGCTAATATCCAGAATCTACAATGAACTCAAACAAATTAACAAGAAAAAAACAAACAACCCCATCAAAAAGTGGACAGAGGACATGAACAGACACTTCTCAAAAGAAGACATTTATGCAGCCAAAAAACACATGAAAAAATGCTCATGATCACTGGCCATCAGAGAAATGCAAATCAAAACCACAATGAGATAAAATATTTTAAAAGACACACCTGTGTTCACTCCCACTGATTCAGTAATTTCAGTTTTGAGAATACTTTCCCAGGAAATGATCAAAAACCAACCAAACAAAAACTATTTCATAACAATGTTTATTTACAAACCAAAAAAGGGAGTAATTTAAATGTTCAACAATATATAACTGGCTTAGGAAATGACAGTATATCAATTTGAGAAACATAGCAGTCAAGTGAAAAATGACAAATATAAAGACTATGTACCTGTATCAGGAAAATGTATGTGATATGTAAGTGAAAACAGCAGAATACTAAATTACATGTAGTTATCCTAAGTATATGGAAAAAACTAATTGTTATGTAACTATATAAACTATACATGGGAAAACAGATTCAACAAGGCAGGCTTTATTGAATAACTCAGTTGGGGGTAGGAATAGGGATAACTGTTTTGACTCTAGGTATTGTGTGATGTTGTTATGGTGGGCATGTATTTGTCTCCTCAGACTTCAGAGTTCTGAGTCCATACCACCTTCATGCACTGCAGTAGGCCCTGAAAGAAAACAAAACAGAAGCACAGACAGACTCAGAGGCAAGAAATGGAGGGGTGCTGCTTGCCTATCTAAAGATGTTCTGATTCTTCACTTGTGTGACCTGCCTACATGTCTACTCTCAGGGTCTGTGAAAAAACAAAAACAAAAACTCATATCCTTATTATAAATTCCTATCATTTGGCTTGGACCAGTTTGAACGGGTACAAACCAAGAAACAAGACTAAGTTTTAATATTTCTGTTATAGTCTTTAACTTGCACTTTTTTTTTTTTTTTGAGACAGGGCCTCACTTGTTGTCCAGGTTGGAGTGCAACGGCACAATCTCAGCTCACTGCAGCCTCGACCTCCTGTGTTCAAGGGATCCCCCTGCTTCAGCCTGCCGAGTAGCTGGGACTACAGGTATGTACCACCATGCCTGGCTAATTTTATTTTTTGTAGAGACAAGGTTTCACTATGTTGCCCAGGCTGGTCTCAAACTCCCGGACTCATGAAATCCTCCTGGCTTGACTTCCCAAAGTGCTGGGATTACAGGCATGAGCCACCATGCCCAACAACTTGTATTTTTAAAAAGAAGTGTGTAAGAATGGTAAGAGTCCTATGCCATCTAACTGCATTGCAAATACTGTTAATTTATCCTAAGGTAAAAAGTTTACTTATTTTTTATTGATGCAGAATAGATGTGCACAGTTTTGAAGAACATGTGATAATTTAATACATTCATATAATTTGTAAAGATCAAATCAGTGTACTTGGGACATCCATCACCTTAATTATCTGTCTTTTCTTTATGCTAGAACCATTCAAATGGGAAGTTTACTTATCGCGTAGACAGTTCCTTAAATAATAGAGCTAATGTAAGCTAACAGTTATTCTAGACAACATAATATTCCAACTAATGTTAAACAAACAGCATGTTAATATCTCCTTTTTAATTTTACTTTAAGTTCTAGGGTACATGTGCACAACGTGCAGGTTTGTTACATATGTATACATGTGCCATGTTGCTGTGCTGCACCCATTAACTCATCATTTACATTAGGTGTATCTCCTAATGCTATCCCTCCCCCCTCCCCCACCCCACACAACAGGCCCCGGTGTGTGATGTTCCCCTTCCTGTGACCAAGTGTTCTCATTGTTCAATCCCACCTATGAGTGAAATATCTCTTCTTTTTGCTCTTTAGGTTAGAATTAATCCAACTATGCCTGAAGTGACATTTTTAGGGATACAAATGATCTTACCTTTAAGCCTTGAACAGAAAGTCACTGTGTAGAAATCTAGTGGATTATGCCCTTACTATCTGACTCTAATCTTTCCTGAGAGTCTGCTTTGCTGTTTTTGTTACCTTTCATATACTGTTTACCATGTGCCAGATCCTACATAAAACACTTCACATACACTGTCCCATTTGCCCTTCATAAAACTTCTGGACCAGAATGTTTTACCAACTGCAGAAGCTTTCCCTCTTTTCTACAATTATTGAGTGTACTTCCCATCAGACAATGCTTTCCATATCAGAAATGCAAAAATGAAAGCTCAGACTAGGAGACAGATGTTAAAAAAAAAAGTAGTAAAAGTGATAAATGTGGCTGGGCGCGGTGACTCACGCCTGTAATCCCAGCACTTTGGGAGGCCGAGGCAGGCGGATCATGAGGTCAGGAGTTCGAGACCAGCCTGGCCAACATGGTGAAACCCCGTCTCTACTAAAAATACAAAAATTAGCCAGGCATGGTGGCACGCACCTGTAATCCCAGCTACTCGGGAGGCTGAGGCAGGAGAATCGCTTGAACCTGGGAGGCAGACGTTGCAGTGAGCTGAGATCGTGCCATTGCACTCCAGCCTGGGCAATAAGAGCAAAACTCTGTCTAAAAACAAAAACAAACAAAAATAAAAATAAAATGAAAAAACAAAAGTGATAAACACCACAGTAGTGATATGTACAAAGTACCCGGATGTATGTGAGGGAATTACTAGCTATTCTGGGTATTCTTGGGTATTCTAAGTCCATACCAGGATGTGGTTGTCTAATCCCCAAGAATTCTGATACACCTGGAGAAATGCTGAGGTAATCTGAAATCGAGGGAAAGAAAACTAATTTGCCTTCTCAGAAATATGTCAGGTAATCTAGAAGATGCAGAATCTGAATGACAGGACATTAGTATATGTTAGGCTGCAGTAAATATAATAATGAAAAAATAGCAAGTATTAAAAAATACGTTGGGGACTCTTTTTTATATTAATTCATATATCATATAATTTTGAGGGCATGCCTTGTACTAAGGCAGTATTAGGACCTGGAAAGACCACTGTAAAAAGGTATCACCTGGAACAACTTTATTAATATTGTAAACATGGGAAATATTAATTATGCTTTATATTGCTGAACTTTTAGCAGCAGTGCAGCACTACTTGTTAAAATAATCTAGGCTGCATAGGGGGGCCCATTCCTGTAATCTCAGCAGTTTGGGAGGCTAAAGTGTGAGGATCATTTGAGCCCAGGAGTTCTAGACCAGCCTGGGCAACATGGCGAAACCCCGTATCTACAAAAAGTACAAAAAATTAGCCAGGCATGGTGGTGCACGCCTGTAGTCCCAGGTACTTGGGAGGATGAGATGGGAAGATCGCTTAAGCCTAGGAGGTCGAGGCTTCAGTGAGTCATGATCGCACCACTGCACTCCAGCCTGGGCAACAGAGCAGGACCCTGTCTCAAAAAAAAAAAAAAAAAGATAATCTGCAAATATTATTGTTTATGTGTGCTTAATTTGCAAAGTCACATCTTATTTTTGTGTTGCTTTTCCTTGCAGAATTATTCCTTCTTACATGATTATTCAAAATTAATGCAAGGACAGAAAAATACAAATACCACATGTTCTCACTGACAAATAGGAGCTAAGCATGGAGTACACGTGGACATAAACATGGGAACAACAGGTACTGCAGACTACTAGAGAGAGGGAGGGGTGTGGGTTGAAAAACTACCTACCAGGTACTATGCCGACTACCCGGGTGCAATATATCCATATAACAAACCTACACATGTATCCCCTGTGTCTAAAATAACAACTGAAATTTTTTAAAAAGTTAAGTTCTCTTGATGCTGTCCTGCTCACTTTTTCGTTTCCCTCACAGAACACTAATTCACATCTTCTATACGGTAGACGCTGTTAACTTCAAGGCCCTTCATGGCCTACAGGTGCTTTCAGTGCAACATCCCACGTCCTTGGCACCTTTGTACGGCTTGGCTCCTGCTTACTGACCTCTGAGGCCTCATCTGGAACTATGAGCCCATTTTATTCAATGCTTTGATGCTATTGGATTTGTACCACAAAGCACTATACTTTCATTTTGAGATTTCTGCATATGCTGTAACTTCTGCCTTTAATACTCTCTTCTCCTACTCTTCTGACAACACTATTACTTCTCCAAGAAAGATTTCCTTGACTCTGGGTTTGTTTAGATCTTTCTCTTAGGTAAACCATATTTCCTTGACATTTGTGTCAGCCTTTTAATATATGTTTCTCCCACAAACCTGTAAGCTTCTTGAGGTCAGGGACCATATTAGGCATTTACAGTTCCATGCAGTGTCTGCCACATATAATATGCTCAAGAATGTTAGACATGTAATTCCAGCACTTTGAGAGGCCAAGGCGGGTGGATCACCTGAGGTCAGGAGTTCGAGACCAGCCGGGCCAATATGGTAAAACCCCGTCTCTACCAAAAATACAAAAAATTGGCTGAGCACGGTGATGCATGCCTGTAATCCCAGCTACTCAGAAGACTGAGGTAGGAGAATCGCTTGAACCCGGAAGGCAGAGGTTGCAGTGAGCCAAGATCCTGCCACTGCACTCCAGCCTGGGTGACAGAGGGAGACTCTGTCTCAAAAAAAAAAAAAAAGAATATTAGTTGAATAAATGAACTAATGAACAATTAAAACTTCTACATGGCACAATGTAAATGTTATATACAGAGTAATGACCAATTAGCATAATGCTATAAATCTGCAAATTAAAGATGAACAAATAAAACATATTTCTCAATCATGAAATACAAAACTTGCATACTGTGAGTGGTGGAATAGTGGCTCCCAACGATGTCCACGTCCTAATCCCCCAAACCTGGGAAAAGGTTTGGTTATATGGCAAAGGGGAATTTACATTGTAGATGGAATTAAGCATGCTAATCAGCTGACCTTTAAATGAAGAGATATTTTGAATTATCTGGGTGGGCCCAGTTTAGTCACTAAGGCCCTTATAACTGGAAGAGGGAGGCAGAATAGAGGAACGAGTGAGCTGGCAAGATGCAAAGGACTCTGTTGGATGTTGCTGACTTTGAGGACGGAGGAAGAGGCTCAAAACCAAGGAATGTGAGCAGCATCTAGAAGCTGAAACAGGCCAGGAAATGGAGTCTCCCCTAGGCCCTTCTGAAGGAACTCAATTCTGACAAAACCTTGATTTGAGTCTTGTGAGACCTGCTTTGGACTTCTCACTTCCAAAATAGTAAGATAATACATTTACTTTTCTTTTAATTAAAACAATTTTTTTTTGGAGACAGGTCTCTGTTGCCCAAACTGGAATGCAGTGGTGCAAACATGGCTCACTGCAGCCTCCACCTCCTGGGCTCAAGTCATCTTCCCACCTCAGCCTCCCAGGTAGCTGGAATTACAGGCCTGTGCCACCATGCTCAGCTAATTTTTGTACCTTTTGTAGAGATAGGGTTTCACCATGTTGCCTGGCTGGTCTCGAACTATTGAGCTCAAGCGATCCGCCAACCTCGGCCTCCCAAAGTGCTGGGATTAAAGGTGTGAGCCACTGAGCCTGGCCGATTTATGTTGTTTTAATCCACTAAGTTTGTGGTAATTTTTAACAGCAGCAATAGGAAACAAATACACATTCCCACATGGAACAGGATTAACTTTGGCTGCATATGACAGAAAACCTAAGAGAATGGCAGCTGAAGCAAGAGGTATATTTGTTTCTTTCTAAGAGAAAGAGAAATCTGGAGGAGGAAGTCCAGGGCTGGTAATGGTATTCCATAGTGTCAAGGACTCAGGCTCCTTCAGTCTTTTTGCTCTGCATAACTTAAGGAGCTCTAGACAGCTCTGCCCAAGTTGAGAAAATCTAGCAGGATTTCAATCCACAGGAGGAAGGGAAAGGATGGTGAAGCATCTGTTTTTGAAGATCTTTGTCAATGTTGTGCACACCACTTACATCTCTTTGGCCAGAACTAAGTAGCATAGTGAGACCTAGATACATACAAGAAGAGAAACAGAACCATTTTTTTTTTCCTAGAGGCAGGTCTCACTCTGTTGCCCTGGCTGAAGTGCAGTTGTGTGATCAGAGCTCACTTCACCCTTGAACTCCTGGGCTCAAGTCATCCTCCTGCCTCAGCTTCTTGAGTAGCTGCAACTGTAGGTGCGCTTTACGATGCTTAGCTAATTTTAAAATTTTTTGTAGAGAGTAATCCTGCTATGTTGCCCAGGCTGGGCTCCAACACCCGGCCTTAAGCAATCCTCCTGCCTTGGCTTCCCAAAGCACTGGGATTATAGGCATGAACCACCACACCCAGCTAAGAATTATTTCAAGTGTGATAAAAATGGACAGTTCTATAATTTTAAAAGAGGAAGAAACATATTAGGGACAATTAGCTCTATCTTAATATTGTGGTATGATTTTTTTCTCTCATTGTTTTAAATATGTAAAAGTTGTCTCGCCTAGATTTTAGATTAAGGCAGAGGCCATCATTCCACAAATAGGTTATTGAATAATTACTACGTGATAGTGTTTGCCAGATTTTGCAAGTACATACATTGGAACGTGAGTATATACTTGTTCAACAAATGACATAAGACATTTATATCACATTTAACATTAGTATTGTAATTAATGGAAATAGCAGAATTATTGGTTGGTAAGAAATAAGGTTAAAATGCTTTATTTCTATACGCATATTACTCAGGGTCCTGGCCGGAAGCATATAGCACATTCAAAGGATACTCTGAAGAGAGTTTAATGAAGAGACTATTTACAGAGGTGTGGACAGGTTTTAAAGGAAGGAGTGATGAAGCAATCAATCATTACCACCCTGGGCCTGAAGACACAAAGAGAAGAAGCAGTTTCTGGAACTTGGCAAGACCTGTGGCCATGGGATGAGGGTGTCGGACAGGAGCCAGGGACCTCAGGTAGAGGAACGAAGCTAGAGCCACAGCCAGGCAGCAGGGAATAGAATAAATATCCTGACCTCTCTCTTTTTCCTTTCTCTGATCATTTGCCAAAGCCTCCAAATTGGCTGAAACCAAATAGGAACCAGAGGGCAAAGAAGCCTGGGTGACGTGACTTCCACAGAAGTCAGCCTCGCAGAGCATGGAAAGGCAGAGAATGGACTTTGAAGGACAGAGCATAACAAGGATAATATGAAAAAGCAAAGCATTTCACAGAGTTGGAACGATTCAAAAAATTTTAAACAAAAAGAGAAAGGGAAATGATCCAAACAGAGCGGGCACAAAGAAAGACAGAGGAAGGGAATGATTACAAAGTAAAACAGTGGGGGAGGGGCACAATGTCTGATCTATTTATGTAAGTAGGATAAAGAGAGAGAGAAAAGAAATAGAGGCCTGAGGTCTGAAGAGAATGAGAAGGGTGTGACCAGGGATCTTAAAGTTGTGGATATAATTGGACACAGGGTATTTATCACCATCTTTCTCATGTAAGTTTAATACAATGGTAGAACATCTAAAACCTGTTACTGATTGCAAACATTTTAAATGCATGTACACCAAGGATGTTCAATCCTTGCCTCTGTTCAGAGGCAACGACTGTAACTGAGGATCTGTGGTTTACAGAACACCAGCACTGTAGGTCAAAGAAACAGCCATACTCTGTAACAGAATCAATCAGCTGCTAAAAGAAGTCAAGATGACAGAAAAAAGAAATACGTGGATACAAAAGAGAAAAAACAGCAGTAGAAACCAGCTATCAGACCACTGATATCATGGTAAATAATTAAAATTCACTTAAATCAAAAATATGTGTGTTGCTTCCTCTCAAGTTACCTACATATAATTAAGTGTAGAAAAAATTAAATGTTATTCATATTCATAAGTAATATTAGTAATAGAAACTACAATCTAACTTCTATGGAGGCAGCCTTTGAAAGAAATCCTTTTTAATTACTGTGACTTCATGGAAAACACTAGTTTTACTTTTTGGATATTCACCGACATCCTGCAAACATCTTTCTCCATATATTTATATCTATCTCTGTATTACACACGTTCCTGAAAAATCACCTCGTAAATAAGAAACTACACGTGTTAACATTTCATTGACTTACATTAAAAATAGGAGCCTCATTCCCCAGAGGGGTAAGAACCATTCTGTGGTAAACTATGTAACAAAAATCACATGGAAGTATGGAGAAAACATTTGTCCCTGTGATATCTCCTGGGAGGCTGTATTCGAAGGGCTGGCATGGGTCCTGTGGCCAACTGTGGGTTCTGCATCACCCTGTAGTCATGTTTCCTTCCTGACTCAATGACTGCAGAATTTGGTGAGACTGCAACAGTGAAATGACCATTGCCCTCCTTTGTTCCACGGTGAACTGCAAATCCAGAATTACTGTAGGTCAGGAGCCATGGTCAGAGACAAGAATTGAGTAGCGGCTTTATGGGACCTCTACATTCTGTACTTTGAGGGATAACATGTATCACATTCTTTTTCCTTCAAAAACTCTAAGATTAAAATTAGGTATTGAATTCAAGAGTTGCATTTACATGCTATCCTTCCATGAAATTAACGAACTTTAAATTTTGATGAAGACTAGAGAATTATACATTGCACTTCTCAATGTGTTTTGGAAGAGGTATGTGGGAATGATATGCTTCATGTGGAACACCGTGAAATCTCTACATTTTAAACTTAAGATAATTTTATGTCAAATTTTATCCTAATTTATACAGGAATCATATATGAAAAGCAAATAGGTGCAAAGGGTTTATGAAAAATTTATAGAAAAAACTCAGTATTGGAACTATTCTATCCATTTACATTTTTCCCTGTAAATTTGGAATAGTATAGAAATTCATTTTTAGAATATCTTCCCTTCAGCATATATAATCCCAGTGCTCAGTAGAAGCAGTGTGTTAACATTTCATTGACATATTAAAAATAAGCATATATATTGAATGTATGCTGTATGACAGCACTACAATTACTAAAACCAAGAATGCAGGATACATGTTAAAGTCATATATTAGTATCCCCTACCGTTTGATTTGAATAAACCTAAATTTTAATAATCTTCTTTTATAAATTGATTCTAAAGATTTTTCCCCTATTCTTTAGCTGTATTTAAGAGATAAGAAGCAACCGTCACACATGCATCATGTTTAAAGCAGTAATTTATTCTGAGATTTACTTTTGTCTGTTTTCTTTCCAGTCCAGGTATCAATATTTTCAAGAATATTAAAGTATAATAATCAAACATTCAATTCATAACATATATGCTTATCAGAAGCTTTTACAAAATGGAAATTTTATGTTAGAAGATTTGGGCTACCAGTAATATTCACTGTGCATATTTTAAAAAAAAAGGTGAACAGAGTTCATTGTTTAGGGAAAATGATTATGGAGAAACTAAAATCAAGAGCAATTTTAATGTGGATATTAATGACAGTGATCACTTTCATATCCATGACTTTATCTGTTCCTAAGGACTAAAGGGATGAAGGCAGATTATGTACCTTACTGTCAAGAACAGGGTCAGAAAAGGTCAACAATATTAATTTAAGAAATGTTTATTAAGCATCTACTATTGGCTACGTACTCCACTAGGTGTTGAGGACATAGAAATAAGAAAAAAAAGTTACCTGAAAAGGTACTTGTCCACAGTTTGGCCCAAACTAACTAAACCAGAAACCACTAAAGTAAGGAAGAAAATGACTTCTGTTTGTCTCTTCACTTCATCTCTCTATGAGGTGAGGATGAACACTGAAGGAAGCTTAGCAGGGAGGTACAGGCCAGAAAGAGAACATGAGAAAATGCTATTTGTAATACCTCCTAAGTTTAAGAGTAGGTAAAATGTGTGATAGAGCTGGAAAGTTTTTTTTTCCTTTCTGGTCAGAAATCAGGGTAGCTGTAAAAATGTTGGTGGGGTGGGGTCAATTCCATAGTCTATGACCTGATTCGGTAGGCGACTGAAAAACATTGTACAACTCTTAAAAAAAGGGAGGAAGAACTCACACTTAACCAAGCAAAGCAAGGACACCGTGTTGACATACACAAGTTTCGGTTAACATGGTATCAAGGAAAGCGAGGACTGCCTGTACTTAAAATGATCATTAAGACTAATGATTCTAGTTTTGGCATTGAGGATGAATGCAGATATATAGACATAATGTATAGCAAAGAATATTTACAGTCACATTTCATGGACCAATAAATAACGCATTTACTTCTCAAAATGCCCAAGAAAATGTGGGAGAGAAAATGTTCATTTATATTCAAGATTAAACTTTCTAACTTTAAATCATCAGACTTCAGCTGTAAATTTATTTCAGTTGAAAGGTTTGAAGACATTATTAATGAATATTCTAAAATTCCGGAAGGTGTTTAAAAGATAATTTTAACCTAATAAAAAAATCCTGCCATAGAAGTGACAAAAATTATAAGCATAAATTTATTGAGCACCTACTATGTGTCATTGTGCTAGGTGATGTACTACGTTATTTCCAATACTCCGGTCACGTTTCAGTTTTCTCAATTTCTCTATCAATAACTGCTACATTGTTAATTTATAACTATATTACTTGAAATACAGCTCAGCTTATTTATTCCATAAAGTTGGTCCCAAAGACGTTTCCTTATTCGAAGGAGGTGGGAAGCAGGAAGGAAACCTAAATCTAAATTCTACTTAATACTGAAGACGACTTTCTTGATATTTGTGGTTATCTGTATGGTCTTTTCAGAAATCCCAAAACTTGTACCAAGTCAAGGATAAAATAAGATAAAATCAGCAATCTATCAGGTTCAGAGATCACATCTGTCAGCCGATGCTTCTTGCCTTAAGGTCCTGCACGGCGATGACCGCTCATTTAGGAAGGAATTCATGGCCTGTGGATACCTTAGCTCTGAGTCCTGCCACCTAGGATCCCACGGTTCTACGCGAGGAAGAGGGCGGGGAGCGCGGACCGGGTGTGGGAGGCCGAGGTGACAGCAGGTGAGGGCCGGGTGCGGATGGGGAAGTGAGACAAGCACCGTGTGGGTATTACTCATTCCGCTCTACTAAGGAGGCTGCTGGCAAGCGGAACTTCTAGCCTCTCTTTCAATCCAGCTGAAGTTCAATCTCATTGAAGTCACTTCCCATCCCGGTTCGCTTGGGGGGAAACCAGGCGTCCCTGGAAGGGAAGGGAAGGGAGTCCGGGCTGCGCGGGTCAGGTAGCCTCTCTCCGGTCGCCGCGTGTCCTCGCCGTCCCCAAACCTGCCCTTCCCCTCATCAAGGGAACTCCCCGGGGAGTCCAGACCGCGATCCCTTTCCTTGGCCCCGGGGTGCGGGGGGCGGACACGCGAGGCGTGGGACTGATGGTAGCCCTGCCTCCAGGAAGCAGGCAGGCGGGGACCTCTGGGCGCTCGGAGGGGCAGCTCCGAGGGCACAGGGTACAGGGAGAATCAGCCAGATCCCTCCCTGCCCCGGGCAGCCGCGGCGGGTGTGGCCAGCGCGGAGGCAGGACGCCGCCGAGCCTCCAACTTTACCTTTCCAACTCCGACAGCCCGTCGCCTTTCTGACCGCGTCCCTACGGTTTCCCGGCATCCGCCTCCCTCTCCCCACCACACCTGAGGAAAACTTTTCCCTCGCCCCTCAATTCAAATTCAGCAGTGCCCACGGTTGCCGCAAACCGCCCGGTCCCTAGCAACAAGGTTCCGGCCGTAGAGCGAGAGCCTCTAGGTGTAAGGAAGGTGATGTCGTAAAGCCGGGAGTGTCGTAAACCAGGTGCGGTGGGGAGGGGGGAGGGGTGGAGGCGGAGGGGTGGGGGGGAAGGGGGAGGGAGGGGGAGGAGGTGACTCGAGCATTTAGACACAAGCGAGAGGATCATGGCGGATGGCCCCAGGTGTAAGCGCAGAAAGCAGGCGAACCCGCGGCGCAATAACGGTGAGTGGCGGAGGGGACCGGGGAGCGGCGGAGTCAGGGGGAGCTGGGCAGCCGGGGCGCCCCCGGGGGTGAGGGGGGCGAGCCGGGCTGGGGGCAGCCGGGGCAGGGACGGCAAAGTGGAGTGGGAAAGTAGAAAGTAGTGCTCTCTGCCCCCCTCCGCTGCCGCCGCTGCCGGAGCCGCGCCGCGGCCGCTCGCTCTCCCTGAACCGTTATGTCTCTTACCTGGTCTCTCTCCGCCTAGCGGCTCCCGCCGCCCCTGCCGCCTCCCTGGACCGTTAGCCGGCGCCGACGCCGCCGCATCCCCGGCGCAGGGCGGGCGGCCGGGACGCACTGGCCACTTTTCTGGTCCCGGGTGGAGCGGCTGTTGCTTCTTTCCGCACTTTTCCCCACTCTTGTGCCCTTCGGCGCCTCCCTCTCCCCCTCCTCCTGGCCCCCTCAGCGCGATTCTCCCTCAGCGCCCAGGCCCCCGGGAGCCGCGGAACAAACTTGTGCCCGGCGCTGACCGTGCAAAGTGGCTTCCGCGCGCCGCGGCCCCGGCCGGCGCCGTCGCTGTCGCTCGGGCCCCGCGACTCGGGCCGGGCTGTGGGCGCGCGGCAGGCGGGCTGCGGCGGCGGCGGGACGGGGCGGCCGCGGGTTGCGTGGGGTTTGTGCGCGCGTGTGCGCGGGCGCCGGCTGTGCGCGCCGCGGGCGGACAGGGTTCGGCCGGCGGCGGTAAAGTTGGGACCCGCGGGCCGGGCGCGCTCGCGTAACGGGGATTAGAGGCGCGGGGGCGCGGGTCCCTAAGCGCCCCTCCTCCCTGGCGCCTCCCGCTGCCCGGCCCAGAGCCCCGGCCTGGGGACTCCGCGGCGAGCCCCGCGAGTGGGGTCCACGTTTGGCGGGGCGCGGCGGGGCGGCGCGGGGAACAAGGCAGGAAAGGTACCCACTTAACGCCGCCGGGAGCCGCGCGGATGGGGGCGAGCTGGGCGGCGGGTGTGTTTGCGGAGTTGTTACCTGGGCTTAGAGACCGGGAAGCACCACAGACAGATCCCCCTCCCGGGGCAGACGAGGTCTCTGCGCCGGGATGGGCCGGTGTGCGTGCGCCTCGCGCTTTTCTCTTTCGGTTTTTGGGGAAGTTGTTACCTGGGCCGGACGCACGGAGCGCTGAAGCCGGATAATGGGGCTTGGATGGCGCTCTGGGTCTCGGGTGGAAGGAGGGTGGGGGAGGGGGCGGACGGACCGACGGACGCGCGGGGCTGCTACTTGCACCGCAGCTGCAGTGTTTATTGATTTGTGCTGCTGTGCCAAGGGAAACACACACCCCTCTGCCTGGCGTGAGAGTTAAAAAAAAAGAGAGACAGCCCGAGGGATCGAGACCTGAACATGTGGTGGTGGTTGCACAGTCGCCTTTTCCAGTTTGGAGAGACGTTGTAAGTTGATTGTATTTCTGGTTATCTCGGGGCGATGCTATGCTTTCTCTCCCTCTCGTGCAGCAGCGAAATGTCTGCTGATTGTTATTGTCTGGACAGTTCCTGTGGCGAGAGGGGCGAGACTTGTCCGCCCGGGGGCGGCGGGAGCGCAGGGAGAGCAGCCCCCGCCTGCGCCGCCCCGGTACCTGTTTGTATAATAATGGGCGGCAACGGCCCTGCCGCCGGCCGCAGCCCAGGCTATATAAGGAATTACACGTACATTTCGGACCGAGGGGCTCGCTTTGGTTCCTGCGTTATTTTTAAAACGACTTTTAAGAGAGGGGCAATAAATGCGTCTATAATGGGACCGCTGCAGCGTCGAGAAAACGAGGAAATACGTGTTTAGGAGAAAACTCTCTCGTGCTCCCCCAGCCCCACCCCCCGCGCCTGGGCTCCCTTTCTCCCTCCCCTCTGGGATGCGAAACGCGAGGTTTTGTAACCTTTCCTGGCAATTTTAGATTTTGTGTGGGATTTCCTGTCTAGAAGCAGATACGAAGATTTTTAAGCTGTTTCAAGATGTTTCCTTCCAATCCATAATTATATTTTTAATATATTCGAGCCATCATTAAAATCACTGCTTTCGTGATTTTAATTATTCAAATAAACACTTGCATTTTAAAGACGTCTGTTGATTATAAACGAAAGGTATTTTGGTATTCTCATTGTGGAGAGATGACTTGTTATAGCAAGGAGTGGAGCATAGGCTATTGCAATTTTAATTTCCTGTTTTAGCGTCAAATAGTGTGTGTTCCATATTGAGCTGTTGCCGCTGTTGCTGATGTGGCTTTATGAAAGGTAAGTTGGTTCGGAAAGAGCTGTTCGCTTTTTACCTTATTTAAAATGTTGATCGCCAGAGAAAGGGGCTTTTCTTGTTGCTGACGACATGTGTGTGACATGTGAGTCTGAACCACCCAGCGTCTGTGCAGCTGCTGTAAACATGTTTACCTGAACAGGAAAGAATGGATTTTTCTCCTTGAGATCCTGTGATATGAATATTACACTCGTAAGGCATATCAACAGATGACTTAAGGGGGGAAAAGCGATCCTGAAAGATACTTGAAATCAACAGGAAAGAGAGGTTCTTGATCGCTGCAGCAAATGGCAACTTGTGCAGGTAGAAAAAAAGATGGTGTTTAGTTTTCTCCTGCATGTATGTCAGCCCCCTCCTGTCTGCTGCTTTCATTCTCAAGGGAGGGATTTATTTACCACGCTTGCTGTCAGTGTTTTTCCTTTGTGTTTAATATTAGAAAAACAGATTTGCGTCTGTTTAGCACAAAACGTCTTGTCTGCAGTATGCATTACTCTCAGAAAACAAAAGGTGTTTAAGATAGCACTGTACTACTACAGGTATCTTCCATTTTCATCACTTTTGGCTCTGTCCTTGTATTTCTTTTTGTTCTCAAATGCATTTCATCCATTGCTGGTGATTATAGCCATGCTATTTGATTTAGCCTTATATTTTGCAAATTAAAAATGAAGTTATATTCCATTGTGTTGTGAAACCTCAGTATATGTGCTGGTTAATATTTCTTAGCAGTGCAGTCATATTTAAGTTGCAGATGTTTATTGGAGAAAATTGCCTGGCAAAACGTTAACTCTCAAATCTTTTTAATGAAGAAATATGTGATATATACAGTGGAAGATTGTCGTAGAGATAGTTTATGTTGTTATATATGTAAATAATGTTTTATTCATTTTGAAATAAGATACGTGGATTTTGCTGCTAAGCCTTCTGTAAAATATTTTAATTTCCTTTCTGGAATATGTCTGAAGGTAGGATATTAAAAGGAGTATCAGGTAATGTAACTGACAGGGGTAAACCAATTGAGTAAGGTTTGGCCAAAGCATCAAACCTTGTGTGGTAACTTAATGATGTTAGTCATCCGTAAAGGAGTGACATTAGAATTGCTTGAATTAGTTTTTACCATTTATAATTTCATGCTTTGTTGCATTTTAAAAAATCTGTCTTTTTCTTTTTCTGCTTTCTTCTATGTGGTTTTCTTCTTGTTCTACCTTTTTTTTTTTTGAGAGAGAGATGTACTCTACTAATGACCACATGCTGATTAATTCTCTTTAGATGGAATAGAAGGTACATATCCTTCTGTCATCAGCACCATTTCCCCTTGCTGTCATTGGAAACCACCAGTAGAGGATGCTAACAAAAATGATTATTGGTGTGGTAGCATCATAAGTCTCTCTATCGACTGTGCTGATTGGGACCTTCAGTATAATTCTGAGTCTTATTGTTACTTAAAACTAGCCTTGGTTAAATTAGGCATAAGCATTTTCTAGTTTGCCGAAACTAGAAAGAAGCAGGACTGTTTTAACTTGAATAATTTTATAAATTTGAGTTATTTAAGTCTCTAATTGAGATTGCTGTTAATTCATTCTTGTTTTAGAGCAGTTGTATTACTCCTTATTTTAAAAAGATTTTGTTTTATGTTCTTAGGTTTGGAGAAGAATATGTAATAATTGACCCATATTTATGTTGCATATTTAGAATACTTTTTAATCACCCCTTTTTAAAATTCATAGTAAGATCCCTTAAAATATATATTTTAGATGTTAAAATACATCTAAAATGGTCAAAGTTTAAGAGTAGCAAGGAAAATTACAATTGATTGATAATACTGTGTAATTATTTTTATATAACTTATGTAGACTTAGACTATGGATGGGTTGGCAGAGAGCTACTAACGGAGGTGGTAACTAGCAGTCACTTAGATGTTAGTGATTTTTAGATTTTATCTTTTCCTTCCCCTTCAGGTCTTTTCCTACTGGTAGCCCTCCCCCACCTTTTTAGTTAAGAATCAGTGAGTGCATACGTTTTAAATTTGTCAGTTGTAATTAAGGAATATAAGTTTGCTTTGAGATCTTATATGCAGTAAAACTCTGTAGTTCGTACGTTGCTGTATGCTTGTATTTAAATAATTCCTTTCAAGAAACTATATAAATTGCATATAAATAATTGCATGAGACTGTATTTAGTTATGTCTTTTCATTTTGTGTTCTTATAGGTATATTAATATAACTGTAAATTTTAAGCCTCTCATTAGGTAGAACATTAGAAGTATTTATTTCCTTAATTATTTTTAGTGGTGTTTTTATAAATGCATCAATATCAGTACCGTAATGGAATAGCCATACTGTTTATCTTGAACTAAGTAGGTATTGAATTGCCAGGTAAGCCTGTGTTAATTTCTTATTTTAGGATGTCATGGTTCTTCGTGTGTGTGTGTGTGTGTGTGTGTGTGTGTGTAAATAGTTTTTCATTTCCTGACAGGTATTTCTTGAATTTAGTATTCTAATTCCTGAGGGCTCAGTAGTGAATAGGTGTGATTCACTTAAATGTTTATGAACTCAGAAACTTTGCCACAAAGTCACGAGATACATTGTAGCATGGAGCAAAACTTAAAGTATCTTATAAATTGAAAATATTAATCGTTTATGAAGATGACCCTGATATAAAAAGCATGTGAAATATTTGTTTAATACTGTTTTCTTCCTTTCTCTAGTCTCTAGTATGTTTGAAATGGCATACCTCCTATGTAGTAGCTTTTGAAGCATGTGCTGAGAAACTTCTGTTAAATTGAGAATGATATTTTTAAAATAAGAGCATAATGATTTCTCATAGTTGTGTTTTTCTTTTGCTTTATCCTCTTGTGGATTTACCTGTATAAATCACTTTTAAGCATGTGGTTAGAGCCAGATGTAAACACAGATGCAGTATCATGTGGAATTATATTGTTAGCTACTCTTAACTACCTGTATTGAATTGCAGCAGAGGAGGAGAAAAATCATGCAGATGTTGGAAGAAGATATGCATTAGTGTGCAAGAGTACAGCGAGAGGTTAGAAAACTTGAAGCTGTAGAAATAGGATTGAAAAAGGTTTCTTTGCAGTACAGTCACTAATTTATGTGGAAATGCATGCTCTTTATTTCTAATTGAGATATAAGCTAAAATAAAAGTCCATTGTTGAAAGAAAACTCAAAAAATTTTAAACTAGAAAAAGTGTCCTGATTAGGAAATATGATAAAATGATTTTTTAAACTACTTTTTAAAGGGTAGATGTTGTACATATTACTGGCTAAATAATCATTCAACTAGATATGAACTAAAAGTAGTAAGCAAGTAGAAATATATGTAGTAGAGAAAGTTTTGTAGCAACCCTAGTTAAAATTAAATTTGATCTATTATGTAGGCATTGCCATATAAACTAATCATTCTTTTGCATGGGGCAGTGTTTTGAGTATTATGTCACTAAAGGAAACATCTTTAGGACATTAGTTTTACTAAATAAAAATTTCAATATGTTATGAGCATGTCTGGATTTTAGCCTTGATGGAGGTGGGTTACGCTGTTAACTTAAAACTGGGTTGCTTAAAAAGATGGCAATATAATACAGTACTTAAGTAGCAAAATGCTCTCTAATAAGTAAAATTTGCTTTATGATTGTTTTCAGAGAAAACAACTTAATTTTTAGAACTTCATTAATTTTGTTAAAGCATATTTTTGGATTATATAATATGGATGTAGATAAATGGAAAGATTATGAAAGGAAAAGCAAAAAATTGAATTCAAGTGTCTATTTGTATTATAGCTGTGAAACTTTAAGCTTTTTTCATTCTCTACAAAGTTACTTTTCTCTTTCTTCAAACAGCTCCCTGTTGTTTAATACACGTTCCCTCTATACATAGGGATTGCATTTATCTGTCCATATGCACATTTCTCCTCCTAATCAACATTATGTATTTATTGAGACTTGGTACATGGAGGTTGAGGTATGAACTATGTTTGTAGAAAACCTTACAGTATGGCAACCTGGGAAAACCTTCATCTCTTTTGCAGTAACAACTACATCTGTGCTGAAATTATTCATAACAGATGTTTTGTGATCTCTTAATTCCCTCCCTCTCCCTTCCCCTCCCCCATTCAGATTTAAAATTAAATGTGAATGGAAGATAAATTTATAAATTATGTTAATTTCTTTTTATTGTTTTATTCTATATTGAAAGTCCTCTGTTTTCTCTTTTTAAAATATTCTAATTTTAAATGTTTAAGATATTTTAAGTACTCTGATTTCAATTATCTTTTAATAAAATATGACACCATTATTTATATATCTGTTACTATTCATGCTCACGGCCTAAAATATATTCTGATTTCCCTTACTCTTAAGGTCTTTGTATTCATTTAATCCACAATTCTAGCAGAGTGTTTGGTTTTGGGTTTTTTTTTTTTTTTTTAAGTAGATAGTGCTGAGTGTAACTAGTTTGCTGATGAAAAAAACTCATTTTCTTGGAATCATATATTTTTAATATGGAAGATTCATCTTTTCCAAAATAACTTTTTATCTGAAAACTGACACAGATAAGCTGAAATTTAGGGTCTTTAAGTAGAAACTCTAGAAGAGACTTTAATGTGTGTTTTAAGAAGGGGTAATGCCAGGCAGATACAGTGACATATGGAATAACATGTAGTGAAATCCTTCAAGGAGTAGATTTTCTGAACCTGGGCTCAGGGTAACCTTGCTCTGCCTTGAATACTTGAAAAGGCTGTCAAAATCACTGTATCTCTTTAACGTTTTCTCCTTTCTACCCTAAAGTTAAGTTGCTATTTGCTCCTATTGCTACATCACTTTTCTGAATCTCTTTTGATACACTTGGCTTTTGCTTTATTTGGGAGGGAGAAAGTAAAGGAAGGAGGAATTGGAGTAGACAAAAAATAACTTTATATGAATAAATATTCATTAAGAAAATGAAGTGGAATAATTTTGGACTGGAGAGATTTGGGAGAATCATCCAAAGCCATTTTGCAGTAAAGCAGACAGTCAAAGAGATAAGATGACTTTGCCAAGTTTATGTTACTAGTTAGCTTGGACTAGGTCACAGCTTTTTGGGTTCCTAGTTCGGTATTCTTTTCATTAGGTCATTTGAGCATATTTATCTAAGACGGTAACAAGCAAGAACTAGATACCATGAATTTTCAAATTTATTATACTTAAAACCAAAATGTGTAGAATGCTTCATCATCTCAAAGGCAAGTTCTAATACATATGCATACATCTGTCAAATTTAGTAGTTGATGTAGTTATATCACTTAAAATATTTCAGATGCAGAGCATTAGTATTATTTAGAGGCATCCTCTCATTTGGATTATACTTTTGGTCACTATTCCCAATTTCAGCTCCCATTCACTCTATCCTTCCTACCTTGGACCCAATCTAATATGTTTTTTATATGCTGTTGGTTTTGTAGCTAGCCTTGTAAAATTTTGTACCTCTTTTGTGTGTTTTGTATTTACATAAGTGCTATAAGTGCTACTTTGCTCTATCATTTACTTTCTTTTTCTTTTCTTTTCTTTTTTTTTTTTTTTTTTTTTTGAGACAGTTTGACAGTTTGACTCTTGTCACCCAGGCTGGAGTGTAAAGGCGCGATATCAGCTCACTGCAACCTCTGTCTCCCAGGTTCAAGTGATTCTCCCGCTTCAGCCTCCCAAGTAGCTGGGATTACAGGCACACACCGCCATGCCTGGCTGATTTTTGTATTTTTAGTAAAGATGGGGTTTTGCCATGTTAGCCAGGCTGGTCTCAAACTCCTGACCTCAGCTGATCCACCTGCCTCAGCCTCCCAAAGTGCTGGGATTACAGGTGTGAGCCACTGCACCTGACATATAATTTACTTTCTTTACTTAGCATTGTTTGATAGCTAGATATGTTGCTATATGTACAGCTAGTTCATTGCTTTTAACCTTGCAGTAGTTCATTTATGTAGTAAGCACAAATTACCTATCAATTCCCCTAATGGCAGATTCCCAGATTGACTCCAATTCTTAGATACCAATAATTCTGTAATAAACATCCTCCTACGTGTTGCTAATGGCTGTGGAAGAGTTTCTCAGCACTACCATATCTAGGGACATGGTATTGTCCAGACATAGTATTGCTGAGTATAGGTCAATCACATATTTAATAATTACTAAATTCTGTCAGATTATTTTAAAAACAGCAACACCATTTTTTACGCTCACCAACAATGTAAAAGAACTATTTTCTCACGTTTTTGCCAGCCTTCGGTATTGTACAACATTCTACATTTTGCTAATTTTTCAGTTGCTAAATATAATCTGATAGTTGCTTTAATTTATGTTTCTCTGTTTATTAGGGAGGTTGATCATTTCTTCATATCCTTGCTAGCTGTTTGGGTTTCCCTTTCCATATCTGGCCTATTCATACCCTTTACCCCTCTTTTTGGATAGATTTCCATTTCTCTTGTGTATTTAAGATGATAATCCCCAACGTTTCAGTCATTTGACTTTGGTACAGGAATCCTTAATTTTAATGTCAAAATTTTGACTTTATGGGTAGTAAGAAGTCCTTCCTAATCTATAGATTATAAAGATATTTTCCTGGATTTTCTTCTATTAGTTTCTTAGTTGTATTTTTTGTATTTATATGTCTAATGCATCAGGAGTTCACCTTTTGAATACACCCTTTCTTAAGAGGAACAAGTATAGCAGTTAAGAGTTTGGGTTGATCCTGTAACTTACTACCTATCACCCTGGCCGGGTTACTTAGTCTTTTTATGCTTGAGTTTCTCTGCATGTAAATTGGACATGACAGTCTAAGAATTGGGAAAGTTTAAATGAAGCATATGACGCATTGTGCCTAATACATGTTTTAAGTTTTCAACACATGTTCATTTAAAATTTTACTTATTTATTTTAAATATATCTTGGATCAGCTGACAATTTTTTATCCTTTTGACCAGTATTAACTCCAGCTAATGTAACTACCATCTGAAAGGGGGTTGCTGTAAAATTTGTACATTGTTTGTGTAACTTTGACATTTAACATTGCTTAGTTCAGACCTTGGACAAAGCTGTTAAATGATCAATAGACACTGAAGCTTCATCTTAATGCTACTTTTGGTATGTCTTTCAGCTTTAGGAAGGATTCCTTGGATCTTTTTAAGGGCCATTATATGAGAGAGACCTTACCATATCACTTTTATGTATAACATTGACATGAACTTCAAGGATAATGTCCCATTGTTATTCTGTTACATAAATCAAAGAACTCAAGTCCAAGGAATAAAAGCTGTGCATTCTATATTTGAATAGTCTAAGCAACATGGAGTCTGCACCTTCTCATATATCCATTTGGCTGGGAATGTATTTAAGAAGATGGCTGTCTTACTGTGTTCCTATGGTATAGATCAGGACTATTCTAAGCCAAAAGTTAAAACCATACCCTGGTGTGTGTGTGTGTGTGTGCGTGTGAACTTAATTGAGGTATAATTTATATACAATAAGATATACCACTATGCATGTACATTTTGATAGAGTTTTGACATACTTGCATACATGTGTAACTGCTACCACAGTCAAGATGTAATAGAACATTATTTCCATCATCCTAAAGAGTTCTTGTGTACTTAATCTCAGCCAATCTTCCCCACCTATTGCCCCCTAGCAATGATCTGCTTTTGGTCACTAGAGGTTAGATTTAATGTTTCTAGAGTTTCATATAAACCGAATCATGCAGTATGTCCTTTCTGTGCACCTTCTTTTGCACAGGATATTATCAAAATTAATAAGTATCAGTAGCTCATTCCTTTTGTATTGCTGAGTAGTATTCCATTGTATGAATGTTATATCACCAAATACACAATTTGTGTCGCCATTCACCTGCAGTGGAACTATTAACTTGGGTTGTTTCTGGTTCTTTGCTCTAATGAATAAAGCTACTGTGAACATTTACATAAAATTTATATGCATATATATCTTACATTTTTCTTGAGTCAATACTTAAGAGTACAGTTATAGTACAGGTAACTGTACTTCTAAGTACATATAGTAAGTATATGTTTAACTTGGTAAGAAGCTGCAAAATTGCAAACTGCTTGTAACAAACATTTTTACATTTCCACCAGCCATGTATGAGAGTTCTGGTTGTTCCACATCCTTGCAAACAATTGTCCATGTTTTTAATTTTAACCATTCTAGTAGATGAGTGGTAGTATCATTTTGGTTTTGATTGGATTTCACCGGTGACTAATGATGTTTGAAGATCTTTTGGTGTATGTATTGGCCACTTGTATATTTTCCTTTGTGAACTGTCTGTTCAAATAATTTGTCCATTTTTAATTGGATTGTTTGTCTTTTTATTATTCAGTTGTAAGAGTTCTTTGTATATTCTGGACCAAAATTTTTTGTTGGATACAAGTATTAAAGATATTTCTCTCTTTCTGTTGGCTTATCAGTTTTCTTAATGGTACCATTGAAGTGCCAAAGCTTTAAATTTTGATGGAGTTTAATTCATAATTTTATTCATTTAAGCTTTGTGTCCTTTCTGAGAAATCTTTGCCTATTCCAGATCTTCAGGATTTCTCCCATGTATTTTTAGAAGCTTATAGCTTTACCATTTAGGTCTGTAATCCATTTCAGGTTAATGTTTGGTCTTAACTCACCAGAATTTGGCATAAGAATTTTTATTTGAAATTTTTAAAAATGTTTCTCAGGGCCCAACTAATACCCAAAGCTCAGGATTATAGAGGAACACAAGTCCTACTTCCCTGGTTTTGAACATTTTTAACTGAGAGTGAGTACATTGTGCCTAGTTGGGGTTTTCAAGGTTCTTCATGTCCTTGACACATTTTAATTCACTGAAATATACTTTATTGAGGATACAGTTTCAGAGAAAGATGCCTAAGGAGAGTGGCCCTAGTTAGGGGAATGCGAGTGTTGTCTTCAAGGTTTCTTATTTCCTACAAGGTTTTAAGGAATTTAGCACTATACCAATTCATTTTCATGTTCCGTAGCTTTTATCTTTAGATGGGGAGTTTGTTTAAACCTAACATTTATCTTGAGTTTTTAAGGGATGTAGTTTTCTCCTTGAGATAAATGCTTGATCTTACTGATTTTTGGCTACATATTTTACCTCCTCACTTTGTTATAGCTAAAGAAAAAGTTTTTAGTTACTTTTAACTTTGATAAGTTGATTACAGATGGGTTTATTATATTTATTTCTTTCATTTCTTAGAAAATATAGATGTTACTTATTCCTATGTAATTCTTATTTTAAGATAGTTTTTTAACTTTTCTGTTTTATTTTATCACCTATTCCTATTCCTTGAAAATTCGTTATAAGTAACCTGTGCCTTATTTTTGTTTTTACAGATCTCGCTTTTTAATACTCCTTTTAGCTCTGTGTCTGTCTTGAACGTTCTGTATATTAATGCATAATTCCTTCTGAGCTGGTATCCTTAGGTGCATTTATAGAAAAAGCATTGAACTGGGAAGGAGTCTTAAATTTCATTTTCTTTTCTTTTTTCTTTCTTTCTTTTTTTTTTTTTTTTTTTTTTTTTTGAGACGGAGTCTTGCTGTGTTGCCCAGGCTGGAATGCAGTGGCATCTCGGTTCACTGCAACCTCCGCCTCCTGGGTTCAAGTGATTCTCCTGCCTCAACCTCCTGAGTAGCTGGGATTACAGGCGCGTGCCACCATGCCCGACTAATTTTTTGTATTTTTAGTAGAGATGGGGTTTCACCGTGTTAGCCAGGATGGTCTCCATCTCCTGACATCGTGATCTGCCTGCCTCAGCCTCCCAAAGTGCTGGGATTACAGGCGTGAGCCACCACGCCTGGCCCGAAGTGTTAAATTCTAATATTGAATCTGCCATTATTTGGCCTCTGAAATTGAGAAAATAATTCCATTTATCTGGGCCTATGTTTGTTCATCTGTGGGATGAATATGATGGATTATTGTATGCAAGGTAATGAGACCCTGAAGATGAGAGATGTAGTACCTTGCCCTAAGGAGATTATAGTGTGGTAGGGAAGAAAAATGAGGAAAGAAACCTTTAGAATACAGTTTGGTAACTGATGTGATATTCTGTCTTATATGCATAGAGGGGATGGTGCTTAAACCAAGTCTTAAAGTATGTGTGTGGGTTATCCTAGTAAAATATCCTAGTGGAAAATAATATTCCATACAGGGGGAATATTATGTGCAAAGGCATAACACACATGCACACACATATTGTGGGACTCAAGTCACGTTTGGTAAAACTGTAGGGTGAGCGGAAGAATGGCTAGAGATGAGGCTGGAGAATTGGATAGTAAGCAAATGAAGAAAAAATGCTTTATATTGCTTTCCTGAATTTAGATTTTATCTTGGACATGATGGGAAATTACCACAGGTCTTGAAGCAAAGAGTGACATGATTACATTTATATACAGTAATTTATAATATTATGTTTCTTTATATACTCAGTGTTAATATGATTAAAAATTTAAGAATATATATGCTTGCTTTACTAAAAGTGAAAAAAGTTGTAAAACCTGATGTATCCTGCTTTCCTGAGTTTTTGCTTATCTATTCTGATAATACTAATAGATTTGCATAGTAATTGCTTCGAAATGGTGCTGCCACTACCACTTCTACCACCACCATAAATTAGTAGAAGACTTACGCTACTAGAAGCATAAGCAGCCTTACGTTATAGTGGCTGGTATCTGTGCACCAAGTTTGGCTGTGCATTTCTAGTCCCTGCACTGTTAGGGGGAATTGTATATTTTTTTTTCCTTTTCTCAAATCAGTAAATCAGTGCAAACAAATGTGTTGTGGATTTACAAACCTATGGAATAAAATGTTTTTACTTCTATCAATTATGGCTCTCCAAAGACATAAAATACTCTTCATTCACTATTACTAGTTAATTTTCTAGATTATTTCTGGCATTTATTAATGGTTCTGCATAGAGCTCCACCTTGTGAACATGTTATTGTACTTTGATATCAGTTCTGTGTCATAGATATTTAATAAATAAAATAAAACTTTATTTACCTGAATGTTTCTCATTCAGAATAGCTGTAATTCAGGCCTGGTATATGTTTTTATTTGAATAGAAACAGTTCACTGTTTTTTTGGAGGTTATGCTGTATACTACAAGATAGATTAAAACCAGTGCCTTTTTTTAGACCAGCTGCTGAGGAAATACCTTTATCATGTTTCAACCTCTTAAGTTTAATAATTCTCATGTAAAAATTAGTGCTTGATTTATGCATCAATTTTCTAAACATTTCACATGTGATCTACTTTGTATATTCAGGGACTTTTGTGTTCTATGTTATTATATAGCGTATTTTTTAACCAAAACTTTAAAAATTAACCTCATTTCATTAGTATTTGTTTATACTTTACTATACCTTGTTTACATGCTTAACCTGCCTATGTATTATCTGTGACAGTAATGAAACTGAATGGTTATAAAATGCTATATAATTTTATCAAGTTAAGCTGACTTTTTTGGTGGGGAACATCATCTTCCTCTTGCTAATAGATAAAGGAGTTTTACTGTACTAATTTCAAAAATGGTATAAAGCAGTAAGGCAGATCTTCACAGCCTATTCTTTGACAGTATATTAAGCATGTGGAGAGGAAAGCAAGGTGTTAGCTATTTTAAGGTTTCACAGCAACACTCCCATCTTGTTCATTTTCACCTGAGTTGTATAGAGCCTGGGAATTGCTATATATCTTTAATGTAAAGTCAGCAGTGCAAGTAACAGTATTGGATCATACTTCCACCATTACATTCTCTGAGTTTCTGATCACCACATTCTCACAGATAAGGAAAATAGTTGTAGATGGATGGTCTGAAATGTAAAAAGGATAAAGAACACAAGAAGTGGTAAATATGTTTAGTTTCAGACAGACATTATATAAAACTTGGGAGGAGGGTAAAATTATTGATTAGCTACGGGTAGGCTTGGTAAGTTTTAACGCATGTTAAAATTTCTAAGATAAGGAATAAAAATCTAGAAGGTATGTGTACCTTACAAACTAGTAGAGAAGGGAAGTAGAACAAGAAACAATATTCAATCTGAAAAAAAGGTAAAGAAGCTGAAGAAAGAAAACATGGAAAAGAGAAGACAAGTAGCACAAAAGTACATAGCAGCAATAAGTGCAAATATATTAGTAATTACAGTGCATATGAGTTGAAAAAATCCTCCACTTAACAGAAACTGGTTATTAGATGGGATAAAATAACAAAATATATTTATATGCTGTTTACAAGCAATACCTTAAAAAGCATATTCTCGCTTGAAAGTAAAAAGGATTTAAAAAGATATTCCTGACACTACTAACCAATAGAAATGTTGTATGGCTATATATATCATGTAAAGTTGACTTTGAGGCAGAAAACCTGTCCGAGAGAGTGAGGGTCACTCAATAGTTATAAAAGGAAGGTATAATTTTAAATAAGTGACTACCTGATAATACACTTTCAAAATACATTAAGCAGAAACTAGGACTGCAGAAGAAATAGGTAAATTTATCATTATTATAGCTTATTTAAAATAATCTCTGTTAATGTGAGAACAAGCAGAAAAAAATTAAGAAAAATATAGATGATTTTAATAACAGGACTTACAAGCCTGCTGTAATGGACACGTATGGAACATTGTATTCCACAACTAAAGTAGAGGAGGAACACTTAGAAAAACTGATCACATTCTGGTCAAATACAGCCAGCTTTAACAAATTTCAGTGGATTGGCATCACATTACACTTTCTGTTTACAATTCCATTAACTTAAATAGAAATTTTGTGTGTGTGTGTTTTGGAAATTAACATGTTTATTTCAAAATAACTTGTGGATCAAAGAAAAACTTGTAATGATAGCAGTAAATTATTGTACACGACAACTTATGTATAGCTAAAATGGGAATTTATAGATTTTAATGCTTATATTATGGGACTAAAGGTTGAGGAATAATAAACATGCAATTTTAAGAATTAGAAAAAAAGCATACTCCCCGATTGAAATAACAGGGGAATAATTAATGAACTAGAGAAAGTAAAAGTAATTCAAAAAGGAAACAATGCAACTAAAAATAGATTATTTGAGAAGAGTAACAAAATTAGCAAACCACTGGCAAGATTAATAGGTGGGGAAAGAAGTCATAAAGCAGTATCTGGAATGAAAATGGGAATGTTACTACAGGTGTTTCATGAATGATCAACTTTATTTTAATGCAGTTGAAAGATTAAGTGGACCAATTCCTAAAAAAAAATGTAGCTCATGCTGGCCCAAGAAGTAATAGAAAATGGAATACCCTTAAAACAAAAAGGAAAAATATTCTTACAAAGAAAAAAATACCAATTCTAGACAGGTTTACTGGCAAATTCTACAAAACATTCAAGGAACAATAATTCCAGTTGTACAGAGAGTATTTCATGGTTTGGAAAAAGAAATGACTGTCCCCAACTTTTTTTTACGAAGCTCTAAGTATAAAAAATGATGATTGTCTTTAACTCAGACCTATGTACAAAAATTCATAGATTAGATATCATCACATGGTAGTACCCCCTTATCCATCTGTAGGTGGTTACCTATGCTCAATCACAGTCCGAAAATATTAAATGGAAAATTCAAGAAATAAAAATTCATATGTTTTAAATTGTACGCCCAGGATGTGGATCCTCCCTTTGTCCAGCATATCCACACTGTATATGCTACCTGCCCATTAGTTACCATTGGTAGCCGTCTTGGTCATCAGATAATAAAAAAAAACATAGTATTTATAGGGCTTCCATGCTATCCATGGTTTCAGGCATCCTCAGGGGGTCTTGAAACGTATGCCCTGTTGATAAAGGGGAATTACTGTACTTGACCAATAATGTGTAAGAAAGTAACCCATCATAACCAAGTTGGGTTTACTCTAGAATTTCAAAGTTGGTTTTATATTAGAAAGTCACTTAATAGAATTTACCACATCATCTGTTTAAAGGAAAAGAATCATGTGAGCATCTCAATAGATCCATCTGTGATAAAACTCTTAGCAAGTCAGTAAATGAGAAGGCCCCTTTCTTAACCTGATAAAGGCATTTTTTTCCAAAGAAAATTTCCAGCCCTACCTTCTTTCCACTTCATGGTAAAGTATTGAAGGCATTGGTTCCCTTTGATATCAAAGGACAAGTGTGCCTGCTAATGCCACTTTTAGTCAACATTGTACTAGAAGTATAGCTAGTACAGTAAACAAACAAAGATACAATGATTAGAAAGAAAAAGCTATTATTATTTGCAGATTATATGATTATCTGTGTAACCCAGAAAAATTCACAGATGAATTACTCAAAGTTTAAATTTGGATGCAGAATTATTATACAAATTCAATTATTTTTCAGACTTTTTGCTGGCATAGAAATGCAATTAAGAGGTAGCATTATATCATCATAAAAGTATAAAACACTGTGAGTAAATCTAACAACGTGCTCAATATCTTTATGGAGAAATTATGAAACATTGGCAGACATAAAGATCTAATTAAATAGCATAATGTACCATGTTTATAAAAGGAGACTTGAACATTGTAATGGTGCCATTTCTCCCCAATTTTATCTGTAAGTTCTGTGCCATCTGATCAAAATATTGACAGGTTTTTGTTGAATTTGACACGCTAATCCAAAAACTTACATGGAAGAACTAAGAGATAATAGCAAGATACTCATTCATGAAATGGATCTGTGATGGCACTGGGATTGCCAATGAGTGAAATAGGATGACCCTTTCAATAATTGGGGTTGTTGGTTAATTAAATGGAAAAAATTGGGGTTGGACTGCTGCCTCACACTATTTAGAGAAACCAGTGGAAGGATTATAGATCTAAATCTGTAGGTAAGGTAAAGGTATAGGTAAAGTAAAATGGTAACACTTTATAAAGATGATAGGCTAGAATATCTCTATGACTTTGAGTAAAGATAAAAAGGCATAAAACACAGAGCAAAAGATTGGCAAATATGACTACATCAAAATTAAGAATTTTGTTTCACTAATAGATACTGTAGAGTGCCTAATCCCGTATTTAGCACATATCAAAATCTACCACCCAGGGAAATAAAGATGAACAATCTGATAGAAAACTGGGCTTGAATAGGCACTTCACAAAAGAATAAACTCGTTTGGCCAAGGAGTGTATTATAAGATATTCAACCTCATTAGGAATCAGGGAAATGCAAATTAAAACCACGTTAAGAAGGCATTTCATGTCTCCTAGATTCTCAAAACTTAGAAGCCAGCTAATACTGCTGTTGGTATAGACATGGAACAACTGAACACTTAGGCGTTGCAGATGCTAATGTAAGTAGGTACATTCACTTTGGGAAATAATTTCACATTATTAAAGTTGAAGATACACATAACACTATGACCCAGTATTCCTATGTCTTAGAGAAATCTCTATACAGACATACCAGGTAATGTATGTAGTTGTTTATACAGTACTGATCACAATAACAAAACAAAAAAATAAATAATAGGATAAGTAAATTGTAGTATATTTATACAATGGAATGCAACACAATACTGAAAAATGAATGAATTACACCTGTGCTTAACAACTTGGATCATCCTAGGAAAATAATGTTCGAACAAAACAAATCACTGAAGAATATAGTGTGATTCCATTTATATAGAATCAAAGAACACGCAAAATTAAGTAATATATTGTTTAAGGATACCAATACACATAATACAAGTCTATGATAAACATAAAATTTAGGAATGAGTGAATTTGGACACAGAGTAGATATCACAGGTCAGGATAATGTGTGTTTAAAAAAAAACGATGGTGGAACTCAGATATTTATTGTATTACTTATTATACCTTAAATTTATTTTATAGAATTCTTTAATGTTTGATATTAATAATTACTGATAGTAATTTATGGCTACTGATAATCAACATTTAATCTAAAATAGTAACTGAAAAAATAAAAGTGAATGATTTTTGGGGGAACTCAGTATTTGCCATGTATTTCCTATGTACGTATGTTTAATTTTTGTGAGTTCTCAAATGTAATCAATTTCTTTTGAGTATCTTTAGTATTTTATACTATCTTTGTAT
The DNA here is from genome assembly GCF_000001405.40 of Homo sapiens. Taxonomy (NCBI): domain Eukaryota; kingdom Metazoa; phylum Chordata; class Mammalia; order Primates; family Hominidae; genus Homo; species Homo sapiens. The sequence goes on from NC_000010.11 coordinate 31,337,648, forward strand.
TTAATATAGCAGATAAAGCTTAATAATTTCTTTCTGTTTTTTTTTTTTTTTTTTTTTTGATGGAGTCTTGCTGTGTCTCCCAGGCTGGAGTGCAATGGCGCAATCTCGGCTCACTGCTGCCTCCGTCTCCCCGGTCAAGCGATTCTCCTGCCTCAGCCTCCCCAGTAGCTGGGATTACAGGCACCCACCACCACGCTGGCTAATTTGTGTATTTTTAGTAGAGACAGGGTTTCACCATCTTGGCCAGGCAGGTCTTGAACTCCTGACCCTCATGATCCACCTGCCTTGGCCTCCCATAGTGTTGGGATTACAGGCATGAGACACCGCGCCCGGCCTAAGCATAATAATTTCTAACCCTGGTTGTGTGATACTCCAAAATGTATTCATTTATTTTTAGGGGTATAGGCATTTTTAATTCTTTTATATTTTTGTAGTCACTAAATTTACTTGGCTTCTACCTTTACATATTTTCTGTTTATTGACCACCTTTTAGGAAGTTTGAGAAAGGTATTACCTTATTATATTTTTTTCTAACTTAAAATATGTGTGTTACTATTGCACTTGTGGATATAACATTTCATTTTAGAATATTTACATTTTATTTTGTTTATCAAACAATAGCATTTTTGTATCAGGCACTATTCTCAATATCGTTAAAATATTAATTTATTTAGTATTCATTGCAACCCTATGAGAAAGATCCTGCTATCTTTGATAGGTAAAGGGAAACTGAGGCACGGAAAGTGTTGGGTAAGGTCACTTAGCTAGTAAGTGGAGCCTGTGTTCAAACCTAGGCAGTCTGGTTCCACAGTCTGTGCACTTAACCACTAAGCTGTAAGAGACCATATGAAGTAGATCTCTAAGAGGAGTATGTCATCTATTTCAATGTTCTTTAATAAACAGGGTACTATTTTTGAGCGGTGCCAGCATATTGTCAGATTATGATGAAATAATTATATTATTCCCTTTGTTTGATCTGAGAATGTAAAAAGCAATACTGGTAAATTACACACTGCTGGACATTGCTTAGATTTACTCTTCAATGAATTTTGTGTCCGTACGTTCATGAGATGAGAAAAATAGATAGGCAAAAGTACCTGTTAGTCTGATTGCAGATCTACCCGTAATGCACAAATGGTGATAGTGTACTTTCTTCTTCCAAAGGTGGGTTAATGGAGTCATGATTTAAAATAAGAGTTTAACAGTAGCGTGTATAAATTTGATATTTATACATCATAAATGATGTATAAATCATTTATGGGAGAGTGATATTTGATTCAGGGATGTTGACATGATACCTTTGGGAAATTCTCATAGTAAAATAGAGTTAGACTGTCAACAGGGAAAATTCTAAGTAATTTGTGAAGAAACTAGTAGTAGTAGTCTAAAGTGAGGCACCAGGCAAAGAGAGAAGAATCAGACAAATCCTTTAGAGTAATAGTTCTTTACCCATTCAGACCCACACTCCATTTAGAGCATTTACTGTAGAAGTTCTTGAGAGAAGATCTCATCCTGTAGCCATATATGCTCACTATATATATAGATATAAAACATCTCTAAGAATTTCAGCTTCTCTTTGTGCTTTTTGTTAGCTACTTTAAATAGCTTAACTTTCAGTGACACATGGTTTTAACAGGCAAAACACATGACTGTTAATGATTTTTCTTTAGAGCAGAAATGGTTTATATGGCCTAAATTCACTTTTAGAGAATCTTCTGAGAGAGAGTATTTCCTGTCTCTTTGCACATGTGTGGCATATTGTAAGGACTTATTTACTTTTAAATAAAAAGGAAAGCTCTTGCAGTGAAGTAGACATTTATTTTGTTAAGAACCTATATAAGGCCAGGCGCCGTGGCTCACATCTGTAGTCCCAGCACTTTGGGAGGCTGAGGTGGGTGGATCACAAGGTCAGGAGTTCGAGACCAGCCTGACCAATGTGGTGAAACCCCTTCTCTACTAAAAATACAAAAAACTTAGCCAGGTGTGGTGGTGCACACCTGTAATCTCAGCTACTCAGGAGGCTGAGACAGGAGAATCGCTTGAACCGGGGAGGCAGAGGTTGCAGTGAACTGAGATTGCACCACTCACTCCAGCGACAGAGAGAGACTCTGTCTCAAATTAAAAAAAAAAAAAAACCTATATAAAATAGTTTATAGCAGTTTATAGCTGTGACCATCAAGTCAGATAATTTGGGATGTTCACAGAGAGCTCTGGGTGATTATGACAGTGTACCACCCACATCTCTTATTTGTTTTGCTTCATTTCTCTACTAGGGAGAGGAGGTCATATAATATATGGTATTTTTATGTTATTTTAGATAAATCCATATCAACACAGCACAGGAGAACAAATTATACCCCTGGTAGATTTTGGGGTATAAACGTCATGAAATGTTTCTCAGAAAGTGAGAAATATTTCTTGATTGTATCTTTAAAATTAATGCAAAATTGTTATGTTACTCCATAATTTATTTGTGTGCATTACTGTAAGGTTCATGTGTATTCATATTAAATTTTTTCTTTTAAAAATTGGGTTCAATGAATTATCTAGGATGATTGCATTGTTTGTGGCATCAAGTGTTGTTTCTCCCTTTCCATACCAAGCATATCCTGCTTTTGGTACAGGATATATTTTTTTCAGATGTCAAAACACCTAGGGATACATTTTATGAATTACTAACTTACTTTTTTAGGACAGACTTGAAATCATTTAGAGGGTAAACTCTAGCAATATAGAAATCTGTTTTTTGTTGAATGGAGTAGCAGCTAATCTTTAAGACCCATTGATAGCATTTTAGTAGTAGCACTTAACATTCAGAAAAGAAAAACAAATCATCCAGCTTCTGATCTTCAGTTTTATGTAACTTTACAATTTGGTACTTGATGACTTGGTATTGGTATGAGACTGAATAGTGTGATGTTACAAACATGTGATGTTTGCCTACCATGTTCTAGGCACTGTGCCAAGTGCTAGAGATGGAATGGTAGGTAAAGCTGTGGTCTATACTTAGGGAGTTCACAGTCAAATGAAGGATACAGTCACAAAACAGACACTTGTATAAAGCATGGTCACTATAATACAGAGAAATGGAAAGAATGGCCAGAGAAAGCTTACTTGAAAAGATAATGCCTGAACTGAATACTAAAGGGAGGTCAGTGGGAGAGACAAGGAAGGGTAGATATTGATTGTGAGTGCATGAGCATTGAAATGAGAGGGCCCAGGGGAATAGGAAGAGAGGAATAGCCTAAAGGAGAACAGGAGCAAAGGCACATGGGTGAGAAACAACATGGAATGTTCTGGACATACAAGCAGATCTCTGTTGGAAGGAGTATGAGATAAGGGTAAGAGAGTGATTGGAGTTGAGTCTGGAGAGATACGAAACCAAATCATGGAAGCTTTTTAAATGCCATGTTTAGGAGCTTGAACTTCATCTTTTTGTGAGTTGGACAGTCATTGAAGGGTTTTAAGTAGGGGCCCAATTTGATTGTATTCAGGTTGAGTAGAGTACTCTGATAGCTGATGTGAAGGATAAATTTGAAGGGAAAAAGATTGGAGGCAGAGAGGCCATTTGGGAAGTAGTTAGCTTGATAAGAGGTGACGAGGGCTTAAACTGACACTTAATAGAAATGGAGAAGAGGGAGTAGATTTCAGAGTCTGTACTTTTTTTGTTGTTGATAAATAGTAAATTTAGTAGGACTCGATGCTTGGAAATGACCAGTGGGAGAGAAAAAATGGACGAGATTAACTCCAAAGTTTCTAGCTGAGGTGATTCCAGGGATAGCGATGACACCAAACAGAGTGAATATATGAATAATCAGTTGAGGAGACAAACGGAAGTCAGTTTTGGATATTTTGAGTTTAAGATGGTTGTGACATCACTAATGGAGGAAGGCTAACAAGGCAGTTAACCTTTGAACTTGATGCTGTGGGATATAGATGGGGGTCCTGGGCTGGAAATACAGCTTGAAGAGTTCATCAGTTTGCAGGAGGTGATTGAAAGCATAAGACCATCAAGGGAAGGTGTGTGGGCTGAAGAGAAAAAAAGGTCAGAAGACAGGAGCTTGGAGAACAGAAGTGTTTCAGAGTCAAGTAGAGAAAAAGAAGCCCCACAAAGATAAGAAAAGGAACTGAAAAAAATGAAATAATCAGTGGGCCAACCTGAAGATCCAAGCAAGACTAGAAACCACACATTTTTAATGGAACAAATCTATATCGTTGTGATTTCCTTAGAAGCCTTAAATTGGTGGGGGAGATCAGAATGTAACATTAGTCTAGGATTGAGGTTTTACCAGATGGTACAGTAAAAGTTGTGAGTTTAGGGAAACCAAGTTGTTTGAAGTTAGAGCAGTTTAGATGATCAGCTGTGCCAAATATTGCAAATTATGTGCTGTACATTATTCTTTACGTATATTAACTCTTAACCCTCACCACAACCATAGTTGTTACAGAAGATTCTAGAATGTAAGTTCCATAAGAGCAAGGTGGGTATGCTTTGTTGTCTGTGCTATTCTCAGTGCCTGACATACAGAATAGGCTCAAATACTTGTTGAATAAATGAGAGAATATGAGATACATACTATTATTCCCATTTTACAGATATGGAAACCGGGTAAGAAGAGATTAAGTAACTTACATTCACAATTTTTAGTGGTAGAGCCAGTAGGAAAGGAATTGAGCCCAGGATTAGGGAGCTGATGGAAAATAGAGAAATTTTAGGTCTGGAGATCTCTCTGAGGATAGTGGAAATAAAGGCATGAGAGATGTAGAAGGGGAGAAAGTTATCATCAGAGAGTAAAATGGTGGAGGTTATGATTTTTTGAGATAGGGTTGTTCAGTGTTATGACAAAGGGTCAAGTCTTAGCAGTGGAGTAAAGGATGTTTATTATTGAATCTCTGTAGGCGTCGATGTAGATGTTGAAGGCTCCTAAGGTTATACTAGAAGTTTGAATAGAGAGGAACATTATGATACCATCCTCATAAATGAAGTGGTATAATTGGAGATCTATAGATAAGAAGCAGCAGAGAGTGGAATAGATAAGCTTTCTTATTTCAATTCTAGCTTTTTAAACGTAGATTGAGGTTAGATCTGGTTTGCTGAAAAGACAGGAATAAATTGGGCTTGCTGCATATAATTTATTTCCCCCATATGGATAAGCTCGTTGGAAAGCTCCAGAAATATTCAGAATATAAATACAAAAGTTTCAAATTTTACCTGACATGCCAGCTCTACTTAAGGTATGAATTCTAAATCTTGTATCTCTCCCCTGCAAGAAAAGCTACCTCCTCCTTTTTATATAGTAGTAGAACAAAATTTTTGTTTGTGTTTGTGGCAGCACATCTCACCTCTTTGTTTCATAGCTGTTGGGTACACATTCCAAGGACGGTAAAAACAAAATGCACTTGCTCTTCTAAATCTTTAGCCACTGGCTAGTGGATTGCATTTATTCTCAGTTTCCTTGCCGATCCTTTTACCCTTCCCCTCCCCCATTTTTCTTTTTGAATGGTTTTGTTTCATGAAGCTCTTGAGAGCTTTCTATGTTATATTGTGGCACAGGAAAAAGTTTATTCATTTTAGCACTAAACTGTAGTTAACATTTTAAGTTAATCATTTTTAGAATGTTTTGATGAGCAATCCTGTTTCATTTTTAGAGATGATTCAATCTGATATTTCATTTGCTTTTAAAGTCTCTAATTTCTTTTCATCTATTTCCATAGCATTGTAATTTGTATCCTGAACGTTTCTCTTCAGAGAAATATAAAAATCCAGCAATCCATTATAGTATTGTATTAAGCCTAAGATTTCATTATTTATCATACACATTTATTTATTTATTTTTATTTTTTATCATACACATTTAAAGTACGGCCTTTGATTTATAGAATTTTTCATTTTGTGGTTGTGCCTGCTTATCTTTGTTTTTGTGTGTGTATGTCTTTCACAGAAATTAGTATCATTCTGTCATAGCTCTTAGGAAATTCAGAGTTAATCAAATATGTTATAAAATGTGTTTGTATAATGAAAAGGTTGGAGGAGATGATTCTGAAGGTGCCATTTAGAGCAGGTGTGCTATGGTTTGGTGGCTCTCTATTCTCTGCCCGCTTTAAATCTTAGTAGGCAGCAGATGAAATACTACTAAGTGACCTTTGACACAGAACCCATGAATGCTCCAAGTATGATTTCATTTTACCGTGTTCTTTGTAAACTCAAATGCCTGTCAAATCAGATGTGTGTTTCGATGTTTTTACTGAATGCGCCTTGAGGAGGAGACTAAAGCTTGGGGTCAATTTGGCATAATCCCCACGTTTTTCTTTTTCTATTATAGAGGTTTCTTGGGGAAGGGGTGACATTTCTTTCTGAGGAAAAGGTGCAGGCTAAGTGTAGGTGGACTTTCTGTCTTCTCCATACTTTTTCTGACAGCCTCACTGGATCCTGGTGATATCATACATAAATGCAGAGCAGACTAGATGGGTTGCTGGTTGGTATTTTTGGTTACCATTTGATCTGGTGTCTTTGGTTATGTAATAGGCACATTAACTGACAAATTATATTAAGTAAATATATAGCCATGGGCTTTTTAAAATCTCACTTTTTAAAGTCAATAATTAGATTAGATTGTCTCCCAGTAATTAAGTTTTTCATATGTTCATGGATATATGTAGTATATATTAAAAGATTATTTGTGTATTTTTTACATTAATTTGGTAATTTTGACAATTTGTCAACTCAAGTATAAAATACTTACATATAAATATACTTAAATAAGTATTTAAGATTTAATGTCAACTTTACAGTAATGAAATAGAAAATTCTTGAATGTTACTCATTTAAATTTTCTGATTTGAGTTCTGATAATCTGTTAGAAAATTAGTAATATGCTTAGGCTCACTTCAATTTCCCCAGCAGAAACTATTGTATCCTTACTGGTTAGAAGCTGCCAATAGTCATTAATTGTTAAAATATAAGAAGGTTGTAGGGGACCATATGACAAAAGAACTAGTTACCTTTACAGTTTGTTCGCTGTACCTCATACACTTTGTGTTAGAAGAAAAGCTCTATTCAGTGCCTTGAGTGAAAAGATCCTTACCTCCTTTTAGACTCCGATTGTGGGAATTTTCTTGCTATCCTGGACATTTTAACTTGTTCTGGGTTATTTTGAACATATTAAGGTGGACTCCTGGAATAGTTGAGAACTAATTCATGTTTGTTTGTTTTTCTGAATCAGCAGTTTAGTGATTAAAGCTTAAGATTCTTTTAATAGATTTAATGAAAAAGAAATCTTAACTTGAAATTTAAATTAATGAAAAATATTACCAGAGGAGATGTCTGATATTTTGATACGGGAAAATACAGAAAATAAAAACATTTAAAAATTTATCCAGATGTTAATGTTTGACTGGAAGTTTTCTACTGGAAGAATTAGTTTGGATTTTACAATTTGGGAGAGGCAGAAGGGAGTTGGGGAGGTGGTCAAGCCCAAATTAGCATGTTGAATATCCAGATTCACAGACATTTCACTAAACCATTTATGTACTTAGCATTTTTGTTGACTAGTCTTTTCATTTATAGTGCTCTTAAATCACTCCATTTGTCAGTTACTCCATTTACCTGAAGATTAAAGTATACACTGTGATAGAAAAAAATAGATTGGCAGGGGCGGGGGTTGTATTATATAATGTAATAAATCCTATTAAACCTGTTAAAGTAGAAACATTAATTTTACGTTTTAGAATTTTCTTAATGACAGGAAAGTAAACTGGTAACTAAAATTCATTTTGTTCTGTAGGTTTGTGGCATTTTATGTGGGGAATGTAGATGCTAAGTGTTATGAGTTGTCCACCTGTATAAAACTACTTCCCAGAAGCCTTGATGTTCCCATAAAGAGCTAAAGACAAAACCAAATCAACTGCTAACACCTTTTATGGGAGATCAACTTGTGTGGGTTATGAGGCCCACCTTGACTAAGCAGGATATGTAGGTAAACCTGCCCAGTTGGAATTAGTAGCTGATACTCTAAAAGGAGAATGGTGAACAGGAGGCCATTAGCAGAAACAGCCTCATTCATTTATAGAGATCATCTTGTTAAAAGGGAAATCAGCTTCCCTAGATCCCAAGGGGGTATTGAAAATGCTAGGAGAGAGCCTAGAAAACTTTTCTGTGCAGATTGTCAGAAAAAGGTGAAAATATTTTCTTTTACTGTAAAAAGAAAGAAATTCTTTTCCTTCTTCCAAAGATGCCTTACCACCTTTGAAAAAGATTTTTAAAAGTCTCAGAGAAAATGAAATATAGATTCTTAAAGTGGAAAGGGACCTTAAAAATCCATCTGGTCTGGTTCATTTTATAGATAGAACTGAGAACCTCAAAAAGTTATGTAATTTGGCTTACATCACAAGAGCTAGTTTGAAGCAGAAGCTACGATTTTCTTACTGTGTCCAGTTGTTTGGAAGTATGAATAGTCATCATTAAAATGTAGGGAGTTTATAGGGAAGCTTATGACAACTATTAGTTAATTTACAATTTGTTCACTGTAGCTCATCTGCTTTGTTTCAGAAGAAAAATTCTATGTCTTGTGTGGAAAAACTCTTACCTCCCTATGAACAGAACTATAGGAAATTTCTTGCTAACTTGGATGTTTCAGCTACTTCAGGGTTATTTTAAGTAACTGGATAGTTGGTTTTCAGAATTCTAGTTACAGAAACTAGTAAAAGAATATGAGTTGTTGATACGTGGAAACTTTAGACCCAAAATAAAGGTAGGATGATGTGAGTTTAGTGCTTACAAATTTGAATGAAATAGTACCTTTTTGAGGTGTTTTAGTAGTTGCCCTTAATGATTTATTTTAAATTAGATGGCTTTGGGAGTAAAAATACTGCTTTTAGCAAAAAATAAATATAAAATTGAAACTTTTGCACGTAGAGTTTTTTTTTTCTTTTTGAGATAGATAAAGCCATCTAATGTCCTTTTCTATCATGTCTTGATAAGTCAAGAGCAGACCACTTGATGAAGAAAAATGAAATATCATCTAAAATAGAAAAATATCCTGTTAGGAAAAATACCACCGTTTTTTCGCTGCCTTTAGTCTGGTTGTTCTTATTGTGTGAAGGGAACTTAAATCTTGTCAAATTACATACATTGTAAGTCCCATTTCTGTCTTAAAAGTATAACCATGCATGCTCAATTAAGTCAGTTATCGTCTTCAGACTGTACTTTTGCTAATTAAGTCTTTTCCTTGGGGTTAAGATAAGACAAGATTTACAGATTTTTAAGTTTAAGGCCTGTAACTACTGAGGATGGTTTAAAGCTTTGATAAGTGAGATGTGGTGCTTTAAAGGAGGACTTTCCTTTAGTCTCTTAAAAACACTTGGAAGATATTTATTACAGTTTTCCAAAGTAAGATAAAGCTCAGCTTTAATAATGAGGACCTTGAAGTTTTTTTATGTGGTGGGGAGGTGTTAGGAAACTCATTTTTTAACTACCTTCAAGTGATTATCGAGGCAGGTTTTTCTTCCCTATGAGGAAGAAAATGAATTGTGCAATGCCAGTTTAAAGAAACTAAAGCAATGTATTTCTTACATAAAGTAGATCATTCTCTCTCCCTGTGTAACTGCCACCTGTTTAAAATAAGATTCCAGTCTTGCCTCTGTCAGTCTTAATGTGATAGACTCTCACTCAGTGAAGATCTATGGATTTATTTTATTGAAAACATTTGTTTAGCATATATCTGTGTTATTTTAATTTTAATGTTTTTAGAGATGAGGTCTAGCTATTTTGCCCAGGCTGGCCTTGAACTCCTGGGTTCAAGTGATCCTCCTGTTTGGCCTCCTAGGTAGCTGGGACTACAGGCATGAGCCACCATGCCTGGGTAAGATCTAATGATTTATTTGATTGAAAACACTTATTTAGCATACATTCATGTATTTTTGTAACTTGTTGCCTCCTGACAGGTCACTAGACATAGGAAAGTGCCTCTTTTAACACTTTCATAAACCTTTAACATAAACATTTTAAATTTCTTCATTATAGTGGAAATAGCGTCTCCCCTTATTATTGGACATTTTGAAAAATTAAAAAAATTTTAAAACAATTTTTATCATAAATACTAGATGGGAATAATTATATATGAAGCTTGTCTGACAAGTTGGATTTTTATGATAGGATAGAATCCCAGGAGTAGAATTATTGGGCATACCCTTTTAAGCCTCACAGTAAATTATTACTAAAGTGTGTTGCAAAGATTTTATCAGTTGTATAGACTCCCAGATATGAATTCCAGGGCCCTTCAGGGGAATTAGTGGGGACATTTTGCAAAGAGCAACAGATGGTGTCTGGAAACATGTTCTTTAATCTTTGCTGTGCCACATACTAGTTGTAGATATCTGGGTTAGTAACATAGGTTGTGTGGGCCTTACTTTCCTCACCATAACTCAGGTGAATTTTAACTATTCTACTGGCCTTAATTCTCATTCTGTAAAATATGAGTATAATCAAGGAGAATCAGTGCCTATATATTACCAAGTGATTTGTCTGGGAAAAAAGCAGAAGCAGGGAATGTCAGATGTACCTAGAAAAAGGAGCAAGTTAGGGGAAATGCACAAAACATGATTTGCTCTTCTGGTTTTTTTAAGAATAGAGTCTAGGCTGGGTGCAGTGGCTCACACCTGTAATCCCAGCACTTTGGGAGGCTGAGGTGGGTGGATCACTTGAGGTCAGGAGTCTGAGACCAGCCTTGCCAACATAGCGAAACCCCATCTCTACTAAAAATACAAAAATTAGCCGGGTGTGGTGGCGGGCTCCTGTAATCCCAGCTACTCAGGAGGCTGAGACAGGAGAATCACTTGCACCTGGGTGGTGGAGGTTGCAGTGAGCTGAGATTGCACCATTGCATTCCAGCCTGGGTGACAGAGTGAGACTCGGTCTCAAAAAATAAAAAGAAAAAAGAAAAAATAGAGTCCCATAAAATTATGTCAGATAGACACTCCTCCTGAGACTTAGGGATTTTCAAACCATTTCAAATAGAAAATGAAAGTGTAAGGAGACAAGTGTGTAACTTTCCAAAAGAAGTTGTGTTCTGTGTCCGTTTTAGGTTACAGAATGACTCAAGCCAAAAAAAAAGTATGTTATTCATTCATTTACACAAAATACAAAATATTTTCATTATCTTCTGTTATTTGTTTAAATTGATAAAATTATATTTATGGTGTACAACTTTATTTTTTGATATATGTACACATTGTGGAATGGCTAAATCAAGCTAATTAACATATGCATTACCTCACATACTTTTTGTTGTGAGAACACCTAAAATCTACTCTTCACAATTTTCAGGTGTACAGTATATTAACTGTAGGCCTATGATTTACCATGGATCTCTTGAATTTATTCCTCCTGTTTAGATGAAATTTTGTATCCTTTGACCAACATTTCCCCACCCCTTCTACACCCCAGCCTCTGGTTACCACCATTCTACTCTCTGCTTCCATGATTTAGACTGTTTTAGATTCCACGTATAAGTGAGATCATTGGCATTTCTCTTTCTGTGCCTTAGCTTATTTCACTTATTATAATGTCCTCCAGGTTCATCCGTGTCGTTGCAACTGACAGGATTTTCTTCTCTTTGAAGGAAGAATAGTATTCTGTTGTGTGCGTATACTACATTCTCTCTATCAGTTCATCTGTTGATGGATACTTAGGTTGATTCCATATCCTGGCTCTTACGAATAATGCTGAAATGAACAGGGGAGTACAGATACCTCATCAACACACTGATTTCATTTCTTTTGTATTTATAACTATTGGTGAGACTGGTGGATCATATGATAGCTCCAATGTTAGTTTTTGAGGACCCTCCATACTGTTTTCCATAGTGGCTGTACCAATTTACATTCCCAGCAACAGCGTACAGGGGTTTCCTTCTCTCTGCATCCTCATCAGCACTTGTTCTGTTTCATCTTTTTGATAATCACCATTCTAACAGGTGTGAGGTAGTCTCTCATTGGGTTTTAATTTGCATTTCCCTGATGATTAGTCATGCTGAGCACTATTTCATATACCTGTTGGCAATTTGTATGTCATCCCTTATGAAATGTCTGCACCCTTTGCTGTTTTTTTATTAGGTTTATTTATTTTCTTGCTATTTAGTTGCTTTAGCTTTTTACATGTTTTGGATACTAATGTCTTATCAGTTGTATGGTGTGTTTTCAAATATTTTCTCCCATTCTGCAGGTTGTCTCTTCACTCTTGATTGTTTTATTTGCTGAGCAGAAATTTTTAGTTTGATGTAATCCTATTTGTCTATTTTTGTTTTTGTTGCCTATACTTTTAGGGTCATATTTAGAAAGTCATTGCCCATACCAGTGTCAGAGAGCTTTTTCCCTATGTTTTCTTGTAGGAGTTTTATAGTGTCGGGTTTCATGTTTAAGTATTTAATCAATTTTGAGTTGATTTTCGTAAATGATGTGAGATGAGGGTCTAATTTCATTCTTCTGCATGGGGACATTCAGTTTTCCCAACACCATTTATTGAGGAGACTGTTTTTTCCCCATTGTGTGTTCTTGGCATCTTTATTGAAAATCAATTGACCATAAATGTGTGGTCTCTCTATTATATTCATATTTTTTAAGTAAATTATTTTATGATGAGAAAGGTGGCAAAAATTCTGCATTATCTTTGATATGTAAGAAAAGGCCATTTGGGCACAGATTGGACCTGATTATTTCTCTTTTCAAGAAGCAAGTACCTTATCTCTATTCTTATTCCAAAGTGATTTAATCTCTATTAATAATTTAGGCAACTAAACATCATTACTGATTGTAGGAGAAATCTGAGTCTAGTCTGTCTATACTGATCAAGAACCAGGACTACCTCATGGAGACTTTGGTAAAATAAATCTCAACAGCACTCACCAGATGAATAAAGGTTTTCTTGAACTAGTTTAAGATACTTGGTTATCAGTTGAACACAAATAGTAATAATTTAAGGTTTCATGAATTGACATGTCTATAATTAGCTTCCTAAACTAAGAATAACAAAAAATGAGTAGTTTGTTAATTCCTAATAGCCTGTGATGAAAGTTATTATCTGGGGTTTTTTTTGGGTCTGTTTTAAAAATTAACACTTTGGCTCTGATTATAAAATTTATAAATTGGAAATTGAAATTACTGGATAAAATACAATTTATGTTTTAAAAACATTTTCAAGTGGAAAAAATTACAGCTTGGCTGAATAGTGATAATTTTCAAACTAAGCCTTTGAGTTCACTATTTAGAGTTCTCTGATAAATTGTTAGAGTTAGAAGTAGTGAGTTCATTGCTTGACTGAATAAATAATTCATATGGCACAAAAGCAGCTTTTTCTTTCTCTTCAGTTCCCTTCTCCCCCATTATGTTCACTTTCTCTCTTGTAAAAGGCTCCTTTGCAGCCAAATAGCAACCTTGTGTGAATATGCAGGGACTTGGGCATAGTTTCAACCTCAGTGTTAGCTGAGTATCTGGAGTCATGGAAGAGAATTAAGAATCTGTCTTGAATGTATATTTTCTAGTAGCAACTGAAAAGAAATATAGTAGTTGTAAATTGCTAGACCTTACTCTTACGGTACAGTTGCTCTGGAAATCTCTTTTTAGCAAAATAGGATTTTATTTCTGGATATAGAATCTTTCGTAGTGTCTGCGTCAAAACAAAATTAAGTTTTAAAATTGAGTAAATCATTTATTTTTTCTAGTTTTTTCAGAAATGCTTTTTTACTAGACTAAATAACTTTTCAGCATCAGTCTGATAAGCATAGAATTTTCAAAATTCTTTACTTGCTATTTTAGAATTCTTTATTTTCTAAGAATTATGAAGACTGTATTAGGTATTTATGTGGACTTCCTTTTTTTCCTACCTTTTATTATAGCACCAAAATTGGAATTACGCTAGATTATTTTCTCTCTGCTGTTTAAATCATAAGAGACTCTTTTATTGGGTCAGGGCAATTGTCTTTCTAGCACAATAATCTTCTTTGATAATGTCACTACTGGAAATTATGTTTATCCTTCATAAATTAACTAATCCTTATTTTTGTAATAAATTATCTGATATCCTTCAGAGGTTATCTAAAAATATTCCTTTAAGTCTGCATGTATTCAGCATATTTCATGGTATAACAAGACTTTTACAGTTGTATAACAGAAATTTAAAATAAGGCAACGGACTGTAATCCAGACTTCTGTCAACTGGAAATTTTTATGAAGTAGTATTTTGCTGGTATACTGATACTTCACCAAATACAATGTTTATCTTTAAAGAAGTTTCTAAATAAGACAAAACATTATGTTTAGTAAAATTCAATGTAGTATGTTTTACTGTATACTAATTCTTTATATAGCCCATAATCATAATACATAGGCTATATAATACATGTAAAGCATATAATTCATAATACATAGGATACAAATCAAATATATGAGCTTTATTTTGATATAATCAGACTTTATTCTGTTACCTATTTGCCTTTCTTTTTCAAACTTTTAAGCGTTGCCCTTATTTTCATAAGACTTAGTGTTTCACTCAGTATTAAATTTATCCAAAGTCATTGTGATTTTATGAAACATTGTGATTTTAAGTGCTGAACCATGTTGTTTTTCAATGTAAAATGAGTGTAACTTTTAGTAATTATTGAAATTTAAGCGTTACTGTGATTTTCCATAATTCTATTTCGGTAGTCACAAAAAAACAAAAATTTGGCTTCTTATTGGCCCTTCTAGTGCCAACACTGGCATTGTTGAAATACATTTCTAAGGAAGATGGTGAGTGTTTCACTTCATTAGTAGCTGCATGACAAGCCACCCCAAAGTTTAATGGCTTAAAACAACAGTAATTCATTATTTCTCATAATTTTGAGAGTTGACTGAGTGAGTCTTCTGCTTTGTGTGGTCTTGGCTGGGGTGCTAGGAAAGAGGGCAGTCCACAGTGGCCTCACTTACATAGCTGGCAGTGGATGCAGGCTGCTGGCGTGGAGCACAGTTGGGGGTGGCCTGGGTGCCTCAGCTCTCCTTAAGTGTGCCTCTCTGTGAAGTTAGTTGGGCTTGCTTACAACATGGTAGCTGGATTCCAAAAAGAAATGTTCCAAGGGCAAAGAAGCTGCAGCCTTTTAAAGGGCCATATTTAGAAGTTACTTAGCATTACTTCTGCCCATTCTGTTGATCAAAACAAGTCACAAGGCCAGCCCAGATCAACAGGAAGAGAAATAGGCTTCATTTGTTAAAGATGGAGTAGCAAGATTACACTGTAGAAGAGCAAATGGTTTGGGATGTATTGTTGCAGCCATCTATGGAAATGCAAACTACCACAAGGAAGTGCAGTTTTTGCTGAGCATGGGTATTTGCCATTACCACATTTCAGAAACTGGTATAGTCAAGCACACATGGATTTGACCACTGGATTTACACTAGGGTCACTTAAGAGCTATCAGCCACTGTCTTCTCATCTGTATGACAGTAGTAGTATCAACCTCACAGGATTGACAGTTAAGTGAGATAATTTGGAAGTACACAGCGTAGTGCTGGAAATTCCATTACTCCCATCCTGTTTCTTTTCCCATGTCCCTCATGTTTAATTTTTATATTTGTGATTATAATACTTAAAGGTATGTTTTAAAGATAAATCATAATTCATCTAAAGTCTTTGTCTTACCAAGATAGTTCAATAGTTCCAATCTGAATAAAGTTTATAACATTAACATAATTTATAGATCTTCTAATACAAGCATCTGTCTAATGCTAGAATTCTTTATAAACCACTGTATATAGGCTACTCACAATGTAATGAGCTACTAATTGGTAGAAACAAGTGGCTATTTGCCATAGTTCTACATTCTGTTCTACCTTCTATTTTGCAGAAAAATCTTACAGCTTTCCTAAGCCATCTTTTTAGGTCAATTCCAGAATTTGTTTATGATCAAATTGACAAGTACCTAGCCAAAGAGATTAAGATACTGAATCAGAGAAAGAAGTCTAAAGAGATAATTTTCCAATGATCATTTCTAAAGAAGGAATAGAGATAAAATATTTTAAAACAGGTACTGAATAGTCACAGTCAAAGGTTTGATTATGAGTCAGCTTTGTTGGTTTTAGTCTCATTAGTCACCAGCACCACCAACCTGTCATATTGGCAATACATAGTTTTGGTCACCAGGAGAAGGAGTCACAGAAAACCAGTACTACTACTTACAGAAGATTAACTGAAAGCACATGTCCTGATTTGTTCTTGAAGATAAGACTGAGGTGAATATTGCTTAAAACAGTATCAGCAAAATACAAAATCAAGTGAAATATTACATTGAATATAATAATTGAAAGAATGAGGATAGACACAAAGAACTTTTGGATGCTAGTGATTAGATATTAGAATTAGTTTCTCAGAATATTTTAAAGAATTTAACAAATGACAGTGTTATGAATTATGTGGGCAGTGCTTAAAGTGGGAACAGAGCAAAAGAAGTGGATTTAGTTTTGTCAAGTCTGTCTGTTCAGCGTTAGGGGGAACATTTTATTTCTTCTGAAACAATGATATTGGAATCCCATTTCATCTTTTCATTTTCAAACACTGACTTTATAAGTGACTTTGGGAGAAGCTTTTAAGTTTTATATAAAGCACTTTTTTTGTACTTAGCACAAAGTGGGCACCTTTAAAATTACCTGTTTGTATAGCAGTTAATTTAAAGAATATGTTCATGCATATTACTATATTTTCTCGATTCTAAAAGCTCATCAATTGTAAGGCACATTCTTTGATTTCATAACAACTTTTTAATGTCTCTTTTTGGAAAAATAAAACACTTTTCTTGGGGGAGGAGGAGAATTTTTCTAAGGATTATTCTGAATTCCTTTGGGCCATAGGCACTGTAGCAAATGCTGCTCTTCCTGATCTTTAACACTTTTAGGATTGATAGTGTCGTTCTGAGCCATGTCCAGGAATTACTTTGGCGAGGTTTCCATTTCCTATTTAATTAAAATTTTTTTACTAATTATATTACATTTCACTAGAAGTTAAATAACTTCTCTTGAAAGTCATCCAGAAGACTTTAACAGCCAGATATTTGGTATCTGCTCAGAATTATCACTTGTGAAACCTTCATTAAACATAATTCAGCCACATGTCACAGAAAGTTCTGCATGTATAATAACTTTTTGTTTCAATGCTGCATTATAGTGATCTTTAAAAGACATTTTAAGAGGTAATTTAGGGATTTCAAATTAAGTTAAAATTTAGCTGTGCATAGTTCTGTTGATGCTGATAAGTGAACAGAAGGTAAATTCTTAGTCATGTCTAAGTTCACACAGAGATACAATAATACACGTGGGTGTAATACAAAGCATTATAGTATTTTGTATAGTATCTCCTTTGTTATTAAAAGTTCTTTTGATATCTTTGGTAAGACTCCTATTGATTTGAAAAATGTTACTGTGAAAAAAATGTGCTTTAAGAGTTGAGAAAGTAAATTATTCCTTTTTTTCTCTCAGCAGCTGTTTAAGGAAGACAGAGCAGGCATTGGATAATATTCTTATTAAGGTAAAGAATCTGGGTGTTTGAGCCCTAAAGTCATACAGCAAGTAGTCCACCTGGAATCATGAACCAGGTCTTCAGGACTTCCAGATATTTGTGCTGTATACTATGCTGCATTTTCAACAATAATTCATTTATCTGTGGGTTTGATTTAATGAGACTCATTTATTCAACAAATATTTATTAAATGCTATTCTTGCCAGTCATTGTGTTAAATGATAGTGTAACACAGTAAACAAGACAGATATCTTTCCATGTCCTCACGAAACCAGCAGCTTTGGAACTAAACAAATAATTATAACTAAGATGAGCATTAAGGGAGAAATTGTAAGATGATAGGAAAGAATATAACAGGCGGACTTAACCTGCTCTGGGATGGTGGGGGAGTGTTGAATGTGAACTGAGGGTAGGACATGAGAAATAACTTTTGGGCTGAGATTGGAAGAATCAGCATGAGTTAGCTTAAGCCTAGGAATTAGGAGAAGGGTTAGGATGGAACATTGCAGGCAACAGAAATAGCATCTACAAAAGTAAAAGGAAGAACTGAAAAGATTCCAGTGTGAGCGTTGAAAAGAAGGATAAGTAAATGTAGAGAAGAATGTAGGAAAGAGATTATGCATTCTTCAGGATTTTTTGACCTATATCCTAAGGGATATTGGGAAACCATGGAAAGGTTTTAAGCATCGGGGTATGCCATGATTAAATTTTTCATTTGAAAATCATGAGTCTGACTATAGTATATATAGAAGCATTGTTGTTAGATGCTATTTCGGTAGGCCAGGTTGGAGATGATGGTTACAGCAGTGGAGCTGGAGAGAAGGGAATAGATTTGAAATTTGGGATGTGAACAAAGCCTTGTATTTGACAGAAATGTAAAACTATTAATAGTATTGTTATTGTTCCACCTATAGAATCTGATTATAAGATTATCTCTAAAATACTTTCAGGTAACTTGTACTTAATGTTAGGAGGAAGTGACTATATTATAAATATAATTTAGAAAACATCGTTCCTTAAAAAATAATTTTTGAATTGTGCTAATTCTTGTTATTGTTTGACTTCATTAACTAATATAGGGAGTATAGGGAGAACTTAGTTTTAAAAGATAATTTGACTTCCTGATTTATACATAAAACACATAAGTAATTTTGGACATATATGATGTGTATATATATATATATATAGTGCAGGTCATCTTGTTTACACCACTTATTAATGAATATCAGATTTGGAAGGTGACTCTTTAGGATTTTCCTATTGGTTGATTGATTGAAACTTACATGAAGAATTTAACCCTTTTGTTTCAAATAGCTTTCTATTAAGAAACACTTTTTTCATGATTATTCAGAGAATTTATTGCTGGATCATTGGCTCTAGAGATAGACTGCTGGTTAAATTAAAAGATGCCGGAGGAAACATTTTGGAAACAGACTTCACAGAATTCCTTATGAACTTCTGTACTTTCTTAACCAATCTTATTTCTTTCATGTACCTATGGCTGTTACTAGCCTGTTGTATCAGGGATACCATAGTCAACTACCTATACGGGCCTTAACTATAAAGAATTAGGCCATTTAGGGAAATAATAATGAGACTGGGGCTTTAGAGAATTTGTGCTCATCTAACTGAGTAGAGGGACAGCTAATATTCTGCTCCATCTGATGGTGATCATGGGAGTATTCAGGCTGATTGTTACCCAATATTTCAGTTTTTCCAAAGGATCCTAAAATACAGATTTTTATGTAAATTAGTTGGTAATTAATTTAGGTGTTTTTAAGATACTCTGTGACAATAACTCTACAGGGCAAAATCGACCTGTTAAATATATTTGGCCCATAGGCTGTTGTTTTATAGCCTTGACCATATAGAAATCTTCAATATCTATTTAAAAGTAAGAGGTCAAAAGTATTTCTAGGAAAAGTGAATGCCAAAAGAAGGGAGGAAGGGAAGGCATAAATGAGATACTTTTTAAAAGAAGTACAAAACTAGTTATCTAGGTTATATTTTTAAACTAAGTTCAAAAAGAAATTCACTGTCCTGAGAATAATTTTCATATGCTTCAGAACATACTTCTAGCAACTTCAGCCATCTGCGTGTGTATAACTGGGAACTCAGAGTAGGATGAGAATGCACAGGGCGTAGAGAACCAATGAACTGTAGATGAGAGTGTAGTGGTTCTCTGAAACTGTTGTGAGCAGAGTACAGCAGGAACAAGAGACAGTTGATATTGGAGCAAAATCAGGCTATAAGAACATAGCGATCTGAGTACATCATGGGCCCCTGAAAGCATTACTAGACTAAAAGCATAATTTTTTATACTGATGATCAAGAAGAGGTCATATTGGTACACTAAGATTGAATAACTCTGCTCCCAATAGCACATGTAATACACAATCACTGTAGGAAATCAGGAAAATATACAAAAAGTAGCATATGGTTTTTTTTTAAAGCTAGGAATGGGTAAAATTCTAAAGTTTTCTAAAAGTAATGAAAATAGAACTTGGCAATTGTTAGTTTCCTAATAGCTAATTAGTTTCCAAATTAGTCTAATTTGGCTTAAATAAAAAGAATATTGGTTAGCTCACATAAGAAAATACATATATTAGGATTAGTTACGCCAGTGGCTCAGTGATTTTTTTCAAGGACTCAGTTTGTCGTCTACTCTACTCTTTATCCATAATATTTCCTTTATCCCAACACTGTAGTTGCCAAATGGCTGCTGGCTGCAATCAGGATTGTGTGTTTCCTCCTTCAGATCCAAAGAGAGAAATAAACTTCTCTTGGCGTTCTCATGGGCAATATAGGTTCTTTTCTCTGAGAAGTCCTTATGCACTCCTGCCCCCAACTTGCTCCTTATTGTCCTAAATTAGCTTAATTCTAAATATGCCTTAACTAATCGTTGGCAAAAGGGATGAGCTTACCATAATGGATTAGATTAATTGTGGTCTACCCTTGCAGCTCAGGACAGTCAGCTTACCCTGAGGCGCATTGACCACTGGGAGAGATGTGGATATAGAAATCCAATCATGGATCATTAGGAAGAAGGAAGCGTTGGATAGGCTCTCAGCATGGTCCACCACAGTTGCATTAAGGATTGTGTATTACGTTTTTTACTTATGTGAAACACCACCTTCCCCCATCAAGCCTGTAAGTATGAAGTCGAGTCCCTAGTGAATCTACTCTCTGACTCCTGTGTTTCAAGCACCCTCATTAGCAGAGCTTATATAGTTCGGAGTTGAAGAATTTTTTTTTCCCAAAAATTCTCTTCTCATTTAATAGACACCTGTCTGTAGAGTAAACTATGCAGGCCATAAATGGAACAAAGATAGTTTAGGAAAATACAGTTTCTTAAATAAATTACTTTTAAAAAGTATATTTTCTCTCAGCTCTTCTCTCCAAAGGAGTTTTGTATCATAACCTCTGTAGTAAATAGTGTCATCTTTATTGTCTGATTATAAAGGTGAAGTATAATTTATGGGATAATTTACAAAGCAAAAAAGAAATACTTATTTTTAAAGTTTAAAAATTTTCTGTGTAGAAAATACTATAATAATGCATGATTTTAAGAATCTGTTATTTTGGCTAAAATATTTAACCAGCCAACCATATATCTTATTTCTTTCAGTTGCTAGATTTCTGAATGTTAGCCAAATATTTTAGTATCTGGGTCACATAGTCATTACAAACAAATGTAGGCCAAAATGGTTTATGCTTCTCAGTTGCCAGCTCAGTTCTCTCTTTGACTTTTTATTATTTGTTTCTCTTTGAACTAAACTTTATTTACTTATATTAGCACAGTACTGTGTTAATTCTTTGTGTAGAACTGGTCTTCTTGTGTCGTTTTGCCCCAAATCAAGGTAACAAACAAATAAATGACTGTGCTCTTGGCTGTTATTTAGAATTGTTACTATACAAAAGGTCACACATGTTAAATTACCTACTGCAGTGCTAATTATTGTGAAACCTTGTTCAAAATGCTAGAGAGACTGTGTTTTGGCACTTCTGCTGTAACAGTTTTTAAAGATCCAACCTGTATGCATTTTGGTATTGAAATCCTCAAAACTCCTAAAGACCCTATGTTAATTTAAAATGCAAAGTTGTCTCACCTTTTTATACTAGATGAGATAGCATTTTTCTTAAAGTAAAATGAGAACTCTTATGTGTTATGATATAGAGGTAAGGGCAGGGAAAGAGAGGGAAAGAAGAAAGGAGTACATTGGAGTAACAAAAATTCCACCTTCATTTATAAAGTGCTATAGGCTCTAAAACTCCATTCTGAAATACTCTTTTAACTTTGAAAGGGGTATGTTTACTGCCAGCTTCTGTTAACACAGGAACCATGGTTTTTCTGTTCTTAAAATTAAGAACCTTATACCTTTTGGAATTTTTAATATTTTTCTCTATGTTTGTAATGCTTTTAATTATGTTTATTACTAACTGATGTTATTAACTATATTTATAATTTGTACACTCTATTCTGTTTGGAAAGTACAAAATGATACCATAGATACTTCCTGAATTTTTTTAGAAAAATCAAAATTTTATTCATCTTTATTCATAGCATCATTGGACATTCAGTTAGTAAATTTTCCAGATAACAAACACCTATCTTCTTTGATTGCTAGAATAGTTAATCTCAACCCCTCTTGTTATAAAATATAGTGACTGTGGATTGTTGATGAAAATTTCTTAAGACAGTGTATTCAGGAAGACACTGCCTCAGGGCTACTGAGGTATGTCATAGGGCCATTTGTCCTTTCAAAAATAATTCTCAGTAGCTATTGTTGCTTTGCATTTGTATAAAGTGTCTGTTTTTTCAAAGCTTGATATTAATTCTGATAGCTACTAGTGTACAGAGAAGGGTGTCTGTGAATAAAGTAAGAGAAAGAATGTTCATAATAGATTTGAAGAGCACTTCAATGAGTAAAGTACTTGGACTTTACAATGTTTGCTTTTACTTCACTAAGTCCTGCCCTGTGCCCCTGCTCCTGCCCCTTTATGCCATAGTCTCTTTTTTAACATGGTACTTGGCAGTGTTCCAGGTAGTTATTGTAAGAAGGATGAGCTTAGACTTGGAGCTAGACAAACATGATGGGAATTAAAACAGGATAATTTAATAGCTGTGAGACCTTAAGCAAGTTCACAACTGCAAAATGGGTTTGTATATACTATCTCTCACGGTTGTAAGGATTAAATATAATGGATATAGTTTAGGAGGTATTTTAACAAATGCTAGTTCCTTTCCTTATACTTTAAGATAAATGACCCACTTACTTTGGAAATGGTATTTGCCTATTTTAGTATGATGCTATAAGGTTTAAAGGGTCAGTATCCCTAAAATATGACAGCTGTTAAGATCTCTTTAATTATTCAGAAATGAATGGTATGTGACAAGATATTATTGGTTAATTCAGTGGATCAGATGAATAAAATGTGCTGAAATATTTTGGAGACTGAAAATATAAATTTAGATGCAAGAAATATATTTTAAATAAACATGGAAAACAGTTTTTTTATCCGAGTCTAATCACGTTGAAATATTTTATGAATATCCCCAGAGAGTTCGTAAATTAGTGAGTGATTTTTTTAAATGCAAAGGTAAATACCTAGAAATCATATATACACTTAAAGTAAAATCTCACAGAGTTCTCAAGGCCATTTTGCATTTACTAGTGCCACAGTAGTGGCGTTACAGTGAGCTGCAGTAACCTGAAACAGTACTGCATGGATGCTCTAATAAATTGCATGTCTGGAGGAAGCAGCTAACTATGGCGACCGCCACGGAGCAGTGGGTTCTGGTGGAGATGGTACAGGCGCTTTACAAGGCTCCTGCTTACCATCTTATTTTGGAAGGGATTCTGATACTCTGGATAATCAGACTTCTTTTCTCTAAGACTTACAAATTACAAGAACGATCTGATCTTACAGTCAAGGAAAAAGAAGAACTGATTGAAGAGTGGCAACCAGAACCTCTTGTTCCTCCTGTCCCAAAAGACCATCCTGCTCTCAACTACAACATCGTTTCAGGACGCAGTCTTGCTCTGTCACCAGGCTGGAGTGCAGTGGTGCGATCTCGGCTCACTGCAACCTCCACTTCCCGGGTTCAAGCCATTCTCCTGCCTCAGCCTCCTGAGTAGCTGGGACTACAGGCACAAGCCACCATGCCCGCCTAATTTTTGTATTTTCAGTAGAGACGGAGTTTCACCATGTTGGCCAGAATGATCTTGATCTCCTTTTTTTAAATTAAAAAGTAAACTTTAATGTCGAAAATGCAAACCTGGGGAGGGCAGAAAGATCACACACAAGGCTGTCACTTCACACTTGGAAGGTTGCACAGCAGCCAGGCAGAGACCCTCCTCACTTCCCAGATGGTGAGGGGGCCGGGTGGGGGCACTCCTCACTTCCCAGACGGTGCAGGGGCTGGGCAGAGGCACTCCTCCCTTACAAATGGTGAGGGGGCTGGGCAGAGGTGCTCCTCACTTTCCAGACAGGGCGGCGGCTGGGCAGGGGCGCTCCTCACTTCCCAGATGGGACGGTGGCCGGGCAGAGGCGCTCCTCATTTCCCAGACGGTGAGGAGGCCAGGCAGAGGCACTCCTCACTTCACAGACAGGACGGCAGCAGGGCAGAGGCGCTCCTCATTTCCCAGACGGTGAGGAGGCCGGGCAGAGGCACTCCTCGCTTCGCAGACGGGACGGCGGCAAGGCAGGGGCACTCCTCATTTCCCAGACGGTGAGGAGGCCGGGCAGAGGCACTCCTCGCTTCGCAGACGGGACGGCGGCAGGGCAGAGGCGCTCCTCATTTCCCAGACGGTGAGGAGGCTGGGCAGAGGCACTCCTCGCTTCGCAGACGGGGCGGCGGCGGGGCAGAGGCGCTCCTCATTTCCCACACGGTGAGGAGGCCGGGCAGGGGCACTCCTTACTTCGCAGACAGGACGGCGGCGGGGCAGAGGCGCTCCTTGTTTCCCAGATGGGGCGGCGGCTGGGCAGAGGCGCTTCTCACTTCCCATACTGTGAGGCAGCTGGGCAGAGGTGCTCCTCACTTCCCAGATGGGGTGGAGGCCAGGCAGAGGCGGCGCTCCTCCTCAATTCCCAGATAGTGGGCGGCTGGGCAGAGGCGCGCCTCACTTCCCGGACGGGGCGGTGGCCGAGCAGAGGCGCTCCTCACTTCCCAGAGTGTAGGGGGGCCGGGCAGAGGCACTCCTCGCTTCCCAGAGTGTAGGGGGGCCGGGCAGAGGCACTCCTCGCTTCGCAGACGGGACGGTGGCTGGGCAGAGGCGCTCCTCACTTCCCAGACAGGGCGGCGGCCTGGCGGAGGCACTCCTCACTGCCCAGACGGGGCAGGGCCTGGGCAGAGGCGCTCCTCACTTCCCAGACTGTGAGGCTGCTGGGCAGAGGCTCTTGTCGCTTCCCAGACAGGGCGGGGGCCGGGCAGAGGCGCTCCTCACTGCCCAGATGGTGCGGTGGCCGGGCACAGGCGCTCCTCACTTCCCAGATGGTGGAGCAGCAGGGCAGAGGCGCTCCTCACTTCCCAGATGGTGCAGGCAGAGATGCTCCTCAGGTCTCAATCTCTTGATCTCCTGATCCGCCCGCCTGGGCCTCCCAAAGTGCTGGATTACAGGCATGAGCCACCACGCCTGCCCTGCCGTGTCTTCTTTCTCCTCCTAAGCAACTGTCTTAGTCTCCTGAATTTTGATATTCTACTTAACACTCTCATGTTCTTACGCATGTTGCCATGCTGGAGGCGTCCTTCTCTTTGGGAAGCCTGACCCACCAACAGTGCCTCAGGAGATAGACATGGAAGCTTTGCCGGTGGGGGCCGCTCGTCTCTATCACACCTCAGTTGCAGGGGAGGGGTCGGTTGCAGCTGCAGCGGTGGCCCCGACAGTTTTCTTTTGTGGGACCTGTGGCCGGCAGCTCTGGGTGGAGAAGACCTACTTGATCCAAGAGCTGCAGGATCCTTGGGCTGCATGTCCTCCCCCACCATCAGCAAGCCTGGAGAGCTGGGCAGGTGGTCTTCACCCAGCACCTTCAAGGCCGCCTTCTCTGGCCACAGGGAGCAGCCCGGAACTGGGGCAGGGAGCACTGTTGGAAGTGGGTCAGGCTTCCCAAAGGGAAGGATGCCTCCAGCAGGGCTGTGTGAACTGGCGACTCCATGGCCCTTGGAGTAGAAACTCACTGCATGCACCTGGGCCTTGTCAGTCTGATTCTTTTCTGTCAAGCTCTTGAGGTGGACATTTCCCTCCAAGGGCCTGGGATTGTACCAGGAAGAAGTGAGGTTTCCCTGAGTCTCCAGGGGCCTAGAGGTGGAGGCTGCTTCCCCATTGCTACAGGGGCCCCTTTTATTGTCCTCCTGCCCCTGGGTCTCTACCTGGTCTTTCACCTCTGTTGCTTCTTTGGGCTCTTCTGCGCTCACCTCCGTCTTCGGGAGCCTGGCTGGGATCACCTGATCATCTAATGAAGGAAGTTGAAGGTTAAACTTGCCTCTGAGACAAGGGATCCTTACGGGGCTGAGGTGTCCAAACATTATGGAGTTGTGAGGAGACAGCACGGGTTTCTTCCTTGAGGGGGGGCTCCAGACCACAGGACGCAGGACCCTCTGTGGGGTGCCCGTGTTCCGAGGGATAAGACACAGCCTCATAGGGGCGCCGTCCCACCTGACTGGAAAAGAAGGCCCAAGATGTCGCTGACGGTTGAAGAGGAGTGGGAAACGGCCCACAATTCCCCGGGCAGGCACAGGTGCAGGAGCTGCAGGGTGAGCCCGGCCAGCTGGGAAGGCCTCACGGACAAGACGAGCAGGTTGCCGATGGCATGGCCAGGACCTGCGGCAGAACCAGGAACAAAATACGCTTAGCGAGTTGCCCATTTTGAGTGAGTTGTGCACAGACGAAACTAAGGGTCAGAAGCGGAGAGGATACTCCTAAGTCACCCACTTCTCTGTGGCTGGGTGCACACTGGGCATCTGGGAGTTTATGACATCACTATGGGGCTGGTGACAGAGCCAGTGTGTGGAGGAGTGCTTAGGAGCCCAGCGAGGGTGCCTACAAGAGGAGTCAAAGGGCAAAGGGTGAGACCCTTCCACCGGTCCAGCTGGACTCTAGCCTCAGGGATATCCTGCTCCTGGGGGCAAGTGTGTGGCCCTGGATGGGCCCCCCTGTGGGGCTGTTGGGGGTGCGAGGCTGATCCGCCAGAGCCCTTCCACCTGGCGCCTGGCCCAGGTGCTGGCTAGCACCCAGTGGCCCTGTTTTGGCCGGCCCTGTCCCCCAGGTTACAGGGCCAGAACCTGGAAGCAGAGCGCAGGACCAGCCAGATCGCGCCAGGCTTCCCCGGGGCCTCTCCAGTGCCTCTGTGCCACCTGGAGCCAGGCCCGCCTTCTCCATGGCTGCCGTGGCCTCAAGGGCCACCAGCCTTGCTCCGCAGGTTTCCAAAGAGAGGACGCAGTGCCCTGACCTGACTGGATGCACCTCTTACCACATGCCTCCCTGGCAGGCAGGGTCTCCACTTTTTACAAATTTGCCTGAGACCATTCCTCAGGTCATTCAGGTGGTCATGGCCCAGCCAGGCTTTGAACCCAGGCTGTGCGATTCCACAGCTGGCGCTCTGGCCTGTGTGCCTCATGATCATGGATACAGCATCTATTCTTATTTTTTCATGTAGTCCTGGGGTACTTAGCACCGTGGCATATCTGTAATAAGCACATGCACACCTCGAAGGAGGTCTTCACTTCAACATACGAGTTGACCATGGCATGCTCTGGGCTCCAGTCCTCTACAAAGACGTAGGGCAGGAACTACCAGTTGTCAGCACAGCACCATCCCACATTGCTCTTCTAATGGAGCCTTTCACCCCAGATGTTCTTTCTCGTCTGATGGGAAGGATCCAAGTATGTAAAGATTATGTTATAGATCAGCTTTGGTCTGTCCTAAAAGAAATTTGCCAGTGGATTATTCCATATGGATAAAAGTCAGTTTCTCTGGTCTTCCTGGAATGTGTCTAGAAAGCAAATAGATTATTTACAAGTTCATAGTAGATCAATGTATTGGATTAAAATATGACAAACATAATTTGGTCATTGTGAGCATGCCAGCTTGGTCAACTATTCACCACACATGATGCCCTAAATATAACTCTAGGTTTTCTTATGCCCAAGAGAGGGACATACTCTTGGGTGTCTGGACTAGGGAAACATGTATGAAAAACCATTTGGCCACTCTACATCTTGTTATTGGAGAATTGAAACCATCTATATTCAAAGATATTATTAAAAGGCAAGAAGTTAAAAAATAAAAAAATAAATTGCATGTCTGTTGTTATGGAATTTTATAACTGTACATACCTTTTATTTAATCCATTCACAGGTCATATTATAGGATATCTTTCATTTAATAAGTATACTAAATCCATACCTTATACTGTTGAGTTTTGATAGTACCAGAGGGAAAAAAGAAGAAAAGCATGGCCTCTATCTTTAAGGAGCTATTTAACAGTCATATGAATCACTCGATTGAGAAGATCCATATGTGTAATATAATGAATTCCACAAAAATTGCTTATTAAAATTTTTTGAAAAAGTAGGGGTGAGATTGAATATAGCAAAGCTTTATTGTTGATTTTTGTTGTTGGCCAGGCCAAATTTGTGAACATTTTACATGATCAGCTATATCGAAATACATTTGTATGCTCTACTGAATATAGGGAACATAATTTAATATTTAATTTAAACTCCAGGTTACCATCATTTACAGGCATTCTGTGCATTAAACCGTTTTGCCTCTTCTTTCTTCCTCAGTAACACGTTTAGGGCCTTTTGATGCATTGGAAAGAAAAGGCAGTTGCGAGCTGCTGGCTCTAGCAAATCAGAGCTAATCAACCTGAGAATAATGTTTGCACTTTCCCGCTTTCAAGTCTTTGCTCAAACTGCTCTCTACCTTTGCTCCCACAGGTTAGTCCTTTCCCCCAATCTAAAATCTCTCTGACTAGCCCTGAACTTACTTTTTATAGCTCTCACTGTCTACCATCTCCTTCATCTTGAATATACCAGGACAGACTGGGAAGTTCCAGAAAAAAACAGACATAATACTTAAATCATCTTTGATACCTAATTTGTCCTCACTGCCAATTAATTAATTTTGTTTTGTTTTATTTAATTTTGTAAAGACAGGGTCTTGCTGTGTCACGCAGGCTCCTCTCAAACTCCTGGACTCAAGTGATCCTCCCACCTCAGCCTCTCAAAGTGCTAGGATTAGAAGCCGTGAGCCACTGCGCCTGGCCATAATTTAAATAATCCTTTAGATTCCTGTCTCTGTCCATTTTCAAAGCCAGGGTTACACTATCATAACATACCCCATGATGTACACCATTGCTAAAACAATCTTCCTGAAGTACTAATTAGATTTTTGAGCAGAGAATAAAACCATCCTTTCCAGTGTTGGCAAATATTCAACGTACTGTCCTGAAATACCTGTAGTACTTCCAAGTTTCTGCTTTGTGCTCACACTGTTTTCTTTGACCTGAAATGCAATTTCTATCTATAAAAATCTTAGTCATTATGAGGTCTAGCAAAGATCTTTTTCTTCTATGAAGCCTTCCTATCGACCCTAACTAAAATCTCTTCTCTGAGTTCCCAGCGTATACTGCTTGAGCTGGAGCAAGACTCCAGTGATCCTTGGAAGAAAGTGGGAGGTTATTTTCCCAGTGCGATTCCAGGAAAGTTTAATGTCTTATAGTTCAGTCCCCTTTAGCATTCCACATACAGTTAGTGCTCAAATATTTGATAATTGCTCTACTCACAAATATTTTTGTGTGAAATTGCTAGCTATTCTCTATCCAAGAAGTAATGAAGTATATAAGCTTCTTCAACTCTTTGTTGAGCCCGGGACCTCTTACTTATTTCTGTATCCTATCTACTCTTGAGTAGTAGGGTCATTGGAAAGCAACCACTGGGTTTGGGGATAAGTTGTGTGTATTTTAGAGGAGGAAGTAAAGGTGTTACTGGACTTTTAAAACTGAAGCTTTTTCTGTTTTAAAGTATTTTGCTTCCCGTTACTGTATTTATAAGATGATACTGGTATACGTAGTGTCTTGGCTATTTATCTATTCCCCTTTCTCTTTAACACAATATTCCCCAACTTTGGTGTGATACTGAATTGAAATCTCTGGGAGTGTGGCCTAGGACTCTACACTTTTACTAACAATCAGTTGAGATGCTTATGAAGGTGGTGGTAGTAGTGATAATGGTAGTGATGATGATGATGATTGTATTAGCTCTGCTTTCGAAGGCTTATGATGTACTTACTGCACTTTTCTAGGCAGTTTGCAACTATTAACCTAATGTTCACAGCAAGCCTATGTGGTAATACGCTATTATCTTCATTATACAAATGGAGAAACTGTGGCAGATATAAATTAAGTAACTTGTCGCCAAAATGACTTTCTTATAAATAGGTCAAGAATCCATGAAAAGGATGAGGCATATTTTTTTGGTTGATAGTTTTTAAACTCACTTTCTAAAGGATTGCTTTAAGTGATGTGAATGATATGAATGTAAACTGGTTCTTATATAAATTGAAGTATCAATATGCTGACTCTATATAGGAATACTTCAACAACTAGACCTAAATATAGATACTTGCTCTTGCTTTTAGGAAGCCTGTCACAATTCTTGGTGAAAAAGTAAGCATGCACCCAAAAACGTAGAACATTGAGGAAAATTTTTAAATAATTACACTTTCTAAAATACATGATTTTAGGAAGAGTGCTTTATTATATACTATATATATATATATACACACACACATAGACATACACACGTAGATGCATATATATTTACTCTATATGGATGTGTGTCTATATGTATAGTCATTCTTCAGTATCCTCAGGTGGTTGGTGCCAGGACACCCTCAGATACCAAAATCCAAATACTGTCCCACAGTATTTGCATGTAAGCTATGCATATCCTCTCATGTACTTTATTTATTTATTTATTTATTGAGACATGGTCTTGCTCTGTCGCGCAGGCTTGAGTGCGCTGGTACAATCATGGCTTACTGCAGCCTCGACCTCCTGGGCTCAATCGATCCCCCCACTTCAGCCTCCCAAGTTAGCTGGGACCACAGGCACGCACCACCATGCCCAGCTAACTTTTGAACTTTTTTGTAGAGATAGAGTTTCATTGTGTCGCCCAGGCTGGTCTTAAACTCCTGGGCTCAAGCGATCCTCCCACCTTGACCTCTCAAAGTGTTGGGATTACAGGCATAAGCCACTGCACCCACCCATCCTCTTGTATACGTTAAATCATCTCTAGCTTACTTATAATACCTAATACAATACAAATGCTGTGTAAATAGCTATTATATTGATTTTTATTTGTATTATTTTTTATTGTTTTGTTGTTTTTTAAATTTTTTTCCTGAATATTATGTGTGTGTGTATTGAGATGTTACTTTGTGATTTAATGTAATTCAAGTAAAACTCGTTAAGCATTTATTTTCTGTTTTAGTAGCATAAGATAAATTTGGTTTTATATGCTAAAATATTTTATCTTTTTAATAATAAATGATAAGAATATTTTGTTCCCTTTTAGTTCATAGACTATGGGAAGTGGAGTAGGGAGTGAAAGTGGTGGCTGTGGTGGTGGTATGGTGGAAGTAATTTGTTTACCATCACTGCCTGTCCAAAATAATTTTGATGAATGATTTTAGGTGTTGCCTAATAAGTGCTCTGACTTTTGAAACCAGTTGAACTAACAAGCATGTTGTGCTTTGCTAGAAACATCTTGTAAGTTCTGACTTTGAACAGACAGTGGAATCTAAATTGAGTTAGTGGAGGACATATCTTTACAACTAAATCTAAAGTGTTTCAACTATTTCTTTTTTTAATCTCCTGTTTAT
Organism: Homo sapiens; assembly: GCF_000001405.40. NCBI lineage: Eukaryota > Metazoa > Chordata > Mammalia > Primates > Hominidae > Homo > Homo sapiens. The sequence goes on from NC_000010.11 coordinate 31,369,073, forward strand.
TTTTCTTGTAGAATTAATATTTTTGATTGACCAATCATAATTGCATACATTTATGGGGTACAATGTGATGTTTTGATATATGTATACAGTGTGATGTGCTTATGCTAATTAACATATCTGTCACCTCACCTATAATATTTCATATTGAGACATTTGAAATTTGCTTTTATTATTTTGAAATACTTAAAACGTTATTATTGACTCTCGTCAACTTGCTACGGAATAGATCTCAAACTTATTCTTCCTCTCTACCTGAAACTTCATACCCCTTGATCAACTCCCCCCACCACCCTCCTACCCTAGCCTCTGGTAACCATTGTTCTATTCTCTACTTCTATGAATTTAATCTTATTAGATTCCACATGCAAGTGAGATCATATGGTATTTGTTTTTCTCTGCCTGACTTATTTCACTTAGCATAATATCCTCCAGATTCATCCATGTTGTTGCAAATGACAGAATTTTCCCCTTTTTAAATGCTGAATAGTATTCCATTGTCTGTATATACCACATTTCCTTGATTCATCCATTGATAGACACTTAGGTGTTTCCGTATCCTGGCTATTGTAAATAATGCAACAATGAACATAGGAGTGCAGATATCCCTTTGACATACTGACTCCAGTTCCTTTGGCTATATAACCAGAAGTGGGATCACTAGATCATACAGTAGTTCTATTTTTAGTTTTTTTGGGGGAAACTTCCATACTATTTACCATAATGGCTGAACTAATTTGCATTCCCACCAACAATGTACTGTATAAGAGTTATCATTTCTCCACACACTGTCCAACATTTACCTTTCATCTTTTTGATAAAAGCTACTCTAACAGGTGTAAAGTAATAATGCATTGTGGTTTTAATTTGTAATTCTCTAGTAATTAGTGATGCCGAGCATTTTTTCTTGTACTAGTTGGCCATTTGTGTGTCTTCTGAGAAATGCCTGTTTAGGTTCTTTGCCCATTTTTAAAAATTGGGTTATTTGTTGTTTTGTTATTGAGATGTTGGAGTTACTTAAATATTTTAGATATTAACCCCTTATTAAATGTATGATTTGCAGATATTTCTTTTTATATTTCCTGTTTACAAATTTCCTGAACTTCTCTGGCTGCTCATTTATATAGAATTGGGATGAGTTATGTCACCTGAAGCAGTCAAGATAAGACTGTTTCTACTGATATCCATATGGCAGGCTTACTTTGTTACCCAATCCAATGAAAAAGGGTGCCAGGATGTGAAAGAAAAATAGATGTGATGGCCGGGCGCAGTGGTTCACGCCTGTAATCCCAGCACTTTGGGAGGCCAAGTCAGGTGGATCACGAGGTCAGGAGATCGAAAAATAGATGTGATGCCATGGAACATTCTAGGGAATTACCATTTTTAGAGAGAGTTTTGATAAAAATTTTACGTATTTTTAAAACTCATATTCTTAGTCTGAAGAGTTGGAAATAAGGTTGAATGTATGTCTTAAAGCTAATAGTATAAAAAGAGAAGTGTAAAATTTAAGTTAATCATACAACTTTCTTTCCCTAACTTTATGAATTGACTTTTTGCAATTTCCGGAGCTAATGAGGTGAATGTCTGAAATTGAGTATGTAGGTTAAAAAGTTGAAATTTTCCTAATAAAATTGTATCTCTTTCTAAGGTGTAACTCTTTCTTTCTTTGATTATAGTAAAAGGAGCATCTGTGGTTCTTAAGAGGTCTTGATTTTTCTGCCAGCTAGTTGTGTGACTTTGGGTAAATAATGTCATATGACTGGACCTGTTTCTTTATTTGTAAAATTGTGTGTGGTGTTAAATTCTAAGACTGTTTTTAAAAAAATTTTTGCGGAGACTGGGTGTTGCTTTGTTGCCAAGGCTGGTCTGAACTCCTGGTTTCAAGCAGTCTTCCCCACCTTGACCTCACAAACTGCTGGGATTACAGGCGTGAGCCTCCATGCCTGGCCAAATTGTAAGACTCTTATAATGGATGAGTAGAATATATTTAAGATTATATAAAAACACAAGTCACTTCATGATCATCGTCTGCTGGAACATGAAACCAGCTTTCTTGTGTAGATGTGTTATCAGTAATGTTATTCACACCGAGAGGATCATTCTGTGGTTTTTAATTCATGATTTTGTAATCTGATAGTGACTTTTCATTATGTCTCCTGATTTATAATTACATCACAGCCATTATGATTGGAATCATTGGGAAGAGTTGAAATGAGCAATTTAGAATTGTTTCTGAAATACAGAAAGCCTTATTTTTTGGTGGGGGTTGTTGGAGGAGATATCTCTGTGTTCTGTAATTTCATTTGACTAAGGAATTTATCTTTGGTCTTCTCCCAGAGTGAGGACATGAATACTTCCATAGCTATATTCCGTATTAATCACAGTTTGCTTTGTGGGTTTCATTAGGCTAAATAAGAAAAACGTCGTTATGTATTTTCTGCTTTAAAAAATGCTTCTTGATATAAAGTCTTCTCAGATCAGTCCCACATGTGATAAATCTATTCAAACTATTAAACTGCCTCAATGTGCTTGTTTCTCTCTTGGAAATCTATCCATTTCTGTGTCTTTATGTACCACTCACTCTCCCCCATCATATTTTAGGTTATAAGCTCCTTTCCTTTATATCTCATAGCACCCAGGAAAGAACTTTGTTAGTCTCTGAATAGTTTATAAGTGTTATTGCTATTGAGAATTTTGGATTTAAATTATTGGAATGAATAGAATAATGCTATTTCTAGTATATCTAACTGAGGGTCAGTGTTATTAACTCAAAGACATAGCAGTTTTATTAAGCTCTAGGCTTTGTTTCTGAAGTCAGTTTCTCTTAATCATAAGTGGATTATTCACTTTATATTCTCTTATATAATGCCTTGGTATCAGGTTATTGATAGGTAAACATCAGAAATAGGCTGGATAGATATGCATGCATGTGTACACATGCACATGTATGTGAGAGAGAGAGAGAAGGATTGCACATAGAATATATGAGAATTTGAGGTGTGTGTAATGTTTATAACTCATCTGAGTCTTACATAGCTATCTAGTTATGTACACTTAATTTTGCACCTTTTATAGTTGAAATTCAGAAACATTTTTTAAGGAAAATAAGGACGTGTTTTTCTTTCCTTCATGTTTTCAGTTTAGCTTTATTTGATTGTATTTTTGCTAAAGACTTAAATTGTCAATAACTATTGAAATGGGCCAACTTATAGCTGAGCACAAAGTATGTTAGGACACTGAGATATATCTTAACATTTGGGAATAATTTAATGTGTCTAATACTTGAGAAGGATCAAAACAGACTGTACAACCCAATAATCATAAAGCCTATGGTCAAAAATCGTATATAAATGACAGGCCCTATGAAGAGTAGCCGTAAGAATCAAGAGAAAAAGAACCTAAATTGGTACAGAAAAGGAGCTGAGTCATTTTTATATTATAATTAGAAGTTGGTAACGATAAATTTTGTCTTCCCAGTACAAAAAGTATCATGATCAGGCAGGATTACGCTAAAGTGTAACCTCTAACTTCTTGTGGTATGTACTATTACAAGTAGTTGATGATTTAATAAATATAAATATAGATGATACTGTCAGAGTGTTTCCAGACATTACAGTTAGCTTTTAGGTGAAGGCAGTGCTTGACAGAACCTAAGTTTGTGACTCAATAATTTATTATATAATCTAATACCATTTTTATCTTGTATTAATTTGGGTTATAGGATAATTGGGGTAACTTTTTGGTGAGGGATTGAAATTTTCTTAAAAGCGTTTTCAGAAGATACTAGAATTTTATGGGATTCTTTTATTATAGCATGTCTTCTCAAATATAATATTAGGACTGCTTGAACAGGAGGCAAATCATATTCACGTTATTTTCCAGTTTAGAGTTATTGCTCTTATCAGTTGGTGGGTGTGGGAACAACTTAATAAAGTTTGGGTAATTTAGTTTTCAGTTTAAATTCTCAACTGGCAATTGGCCGAAAACTCCCATCTGAAGACATGATCATCCAAATGTCATTTTGTGATTTGGCTACTGTCTGCTTGACATAGGAAAGCACTATCAAGAAAGACTAATGGAGTGACTATCAAAAGGAAGTCAATGGTAAGAGTTTTCATTTAAATTGTGTGTGTGTGTGTGTGTGTGTGTAAAGCCTACCAATGTATTATATTTGAATTAAAATTTTAGAACTTTTAAAATCTAGGACATAATGACAAGTGTTTGAATTTTATATGTCTGTCACTTATATTTTAATAAAATATATGCAAAGAATGGTTTTATAGATAAGAGATTTTACATACTTAATGTTGATAAATAGTATAAAAGTATGGAAAATCAATTATATAGTTCATGTCTGGTTTAAAAATTCAATTTTTGTAGTTTTATTGTAGTTATTTAAAATAGTATATTATAAAATTGCTTGACTGAAGTTTAACTTCTAAAAAATTTGTACTAAACTGAGTTTTTCTGTTCAGTTTCATAAGTGCTTCTTAAAATAGACATGCATTTTGTGGTAGTCTGTTGAATGCTGTTTGGTTTTTTACTTTCATTATAAAATAGGAAAGAAAAAAGTATAATATCATATGACAAAATCCATTTAGTTTAACATTAGTTCTTTAAAAATGTATAATTGCTACTATACTTTGGCGGAAACTATTAAATTTGTAAGATAAGACGTTTATACTCTATACCCAAAACAAAGTGAAGTAGCTGTTCATAATATGGCGCAGAATCAAATTTTGGTGATAAAATCAGACATCTCTCTCCTGCCTTACACATACTCCCACTGAGAAAATAATTTCTAAATTTGGTTACATTTTCATATACTTCAGATGACCTTAAATTTATATTTTTCTCCTGAATATATTTGATTCCTGCATATCCCTTTTTTTGGGCATCTGTGTCCAATCAGATCCATGATTAGTCATGTTAGCTTTGGACAAGAGTGGAGGTAGGATCTTAGCAAGTTTGAAATCTTTAAGATTGATGTTTATCTGAGATTATTCCAGCATGTCCACGGACATAGTAGTTTTGTGATAACAAGGTAATGGCTGATGAAGATTAGCATATTAATAATAGATTATAATTCTGTTAACCATTCTATTGTCAAATACGTGATTTTTGCGATTCACATAGTTTAAGTAATTTTTCATGCCCAATTAGAGATGTCAAAATTATGTTAATTGAATCTGGCCATGTTCTTAGCTGTTTTCTAGAGCTTAATAACAAACATATCAGGAAGAGCTCTTGTGACAAGCACCCAGCACAGCATCTGTCATTATGTAATCATTCCAATGTTTACAGTGAACTAAGTACTTGAGATGGCAACATTCATACTTTAGTCCCTCTGTCTAGTAATTCATACTTGTATAGTCTGTCTACTATGTGTCACCCATTTAGGTAGGTGCTGAGAATAAAATGGTGGGGTTAAAAACAGATATTCCCTGTTATTGAACTTCCAGTGCCAATGGTAATTACAGTGTAGATAATAATTACACACTGCAACTGGAACCAATACTATAAAATGGCATAAGTTCCTATAAGGGTAGGAACAATAAAGTTAGTGTATAAATAAAGCACAGAACCTACACATTTATTTATTAGATTGAATTGATAACTTGCTTTTGAACTTTTAAAGTTAATTCTATTAATATCTGCTAAGCTAGGCATCAGAAAGACTAAATTCTAACCATAGAGAAATACATTTTTTATGCTGCTATTCTATTTTCTTAGATTTCTTAAGAATTTACAACAAAACCCTGTCAAAGCAGCATTCTTACGTGAGAATTTCACTTACGGGAGAGTTCTTACAGGATTTCAAGAAGGAAAGCCCTGAAGAGGGACACTGATTTCCTCAACTGAATTTAAAATTGTTACATGCAGACATTTTTAAAGGTAGTATGATTTTCCTTAATCAAGTCAACTTTATATCTTTTTATCTTTTTAAAGAAGGGAATGTGACATTTATGTTTTTCATACACACACACACACACACACACACACACACACACACACACACACAGAGAAGCATACATGTTGATTACGTTTTGGAAAATAAAATCCAAAGAGCATTTGGATGTCTGAATGTTTATGCTTCATCTCCGCAGTGACTTCTAAATTTAGTTTTTTTCTGGATATACTCAAAGTCACCAACCTGAGTTCAAGTATTCTGATTTGAAGATCTCAACTTAGAGATCCAGGCAGTCCCCCTTGTCAGTGCTAGGAGAAAGATGTCCTTCCCATACCTTCCAGAAAGAGTGTCTTGAAGAAATATATTCCTTCCTGGGTAACGTGCTTTGGAATGTACATGATATTCATTTTTCTTTGACAGCTCTTTTTGGTTCTGTTTAGTTGGCTTTGATGGGTTCATGATGCCCAGTGGAGAATTTGGTATTTAGCCACAAAAAGATATTTAAGACACATAATTATGTAAATATTGCAGATGGAGGATGATACATAGCATTTCTTTTATCAAAATGAATTTGAATTGACTTCTTTCTAAAACAAAATTCTACCAATAGTCATCAGTTTTTAATTATATAACTTCTCAATATAGGAAATAATCAGTGTCTGATTGGCTGTGTATGTTGGAGTGTAATGGCTTTTGTTTTGAATTTGGCAGTTTCTACTCTCAGAAGAAATGAGTTGCGAATTACAGTGGTGTTAGAAGAAATGAATTGGAAGTTCGAATGAGAAAAATTTAAATAAAAGTTATTGTTTATAGATATGGAAAGGAAAATAATGTTTTTAGTTCAATATGAGAAAGAACCTTTTAAATGTAGAAATAAAATGGGGTGCCTTTCTACATCCATTCTTAAGAATTTGGCAGAAGTTATGAAGAAGTTAAAAAGAAGGAGTTCCTGCTGATATAAGTCACGAGGATTATTTGAAGGAAATTTATGTCACATCTCGTAAAATCATCATATTGACAATTATAAATATGTAAAACTTTATGTGCAATAGTTATTACTAAAAATACTGAGCTACTATTTATAGTGAGATCATTATTAAATAAATTTAACAGATAGAATAGCAAATCACATTTATTCATTCAGTATATTCTTACCAACAACCTGCTGTATGTCAGTCATTGCATAAGACTGATGTGATGCCATAGGTCTTGCAGGGAATGTAGACATTAAGCAAGTAATTACAATAAAGTATAGTGGCTTATGATATTATAAAAACAAAGCAGTCCTTAAGTATACCTTGCAATTGATCTGTAGTATATTAATTTTAATCCGCTCATACTCCTCATGAAATGAGGTTGTTCATTTTGATGTAAAAATTAGACTGACGTTCTTTGCAGTTAGTAGAGACTGAAAAAGTTCTTATTATTTGTATAACTTATTTAAAATGAGAAACTGCTGTGGAAAGATCTGCAGGTTTCTGAGATACCAAGAAACGTGAATATGAGCAGAATAAACACATGCATATTATATACATTATAAACGTCATTTAAGACAATTATATGAAGCAGTTTTACATTTAAAACTACCAAGTTGTAATAGTTAAGAAGTTGGGCTCCAGAGTCATACTGGTTGGGTGTGAGTATTAACTCTGACACTTACCAGCTTTGCAGTCTTAGGAAACCTGCATAACTCTACTGTGCTTCAGTTTCCTTACCTGTAAAATGGGGATAATAAGAGTATATATCTTGTGGAAAAATATATTATTTGATATATGAAAATGCTAGAAGAGTATCTAGCATATGGAAAGTGCATAGAAAGGGCTCCATATGTTGTTTTAGTTAATAATTACAATAATAATTTCCTCATCTTAAAAATATCCTGCTTCATTCATAAAGTTGTGCCAACGGAAATAATTGCAGATGATGCTTAAAATACATACAATATATATTTCAGAGTGGTATGTAAAGAGCTTTTATTATTACTGCTAAACAAAAAAAAAGTCCGTGAAATTCTCATCTAAGCTTTGGGGCCTCTTTAGCTGAATTTCAGCAGTCACTCAAAGGCTTTCTAGAGATGCCATCTAGAGATACTTTATAACCTAGTGTCTTTTTTTTTTTTTTTTTGCAATACAGAATTTTTTTTTCATTGTAAGATGCTGAATGAGAGAAAATTATTTCAGTACTACAAGTATGGTTTCCCATGACCACAATTAGTTCTAATGTAACCAGTCAACAGTTGTCTATTGAAAACCACTAGCTATTAATATAGTATCATGGTAGCCTAAAAGAATTATGCTATCCTTCTACTTAGGCTCTAGGGAGACAAGAGCCATGTAAAGAATACTTAAAGCACAAAATGTGAGACTGCTCTGCCACTAGTTCCTGCTCTGCCACTAATAAACAGAGGTATCTTAGATATATGAACCTGTTACAATTATGAGGCCATCTTAGCATCTCAGTACCCTTATTATATATATCGTGTGTATACACACATGGCCATCCAATATTTCTTTCCCAAATTGAAATGAGAGGAATTCATTAAGGTGGTTTTAATTTCCAAATTTACTGAGTAAAAGAATTCTATTCTAAAAATTATTTTGTATAATGCCCTTCAAATTGAGTTTTACATGTACTATTTCAAGGCTTCTCAGATATTCCCACATAAATTATCTAGTGTTTCTGCATCACTTTGCGATCTTTTCATTAATGTCAAGTGTAATGTTTTTTAACTTCACAAGGGAAACATGAAATTCCTTTAGTGTGCCTCATTTTCAGACATTTTCTTGTTGATTAAAATTCCTTTTTAAATAAAGTTTCAACATGTACTAAATAATTTGTTTACCTTTGAATTAACTTTTTATAAATGAATTTTAAATAATGACAGCAGTCATTACAAACTCTGCTGTTGGCAACACTAGAGGGCATTTCTAGTTCTTCAGACAGTGTCATGAGTTCTCAGAATAATTTACCAATTCATTAAACAGCAGATTAGCATTTTAAGGGAAAGGAACTAAAACAAGCACAATACATATATCATACATATATATAGTATGTATATATTATGCATAGACAGATAATATAAATATCCATATATAATATATACATTATATAATATATGGATAATACATATATATTGGATGTATGTATACTCACGTCTGCTTTACCAAATGTTCTCACTGAATCACTACTCCTAAAAAGGCGGGAGAGTATTTGTGATCTGCTCACTGAAGCACCACTATATTATCCAGTTGTTTATTAGTGTCGTGGAGGTCTATGCTCTGATAGGTTTAGCATCAAGTGAACATTGAGTAAAAAAGTATATGTATATACTCATACATACATACTCATCAGAAGTTAGTTGCTGTGCTTATTGAACTACTAGATGCTAACATAGTCATAATTAGAATAATTTTTCAGATAAAAAATGAGAGTTAAAATAGATGCCCTTTATAGGCTTAGTAGAAGATTTAAGACTACCTATATTTTGAATTACTGTATTTTAGATGTTAAAATATTTTCAAGGGTTTTGAATGCAAACATTTTTAGGGAAAAGATACAATTATGTAATATTAAATATATAATATTAAATATTAACATGCAATGATATGAAAGAAGACAAGTTTATAAGAAAATTCAATTAGCGTAAAGAAAAACTTTTTTTTCTTGGGAGGATTTGCTTACTGCGGTGTATTGGGGAAAAAATCTTATATATCATTAAGTAATCATTAACACGGTAAAAGTAAAGTCAAGGACCAGCAAAAAATAACCTAATTGTTGTGAAAATAAGGTGACAAACAGACAATCCCATCTTACACTGTAACATACTTTGTATAAGAGGGGATACATGATAACCACTAGAACAGTGGTGGATGTGCAGGTGGTAGATACACAAGGGATATAAGAAAGTCTTTCTAGTTCAAATGTATTTCTGCCATGTACTTTACCCAGTAGAAATGCATTTACATTTTTAAGAGGAGCGTATAAATCTCTCAAATATTTCTGTTGATACATATACCTATCATTCACTTAAATACCTGAGTACCTACTAAGTATAAAATACCCCGTTATTTTATGTTTGGCACAGTGAGGCTGTAACAGTTTATACTCCTATTATGTAGCTGAGACCAGTTGGTCTCTTTTAGAGAGGGGAGTATCAGTTAGTTACAGAAGGACTCATTTGAATCATGAGATAATTTGTGAGAATGCAGACCCAAGTAATATGCTCTAATAAAATCAGAAGGCAGCATGCTTTTGTTGAGAAATGGAGGTAGGAAGGTAACAACATAAAATAACCTACTTTGTACTGGTTCAGTATACCCCATAAACTGTCATCTCTTTTGTTTGTTTGTTTTGAGGGTACAAATTATTTCATTTTCTGATATTCTCTTTCCTAAGGTATTGTTGGACTGAAACTTAACCAATTCTCCTCTTTTTCTGTCTCTGTCTGTCTGTCTCTCTCTCTGTGTGTGTATATATATATACATATATATACACATATATTCTTTCTACACACACACAGTAACAGTATGTGCAAGTCAAATTTAATTTTAAAATAAATCTTTTAAAGCGTGGGTCAATCTGTGCCAGTCACACACAGGGCAGTCTGCCGTATCTTTTGCATCCTTGTTTTGTACTGCTCGTGAATGTTCGTTATATAGTAGAGTAGGTAATTCCATATTTACTTGTACTAGAATATATCTGGCTTAATAGATGATGTTCCAAAGGCTTGAATTAAAAAAAAAAAACCTTAGTGTAAAAAATTTCAGGCATACACTTAAGAGAGACTAGTGTAATAAACCCCATGGCCTAGATTTAACAATCAGCAAAATTTTGCCACATTTGCTTCATCTACTCTCTTCTTTTTCCTCAACTATTTTTAAAGTAGATCCCAGACTTCAAGTCTTTTCACTCCTGCATTCTTTCATATGCATTTCTTTAAAAGAAGGAATTTTTCTTATATAACCACAATACCTTTATTACATCCAACAAAATTAACAATAACTACTAACCACCTCATATTCTCTCTGTATTCAGTTTCTCTGCTTTTAACTGAAAAATGTCCTTTTTACGTTTAGATTGTTCTTTCAGAATCCAACCAAGATCTGTATAGCATTTGGTTGTTTGGACTGCTGTATAATTAAAAGGTCTTTTCTTTCCCACCACTTGTTTACCTCACTCACCCCCAAACCCCCTTCTTCCTCCTTCCCTCCCCTTTTCCCTTTAATGTGTTAATGAAAAAACTGGGTAAACTATCCTGTAGAATATCCTCCATTCTGGATTTCTCTGTTGCCTTCTAACTTGTTCCTGTAGCCTCTGAATTTCCTGCGAACTAAAAGTTGGCTTGAAAGACTTAATTAGTTTCAGGTTCAGCTTTGGTTTTGGTGTTGAGGATGGAAGGCATGCAGGAATACTTTGCACATGGAACTGTTTCTTCATACTGCATCACATCAAGGAGCATATAATGTCTGCTTGTCATACTCTTATCAATGCTAAAATTGGGCAGTGGTGCCAACCCAATCTCTCTATTGAGAGTTTTCTACCAATCTTTCCTCCCGTGGGAAAAGTTGCTGACTGTTCTCCAAATCAATTCTGTCATTAGGGTTTGCAAGAGAATGAATTTTTAAATCTGCCACCCCTTACACATTTATTAGTGGAAATTCTTCTGTAAGAAGAAGTTTCCTTCATAAATTACACCTTTTTGATTTATCTGAAACAATGTATACTGGAAAGAAGCCTGGTGTCTTAAATATCATCTGTTAATACCTAGTGTAACATTCCAAAGGTAACTTGAGATACTGCAAGGACCACATAGCACCTTGAGTACCTATTTTACATGTGACTCTGAGGACTTTCACAGAATAAAGATATTTCTTATTTTAATGAACGTTGTCAGTATCAGGATAATTTTATGTAGTCAACATATATACAGTGTTGGTCCTATAGGAGTTGGAGACCTTTTGCCAGTTTTATTTGGTCAAATACATTATTTTGTGATGAAATAACTGTGAGTGATGAGTTGAGCCTCAAAGAACATGATACTTCATTAAATCAACAAGCTGAACAGTATCATCTAACCAAAGCTGTAGAATAAATGGTGATAAACTTAAATTCAGGAATGAAACAATCACCATTTTTGTTACAAATTTGTCCACCCGTCATCACTAACCCCATTTTTATTTAATACTGGTAATGAACAAAACCTGAAGAAGAAATAAAACTAAAATATTTCATTTGTAGATGACATGATTAATTATCTAGAAAAATCTACAGCAATCAGCTCTAAAATGATTTATTAAATAATAAAAATTTAATAAAGTACCAGATATACTGTATCTTTATACCATGTGAAAATCATTCTGGGAAAATATCCCATTCAGAATTGCAACAAACGATGTAATATCTAGCAATACATTTGAGAGAGATGTTAGATCTTTGGAAAATAAATTAACATCCAGTGTATTTGAAACAATTTTAAGATTCAAATAAAAGCAGAGAAACTGTTTCTAAATCAAGAATATTGGCAAATTATTTGACTAAAAGTAAGATTTTTGGGTTTAACCTCTAACTTCCAAAATTTCTAGTGATTTATTTTATAGTGATTCTGTAATGAGAAGTCTCGTCCTACTAAATATCAAAAGGTTTTAAAGCAAGAATGTCTAAAACAGTGATGATGATGTAAGAATAGGTGTGTTACCCAGATACCAGAAGAGACTTCTCTGTCTGTTGGAGATTTAAGTATACATTTTCTGGCCAGGCCCAGTGGCTCACGCTTGTAATCCCAGCACTTTGGGAGGCCAAGGAGGTCAGATCACTTGAGATCAGGAGTTCAAGACCAGCCTGGCCAACATGGTAAAACCCCATCTCTACTAAAAATAGAGAAATTAGCTGGGTGTGGTGGTGCACGCCTGTAGTCTCAGCTACTCGGGAGGCTAAGGCAGAAGAGTCACTTGACCCCAGGTGGCAGGGGTTGCAGTGAGATGAGATTGTGCCACTGCACTCCAGACTGGGCGACAGTGAGACTGTCTCAAAAAAAAAAAAAAAAAAAAAAAAAAAACAAAGTAAATTTCCCTTGAAGCCCGACTTCATGGCCGGTGAGAGTCAAGAGACATGGCCTGGATCCCGTGACTTACACAAATCCCTGTGGCTGACTCAGACCTTAGTTTCTCTGCCTCTGCTTGCATGCCACCTTGGTTTCTGCCAGTGTCAATACATATGTGAAACCAGCCCCTTTACTAGTTTCAAACATTTAACATTTTGTGAGTTAAGAAATCCTGAATAGGTGATAGACCAGCAAATGATTTTCTTAATTTTTGAGTGGAACATGCTATCTATGTTCATTCTTTTCTTCTACTCATACTTTACTGAATTAATACAGTTGTTTTCTTAAGAGGAATACTGAACAAATAAGCTTGTTTTCATTTTGTAAAACATAGATTACTGGAGCACTATGAGGAATACAAAATTTGTCCCATCTGTTATCATATACAGTAACTAAATGTATGACAAAATAATCTTTCCTAAGAGAGGGGCACTTAAAGGATATTTGTTCAGTGGTGTTGGATAGTACTATTCAGTGATATGTCTTAAAACTAATTAGACAAAAATCATCCGTATATTACACAACCATAGGAATAAAAAAGAAAAGGTAACAGAGAGAATACCTTTACATCTCATATTTGAAGAATTAGTAGAACTCACCCAGAAGATACTTGAATATTAAAAATTTTTGTTGGACCAAAATATTATGATTAAAAGGATAATAGAAAATTGTGGAAACTACATTAAAAATTATAAGGAAAGTGATAATAGGTATAAGTTATATATTGTTGTAAATATGCAAGTTTAGATATCAAGATTATAATACATAAGTGAGAAATGAATATGACAGATTAAGAATATGAAAGTAAAGACACATGAATAATAAAGAAATATGAGGTTTTTTTCATTGTATTAAAGGACATAAATTTTTAAAAAGAGAAATCTAATATTTGCAAGTAAGCAGTGCTAACAGACCCTTTTGGGAAATAATGCAGTAATACATGCTGAGAGTCACAATAATGTTTAGAAATTTCATAATAACATATTAGGAAACACTATGCTAATTATTTTACATATATATATATATAAAATGCCCAGCTTAAAAACTAATTATAGAACAGCAACATAAAATATTACATTTAAATGATTATTTTTGGAGACTATAGAACAACACTGTTCAGGAGAGCTTTGTGGTGATAGAAATATTCTGTGATTGCACTATCCAATATGTAGCCATTTGGCACATGTGGCTGCTGAGCCCTTAAAATGTGGCTAGGGCAACTGAGAAACTGAATTTTTAATTTAATGTTAATTATTTAAATTTAAATAGATAAATGGGGCTAGTGGCCACAATTTTAGATAGTGTAGTTCCAGAAATAAAGAGAAATGTTTGGTATAAGTGAAAATAAAATAGTAAATTTATATGCCATGATTACAAGTATGTACATAACTAAATGTACGTATGGAAAGTGATAGTCATAATTAAAATATTTGTGTTAGGATTGAAGGAAATAGGTAATTTTTTTAAAATGCTAAATTTTTAAAAGGTTACATGACAATAATGTAACACTTCAGCATTGTACTGGTACTGTTCAGTATGGTAGCCACCAGCCTGATGTGCAATTTAAACTTACATCTGTTTAAGTAAAATTAAAAATTCAGTACCTTAATCACACTAGCCACATTCCAAATGAGCAGTAGTCATATATGGCTAATGTTTGCCTTTTCGAACAATGAAGCTATAGAACATTTTTGCCATTGCCAAAAGTTCTATTGTACAGTGTTGTAGAAAGAACTGGTAAAAGGAATATACTGGAATCAGTCACTGATAGTTTATTTGTCAGTAGTTTCTAAGGGCACATGAGAATTAAAACTGGAAATTGGATTCAGTAAAAAGTATAAAGGAAGAGTAACATAAGATCCTACTCCTGTAACTTAGATTAGTGCTTTTTTTTTTTTTTTTTTTTTTTTTTGAGATAGAGTCTCACTCTGTCGCCCAGACTGGAGTGCAGTAGTGTGATTTCAGCTCACTGCAGCCTCACCACCTCCTGTATTCAAGTGATTGTCCTGCCTCAGCTACCCAAGTAGCTGGAATTACAGGCATGTTCCACCACTCCTGACTAATTTTTGTACTTTTAGTAGAGACGGGGTTTCTCCATGTTTCCCAGGCTGGTCTGGAGTTCCTGAGCTCAAATAATTCACTTGCCTTGGCCTCCCGAAGTGCTAGGATTACAGGCTTGAGCCACTGCGCATGACCTACACCAGTGCTCCTTGAAGAATGGGCTATGAACTGGTGCTGGTTTGTTAATCAATCCATGACTAAATGCTTACTCTCAATTTCTATATTGGTTTAGAAACTCTTACAGCCATGTGATATTTGTGTCATTCAGGCACATCACCTGTCTCCCCGGTTGAAGTTCAGGCCAGTAGTTTTAACGCAGTTGCCTGGAGAGTTTTATGCAAAGTGAGCTGAGTATAGTCATGACGGTAGTCCATGAACCTGGGTCCCCAAAAGGGAGAAAACAGTCTTTCACTACAGATTGCGTGAGAAACATTGGCCAGCATTAAAGAAGGAAAGTAGATTGCTCAGGGAAGTTTTGTAGGGAACTTAAAATGAGATGTTAGTATGGCTTAGTAATCTGTATTTGCAGGTGAAATGAAAAATTCAGCCCTAAATCTCTGAATATGGTAAACTTAGACTTCATCTTCTGCAGGTGGAAATGAGGCAAGGGATCCATTATCCACAGCATGAGTAAGTTTCTAGTCAGTTCCTCTGTCTAGGGAGTTTGTTTTCCCTTTTCGCCCTTGTTGGCCTGGGAGACTCAACCAGCTTAGTAGTCTTTTCCTTTCAGTAAGATTTCCAACTTTGGGTTGGTCTTTACCCCTTTTTAGCTCTTTTTGTCGTATTATCTGCACTTAGTACTTTGTAACTGTTTTCACCCCTTCCCCCCAAAGTTAGTTCAAAGGCTTACAGCATGTTGAAAATAGGAAAATTGTTTTTAAATTAAGTGAGTTTTTGTGTACACTTATTTCTTTAGTCTAAAGTTTTGTTTTAAATCTCTTTTTCACATTTAAACCTGATTCCCTGAGACAAGATATAAAATTGAATTATTTGTGAAATGTGGAAAGGTTTTTATTGCCTGTAATCAAAGCATAATCTGTCCATTAAAGCATTATTTTAGTGATGAAGGGTGGACATACATCCCAAGTTTACTACCTGTTTTCTTACTGTGGTTTTGACCATACAGCAAATGGTATTTTATACTCTGAAATGAAATGCACCATACACATTGTCCAGTATGTTTTGAGTTTTAATTCTACATTTTCAGATTTTGGGGTCAAATGAAATCAAGTACTTTATAAATAGTTGTTTCTTCTGATTCTACTGGCCTTACATGTTAGATTTTTTTAAAGTATACACATTCAGTCCTTTATCAGTACCATTAATCAAATGTTGATTTCAGCATTTCTTCATTTTGTTTTCTTTTTTCTTTTCTTTTTTTCTTTTTCTTTTCTTTTTTTTTTTGAGACGGAGTCTAGCTCTGTCACCCAGGCTGGAGTGCAGTGGCACAGTCTCAGCTCACTGCAACCTCCACCTCCCAGGTTCAAGCAGTTCTCCTGCCTTAGCCCCCCCAAGTAACTGGGATTACAGGCGCTTGCCACCACATCCAACTAATTTTTGTATTTTTAGTAGAGATGGGGTTTCACCATGTTGGCCAAGCTGGTCTCGAACTCCTGACCTCGTAATCCGCCAGCCTCAGCCTCTCAAAGTGCTGGAATTACAGGCATGAGCCACCACACCTGGCCAGCGTTTCTTCTTTTTCTCTCTAATTTATCAAATTTGGAAACAGTTGGAAAACATTTAAAGGAAATAAGTCTCTGTGTTTTTAATAATAGTTTAAAAGTTAAAGGAAAACAAATGAATAATATTCTGTTTATTATAGTCAGACAAAATGTACATACGAAAATACATAAGGAAATATAGAATGGCATCTTCTGATTTTAATTTAATATTATGGTAATGATTTACTTAGGCAGAATTATAGCTATAGACAACCATTTTATCACTTTATTTATATCGATCTACTCTCTATGGATGAAAACAGTTAATACTAAAGCATTAAGAAGGTATATTGCTTTTCATCTGTATTAATATTCTTCTTCTGATATTTGATATTTAATAATATATTTTAAAATACTCTGCATGATTTCCTGATCTTAAAGCATTCCATTCCTTTCAAGGAATTTGGATTATAATGATTTATTTATAGTATTTTTGTCATTAATATTTTAGGATATGGCATCTTAAAATATTGTATTCCTAACAGTTATTTAATATATAATTAAACATCTATATTAGTATTATTTTATATAACATATTTTCAAACTCCTCAGAACATTTGTAGGTTTTTGTTTAATTTTATGTAAGTTTCACCTTAAGAATATTGACTAATCGGTTAATATTCTTCTTAATCATCGCAATTTTTTAAAATGCTTTCTATGTACCAGGACCTATTTAAGGTACTACAGATAATCAGTGTGTCAAAAAACAAAACCAAAATTCCTTTCCTCATGGAGTTTTACATTCTAGTAGATTGATTCTACTGTTGATTCATACTAAATTAATTTATTAATTATAGTAGATTATTCTGTGGCATTTAACAGAATTCAAAGGGCTACTTTTCTGTTGTTAGGAAATAGCATATGCCATTATCTTGGAAATACAAAGGGAGGACAGAATTTCCGCTGGCTCTAACCCATTGCTTTTTAATGAGTTTAGCTATGTATATATATTTTAAAATGGAATTTATAATTATGATCATTTGGCAACCTACAGTTTTTCTGTATTTTTTCAACTTCTCAACTTCCCAGTGATGGGGGTGGATGTTGAACTAGTCACTTAAGGTTTTGGGTCTAAGGAGTAATATTTGAAACATGCAGTATTTAGAGGAGATATTTTTGTGAATGAAGAGAATGTGATTTTAAGAATACTCATGATTTTATCTAATTTCTGTTCTCAAAACTTCATTTTGTAATATAGAAGATAAGCTTGATCAAAATAGTTTGATCCCAGTATAATCTTTTACTCTTCTCTCCTCCCTTAGGACAACCTTAAACTTCCACCACAAGAGGAATATAAAGAGGTCCCTCCTGCACCAAGAAAGATCTGCAGATCTTTTTCAGTGTTCTTGGAGGTGTGGGGTGTGAGAACTTGATCAGTTTGTGTCAGCCACCTTGTTCTCTAAAGGTAAGCACTGTGTAGTGAGTGCACACTCGTGGGCCCAGGCTCCTAACCTAAGACTGGTTTTGGAATGCTCCATTGAGGGTGTGAGACCTTCAGACGTTCGCACAGAAGGGAGGCCCTACCTGTGGGTAGGACATCACACATTCATCAAGAGGTGCTTTTCGTTATTTAGAAGTGAAGCATGTCCTGGGGATGTATGGATATTTTTGTTTTGTTTTACTTTAAAAAAAATCCCAGTCATAGTAAAACCTTCCAGTTTAGTCTGCATTTATTCAGTTAATAACTGCTGGAGTTAATCAAAAATTTTTCTTGTATGTCTTGAGATATGGATTAAGAATTTTGAAACAATGACACCATTTAGGCAATCTAGTGACATAATAGCTTCAGTTGATAGAGCCAGCTGTGAAGAATTACTTTTCATGATCTTTTTGAAGCTGTATCTTATCTTTACTTCAGGGAAAGCCCCTCAAACCATTTTGTATTCTGTATTACACTTCAGAAAGTGTGGAAGCAAAGGTCATCTAATCTTTAAAAGGTATGTAATCATAAAATTTTTTATGTCAGATCTTAATTGAAAAATATTACTTAAAACTTGAAAAAATTACTTAAAATTGGCAATTTCTTTTTCGTCTTACAACTTCTTCCTGTCTTCAGGAAATGAAGAATAAATATGTTGGTTCTATCAGGGAAACCTTATGAAGGATAAGCAAATTAATGTCTGTGCTTTACTTCCAAATTCTGACATCAGAAAACCTTATTGTTAACTAATATAATCTATAGATGTCTCTCAAAATGACCAGTCTTAAATTCAAATGTCATTTGGATATCATTAATTGACTATGGAGAAGAGCAGAAGCATGCTGATTTCGAAAATGTCATTAATATTAGGATTAGGTCAGTCTTAGGCAAGAATACTTTGAATAACAAGAGACTAAATGTCTAGTAAAACATTTTAGATTGTAATTCCCAGTATTCTGTAGTATTAACAATGAGACTTAAAGTACTGGTGAAGACATTAAATTTGTCCCTTTCATTTATCTTTTCTTAAAGCTCTTAAAGTGATCCTGAAGACTTTAGTTCTACAAAATGTGAACTTCTTATGGACCATTAAAGTGGGGAGTAATCTGCTGATTTTTGTCTAGCAACCCTACCTCTGATGCAGGATAATTTTTCAAAACCGTTGTTCTTCCTATAGCTGTATAATAGAAGATATTAAAGAGGAAAAATACTTGTGTGTTTGCTGTTAGAATGAGGAAAAAATACAAATTGGACCTTTTTGAAAAACCTTGAGAACCAATTTACTTTTTTTGTATGTAAATGGTCGAGGAGTTAGAACTAGTCTTGGTTATTATAACTGCAGGTAAACTTAAAAGATTTAAATCTTCAAAACAGATATCATGTAGGTTTTATTAGAAAAGAAATATAGATTATTGGGTGTATAGAGATAATCTATATATACGTACAGTTTTTTTTAATTTTTATTTGCAAGAGCATGCTAAATATCTTAGCCTTTATAATAGCATAGAATAGAATGGACAAATATGTTATCCCTTTTTGCCAGTTGAGAAAACACTTTGAATTAAATCTCCAACCTAATGAAAATTATAAGGTGGGTTATAGAAATAACTAAACAGGTTATTATTTCTTAACCAAACTAAAGGTTTATTCTAACTAAAATACTTGTAATCTAAGAAGTCTCCCTAAACATACACCTTTTTTAAAGTGAGTTTTGTTTTATGATAGTACATATTTTAGCAACATACTTTAGAAAAGAAAAGTTTATTTCACTATCCTAGAACTCGTGTTCTAATTTCAGATCAGTTTTGTAGGATGTATAAATAAAATGGGGACCTATGAGATCTATGAGATCTTGCCGTCTGTATCTACAGTATCAAAAATAAGATCATTTCCTTAACAATTCTTATTAATAACTTATCCATCTCAATTCATAGGAGGTGACAAAATCAACTGTTGTTCTATGATTTTGATCATAGGTAGGAGGGAAAACCCAAAATAATGGTACCGAGGGCTTCTTCCATTGAAACTAATATCTGGGAGAAGATTTGATTTTCATGTGTACATATACACATACCTATATTAGTGTTTATTTCTTTTTTCTAATCATGTAAGAATTTGTCAAAGATCAGGTTTCTGATTTGTCTTTCATCGGTATCTGTATGCCACATTTTGTTTTTGTTTTTGAAGTGTTCCTAGCCAGTTCATGCTAGTCCCTACTATAAATTTTGTTTCCCTGGCATGATCATGCTCTTTACCTACTCTGGTAGCTGGAGGGAGGTGAGAGAAGCAGTCTTATGTGTTTACCGTACTGATTTTTTTTTAGAGATGGGACAACAAAGAAATTCTAGCCTTTGGAGACATCTAGACCAGCACTATATGGTACAAAGATAATTCGAGCCATAAATAGAAGCTACGTATGTAATTTTAAGTTCTTAATGGCCATATTAAGAAAATAAAAAGAGGCAAAATTAGTTTTCATTACATTTTATTTAACCCAATATATACAAAAATATTATTCCAACATATAATTAATAGAATGTTTTATGAGATTTTTTTCATACTCAGCATTCAAAATCTGTGTATTTTATACTCACAGCACATCTTATATTGGACTAGCCACAGTTCAAGTGCTCAATAGCCGCACGTGGCTAGTAGGTACCATATTCCACAGTTCAGATCTAGACAATGAGTGGAATTCTCATTTTAGCCTCATACATGCCAAAATCCACTGGATGACCCTGCGAACTCCCCTTGTTTAGAGTTTCCAAATTTAGCAGAAGGAAAAAACAAAACAAAACAGGATGTCCAGTGTAATTTGAATTTCAAGTAAATAACAAATAATGGTTTAGTGTAATTTTGTCCCATGCTATATTTGAGGCAAACTTTTACCAAAGAAGTTACTGCTTATTCGAAATTCAAATTTGACTGGGTGTCCTATATTTTATCTGACAACCCTTCTCTGGTTTAACTTGAGAAGAGGACATCATCAGGCTGCCTGGAATCTTGGAGGACTAGAAAATAGAGCATCTCTTTCTCTGCGCAGGATTTTAATAATCCTCCAAAAATCAGCCTGTAAACTAGAAGATATCTCTAGCCCATTTCTTCCTAATGACCTAGTATGTTTAAGACAGAAGAGGGGCTCAAATGGCAAGGATTTAGTCCATACATATTTAAACATTTTACATCTAAATTATTACATTAAGATATAAGGTTTACGAAATTTTACAATTTTTGAATGATTACTTGAATTTATAAAATGTAGATCATCTAACAGCACAACGCTGCTATCATTTCTCTTGAAAACTAATTCTCCTTTGACAGTAACCACAGCAGTTTTCAGGGTCTTGGCCATTTCAAGGTATTTTCCTACCATTGGTTTCCATTGCATCTGTCACATAAACCTCTGGTAGTCAAGCATGAACACAAAATACAAGGCTACTGAATGCAGGGATTAGGCTTACTTCGTTACAAGTATTTAAGTACTTGTAATTCTTAGCTCTGGTGTTGACCATTGGATCCTGACCAGTTCAGCAATCAGTCTCCTAAGAGCTTCTTTTACAGAGGAACATCTTTCCGTTTTCATTCTTTAACATTTTTAATGTATTGATTTTAGTACATTTTTGAAGCATACAGTCACCTCCTTAGTAGTGTGGATCTACCCTCAAGTGCTATAGAAGAGACTGTTTGTCTCGAAAGACAGTCATTGCACCACCTCTCTCCAGAGAATACTTTTCCTTCACAAGGTGCATGACTCAAGATGACAGGCTTACATTATTATTTATGTAGGCAGGTGGATGCCAACTGCCAGTGCAGGGTGGCATAAGTTAGCGTTCCAAAGTTAAGCTATGGTGCATTCCAAATCCATTCACACTTAGGAGAATGTACCCAAGAGTGTGGGGATGTTTTCAATTACTGCATTTCCTTCAGAGAACAAGAACCACAGGTAAGTTTGTGTGTGTGTGTGTGTGTGTGTGTGTGTGTGTGTGTGTGTGTGTGAGATCCAATAATTATTTCTAAATAAGAAATTTCAGAATTTGAAAATATTGCCCCTCCCCCAAAACAGTCACCTGAAAGGTCTCAAATATAGCTTTCGGTATATATTTTTCTTCCTCACTCTAAGAAGGAAGGTATTGGAGTTGGTGGTGATGGTGGAGTTGGGATGAGGGAGACAATTTACTGTCATTTGAAAGCTGTGAATGTCACACATTTTCATGTCTAGAAATATCCTGGGTTTATGTAAGAATCTGATTTTGCCTAACCTCTAATGTCTCAGGTATGAATTATTTTGTCAGATTAACACATCTATATAAGTAAGATGTTCAGCCTTGCTTAGCTAATGTCTTCAACAGCAATGAGTAAACTAATGAGTTGTGTCTGCATTTTTCACTTTTATTCTCAAGACTGACTTCCTTTTGTTTAAAGGCTTTTGCCTTATTTCTGAAACCATAATTTAAAGCTACAAAAGACCTGAAATATAATCTAGTACCCTTTTTACCTGGGGATCCTTGGATGGATTTCAGAGATTCTGTTGAATCCCCTAAAATTACAGTCATATTTTGTATATATGTGTTTTTACTGGGGAGAATGTCCATATTTTCATCATATTCTCAGAGGATTTCATAACAAAAAATTTGGTCGACAACCACTGTGATCTAGTCTAATGTGATCATTTTACTGATAAACTGAAGTTGAAAGAATTTAACTTATCTTCATTTGAAATTTAATACTTGTGAAAATTAAAGTTTATTTCTTTAAAATTCATACTGATTTTTAAAAGAAAAATACATTTAACTTCAACTAATTAAACTTGAAAATACCAGCCTAAATGGGAGCAGTTAGTTTGCTAATGCTTTCTTCTGTTCTGCCCTTTGAGTGGACTCTACTAGTTAACATTAAAATGGCCTTCCAATAAAGTATGAGGCTATGTGATAAGTTCTTGAAGATAGATTAAAAAGAAAAGGAATTATCCATTATAATTTAAATCCCTTTTTCTCTCTTCAAATTCTGTCTCCAAAACTAAAACTCAAGAAAATAGGTGAATAATGTTATTTTTATATTTCCAGAATATTAAAAAAGTAGGTAATTGCCTTAATAAACATTACACTGGGCATTATTGGGACAGTTTTAGGTTCTGAACCCTAGTTAAAGAAATTCTTCAGTAGCCTATATACACTTCCTGTTGGTTTTCAGTGATAAGGGCATTTTAAGGTCTTTTTGATCATAAGATGCTTTTAATGTTATAGTAGGACTTTAGAAATGGTAAGTAAGCAAGTTCTGTATTAATTAGGGAAACTAATACCTTTTTCTCAAAATGAAGGAAATATTATTTTTTCTTTTTCTTGGTACTAACCAGTAAAGTCTGCCTAGTTTAAGATCTAGTGCATTTATACCATAAACTGAATATTAGAATAAAAAGAAATATAGAGGATGTTATATAAAAGACAATTATTTTCTGAAAGGAGTAGAAAACAAGGCAACTTGGAACACTACATATATATAAATGTAAAATATATTAATATACTTTTATATAGATGATATTATATATCCATATATATATTTTTTTGTTTGTTTGAGACAAGGTCTCACTCTGTCACCCAGCCTAGAGTGCAGTGGCACAACCACAGCTCACTGGAGCCTCGACCTCTGAGGCTCAAGCCATCCTCCTGTTTCAGCCTCCTGAGTAGCTGGAACCACAGGTGTGCACCAAGATGCTGAGCTAATTTTTCTGTGTTTTTTGTTGAGACGGGGGTCTCATCATGTTGCCCAGGCTGGTCTCAAACCCCTGAGCTCAAGCGATCCTCCCACCTTGGTCTCCCAAAGAGCTGGGACTATCAGGCATGAGCCACCATGCCCAGCTGTACTATTTATATTTTTTATTTAAATTAAATTGTGCTTAAAGATTCTAAAATTTATAGTATAAAGCTCATTATAGAAAATGGTATTGACTTCTGAAACATTATAGTTTTGGTTTTGTTTTTATTCCTTCGGACATTTTCACTTAAGGTAGTTATCACTCATGCTTTTCTGCTATTATAAAAAGTGACCAGATTTTGCTTTTTTATCCAGGAAGAACAGTTTGTGAATGCCACTTGATAGGCCACCTGTGTTATTTTCCATGGGTATTTCTAACAAATAAAAAGTTATATTTTTACTTTGTATTCATCAAATTATTTTATGTTTAATTTAGAAAAGCTTAAATTCTTCTTAGGAATATTTGCAAATATTTGTAAATAGTTTTTTTCAAAAAAGTTGAGGTAGATAGATATTAAATATTTTTGTGACTTCTCATTAAAAGAAACTGAAGCAATTAGTTGACCTCACTCAATTCATTAAAACAGTGCTAGGTTCCTGGTTTTCGTGACATTAAAAACAATTCAACATCTGTGTGTAGACAATGACTAAAACTTTATGATTTTGTTTCAGAGTTTTATTACCATAGATATTGTTTAAAATAGAACTTTCAAATACATTTAAGAACCATTAAAAGTGACTTCTCCCTGTGCCTGAAAGATACATGCATGGCTTATATCTTTTTGTGTATAAACAATTTAATGTTTAACTTTTATTTCCTTTAAGTTTGCATATCAAACACTCTTAGCAATCTCATCATTTATACTGGAGTACTTAGACTTTGAAACTTTGCCACAGCTACCTGCCACGTCCTTGTATAGGATATAAGTAAATATATTCAGTCATCAAATCTATAGAGAACTGTGAGAATAGAGTGGTAAACAAAACACATTGCCTGCCCTCACAGCTAAAGAGGAGTGATGGTGGGAAAGTGGAAGTGATCAGAACCCAATCTGAGGTCAGAAAACAAAACTACAATCTATTTCAGGTTGCACAAATGAAATTTTAACTGAATCTGAGGGACATTAGATTTAATCAAACCAAATGAGAAGGCAAGGTGGTGTTTTGAGCTAAGGGCACAGCAGATGTAAGAGTCATAAAGGAAGAAGAACAAAACACATTCAAGATAAAAGACACGGAGAGAGGGAAAGATGACACTGTACGGTGAAATATCTTGCAAGTCAATATTAGATACTAGCCTTTGGGCTTTAGCTTGAGAACAGTGGGAAGACATTGACGCTCAGATTTTTTTTTCTAAAGTTTTTTATTAATGCCTAATACATATAGAAGCATTAGCATACTGCTTCGTGAATTTTCACAGACTTAGCACACCTATGTGATGAACACCTAGATGAAGAAAAACAACAATATCAGCATCCTAAAAGTTCCCCTTCATTTTCCTTCCAGTCAGTCCTGTCTCTTGCCCACCAAGGGAGACCTCTTGCCTGACTTCTCACTGTATATGGAGGATATTGCCTACATTGTACTTAATATAAATAGGGGCATACAATGTGTATTCACTTGGGTGAAGCATTACGATTATGAGATTTATCCATATTGTTGACTGTGGTTGCTAATTGTTCTCATAGCTGTATAATGTTCCGTCATATGCATGTACTACAGATTTGCATTTTTCTGAGATTGCTGAATCTGCATCATGAAGGATGGGAGGGTGTGAATTTAGTAAGCTTCACAGTAAATCTAGGAAAGAGATACTGGGGCTTGAGCTAGTGTGGTGACAATGAGGATGAAGAGAGGTGGGTATATAGAGAGATATTTACAAGTTAGAACTTAATTGGATGAGGGGATGAAGAATCATACACCAGAGATAACTCCTGGGTCCTGACTTGGGCAGGGGTTAATGGCAGTGCCCTTCATTAAGTCCAAATACTGGAGAGGAAGTGGGTTGTTGCTTGTGCTTTAGTGATACAGGGGATTAACGAATTCAATTTCTGATACAGTTAAGGCATCTGTGAAACATTGCATAGATCTGCTTTATACAACTGTTTTATTAACTGAATTAATGAATAACCTTACCTTCATTAACAACAGTGTGCTAACAAATAGTTCTACATATGGAAAACTGCAAATCTTGTCTAGTCTCACTGTTCTTCACCTCTGAATCTCACGAGATACTCTTTTCCTAAATGTGTTAGGAGTGGTTTTGTTGCATCTCATGCTTTTTTTTCTTTTTATTTATAGAATATACTTCATCTAAACTAGTGCTAACTTTATGCAAGAAGAGTAGCACTTCCTAGGTATATGATATGAAAGGCATTGGTGAAATGCCTTCATACTTAAAGGCATTGTTTTTCCAACATTATGGTCTTTCCTTTAGCACAATAAAGACACCTTAAAATGAGTTTGTTTATAGGAAATAACCTACTTATTTAGTAAGACTTTAATGGACTGAAGTAAATATTCATGAGATTTGGGCAGGGGAAAGAAAAGAAAGATAGGGATGAGGTCTGACCTGAGCACAAACCTAGGCAGGGTGCCACAGGGGGAACCCTGAACATCAGAGAGCAGGTTGAATGCACCTGATTTTAAAGGAAGATTATGCCAAAAGAGTGACGTAGGAGCTGTAAAGGAGGGACTTCACCTCTTTTCGATGCTGCCTGGGACTAGTTATACTTGTGGAAAATTTTATGTGAAGATAACTAATAATTCTAGCACTGAATGAAACAAATGCCTGAGACCTACTGGAACATTAAATAGACTTTTATGCCAGCCAGTTATGATTCAGTGCTATATTTAGACCACAAAATTTGAACTAAAATCAAGGCAGTTTATTCTTATCCCATCATGTCCATGGGGTGGAGAGGAACAACTAAGTAATCATGATCATGCACTTCAGTTTATAGCGTTTTCTCTAGCTTTGGGCATTGTCACTTAACAGACAATACAATTTTAAAAATTAAATGCTCAATTTCATTTCACTGAGGTTTTTTGTTGTTGCACAACATTGTAAGTATACAGTAAGTTGTTTTTTCTTTTAAATTTTTGCCTCTAATTCAGGTTTACATTGAGCAACCAAATCAGTATTTTCAGAAACCATTGAAGTTAATTCATTTATTTAATAATTACTTATGAAATATGTCATGTATAATAGTGCTATAGCCTAAGATGATGATGGTGAGAAGTACTCCTACCTTTTGTTACTGGCACGATGGTGGCGATACTCAGAACAAACAAAAACAGTGTGATAACACAAATTATTATATGACTCGCTGTTTTAATAGTGTTTACAAAAGCAGTGAATCCCAGGAAAATAAACTATTGGCTACAATATCAAAAAAGAAATGATGGAAGTGGTAGAATTTAATTTGGGTCCTGACAAATAGGCAGGATTTGAACATGTATGGCAAGAACACTGCAGGCAAGGGTAACATCTCATGAGAACTGATGCAGAAAAAAATACAGCATATATTGGCAGAGTGAGAAACTGGCCAGACTGTAGCAGAAATCACAAGCTGGTGTGAGGAGAGAGAGAAAAGCTTCATTAAGGAAGTTTTGAATTACTGAAAAATTCACCAGTCATAAGGCATGGATTATTGTCTTGCTGTTTAGATTACCTATAAATGTAATTTTACTTTACTCACCACCATGTGATAATTATGTAGGGTTTTATCTTTTTAGAAACCTGATGTGAAATTACCTGAAGGAATGAAGTTAGTGTGCTTTTAAGTTAAGAATATCTTCACTCAGTATCCATGGATAGGCTTCAGGGAATCTGGATCTCTTTGAAATTAAAGCAAAAGTTTGGATGTATTTCTTTTTCTGGAGGAAGGATCCATTGCCTTTATGAGTATGTAACAGTCCAGAAGAAGTTAATAAAATAGCTCGAGCTCTCCTAACTTAAAACTTTTTTATTTTTTATTATTATTATTTTTTTTTTTGTAGAGATGGAGTCTCGCTCTGTCACCCAGGCTGGAGTGCAGTGGCATGATCTCGGCTCACTGCAACCTCCACCTCCCGGGTTCAAGCAATTCTGCCTCAGCCTCCCGAGAAGCTTCATCTTGGGTTTTTTATTATTATTATTATTATTATTATTATTATTATTATTATTATACTTTAAGTTCTAGGGTACATGTGCACAACATCTTGGGGTTTTTTTAATGCAGTAAATTAAAATGGGGAAATTAAAACACGTTAAATACTTTCCCTTTATTTCACTATTTACTGATACGGTATTTAAGAGATAATCCTGAAAAGTATATCAGTTGGGTTGATTATATAACCAGAGATAGTGGCTATTTTATCAATTCCGTGGCTTTCAGTAAAAGGACAGCTCAATTGCCTTTTTAGATACAGAATGTTTCTGAATATGCTATTTCAAGTAGAAATTCCTTCCTATTTTTGGACAGGCATATGTCTGCTTTCTGCAGAATACAAAGAATTTTCAATGTGTCCAGCTTCAGTCCTGAAATTTGACTTACCTGGATCATATTTAATCTTTTGCACAACTGTTTAAAGCAGGAGTCAACAAATTATATATAGCCCATGGGCCAAATCCAGCCCTCAAACCTATTTTTGTATGGCCTATGACCTAAGAATTGTTTTTACATTTTAAAATTGTTAAATTTAAAAAAGGATTGTAAGGGATTAGGATTTTAAAAAGGAGAATATGCAACAGAGATTTTATGTGGCCCTCAAAGTCTATGGTATTTACTAACTGGCCCTTTTTTTAAATGCCAATCCGTGGTTTAAAGTACAGTTTTTAAGTTCTCCTAGATGCATGTGTTATTCTACAAGCAGATACAATGCTTGTGGATAGATATTATTTTTGAAGTTGGGAGTATATTTATATAATTTTAGCAAAGTTGACTGAATAAGATAACCTGTTTTCTATACTGAATATTCAGCTAATAGTTTCGCTTTCTAAAGTCTGGATTTGAAAGTGTATGAACAAAGTGTGGACTTAGTAATCTACTTCAAAGAACTATGTGAATATGAAAGTAGATTTTGTTTTTCATGGATATATTACACAGCAACCACAATTCAGATCAAGAAAAATATTAAAATATAATCTTTGTTTTAGAAGACACCACTTAAGGCAAAGAAGGCAAAAGAAAACATTTGTACCTGTTAATGAGTTGGGAAGGGCAGCTCTTAAAAATTATACTATTCATTGGTTTATTCAACATTTATACTTATTTTTAGAACCATTATATATATTGGCTTCTTTGTATTATATTTTATTAATATTATTGTATGAGATACTATGATTCTAAATTTTGGATAAATATTGAAATTATTTTTAATGGGGGATATGTCATAATTAGTGAGTCTCAAAAAATTGGGGCAATTCTGCCTTCTCTCTCTGCATCATTATTTTTCCTTCACTACTGGATCTTTTCCACCAACATACAAATAATGTTGAGTTTTTTCCCCCATCTTAAAAAAAATCTTACTCCCAGTTCTCCTTTAGTTACTACCCCATGTCTTTCATGTAAAGCCTATATCTCTGAAGTATGTAGTTGCCTGTGCTGTCTGAATTCAGTTCCTATAACCCCTGCCATTTCACCAGAATTGTACTTCTTAATGACTGCCATGCTGCCAATCAGATGGTCATCTCAGTCTTCCTCTTATTTGACCTGGCAACGGTGTTTAACACTCCTTGTTTGGCCTTTTAGATACTATACTACACTGTCCTGTTTTTTTTTCTCCTACCCCTCTGGCTGCTGCTTTTTCAATCTCTTGCTGATTTCTTCTTGCCTCCCCATCTCCAAATTGGGAATGCTCCAACATTTGGAATTTTGAGGCCTTTAAAACTGCATGTTCACTCCCTTAGTGACTTCATATAGTACCATGGCTTTATATGATCATCCATTTGCTAATGATCAGAAGTCCTTTAGTCTTTTTTTTTTTTTTTTTGATATGGAGTTTTGCTCTGTCTCCCAAGCTGGAGTGAGTGCAATGGCATGATCTCAGCTCACTGTGACCTCCTCCTCCGGGGTTCAAGCGATTCTCCTGCCTCAGCCTCCCATGTAGCGGGGATTACAGGCGTGTGCCAGCACACCTGGCTAATTTTTGTAATTTTAGTAGAAATGGGGTTTCACCATGTCGGCCCGGCTGGTTTTGAACTCCTGACCTCAGGTGATCTGCCTGCCACGGCCTCCCAAAGTGCTGGGATTACAGATGTGAGCCTCCGTGCCTGGCCCCTGTAGTCTTCTTAGAATGTAATATAGTAAACTGAATTCCTCATCTTTCCCCCACCAAAACCTCCTCCGGCAGTTTTTCCCATCTGAGTAACAGCACCTGCTGTCTTTTAATCAGCCTTGGTGTCACCAAGGATGCCTGTCCTCCTTTCATTCCACATATGATAATTCTTCACATTTCTGTTACCAAAATATTATCTTGCTTCTGTCCCAAAAATATTTCTGAGATTCAGTTATTGCTTACCATCTCTACTCCTACAACCCTGATCCAAATCACCTTCATCTCTTACCTGTATTGATGCAAAAAGCCTCCTGTAATTGGTCTTCCTGTTTTTTCCTGTTGACTTAACTTCAGTCCATTCTTAATATAGCAGGTAAAGTAGTTATATTTAAATATAAGCCATATTATGTCACTCTTTTGATGAAAATCCTCCATTGACTTTTCATCTCAACCAGAATAAAAACTAAAGTTCTTAAAATAGCCTACCAGGCTCTGTGCTCTGGGCTGTCATTCCCAGACAGCCACTGCCAACCACTCCTGCCTGCTCACACCCACTTTGCTCTAGTCATCCACACTGGCTTCTTTGCTGTTCTTAGAACATGCCAGGCAAGTTCTTGCTTTAGAGCCTTTGCACTGGTTGTTCTCTGTAATACTCTTTCCCTGTATATCTACAGGGATCAATCTCTCATTACTTGAGATTTGTACTTAAATGTCAATTTAATGAAGCTTTCTTTAGCCACTTGATCTAAAATTGCAGATTTCCCCTACTTCACCCCAATTCTCCTTCCTGCTTTATGTTTCTTTTCTTGAAGACCTGTTACCATCTACCATCCCATATATTTTACCTACTTTTTTCATTTATTTTTTGCCTTCCTCCACTAGAATATAAAGGCTTTTTGTTTCCTTTGTTCACTGGTCTGTCCTCAGCACATAGAAATATAGTGTTTGGCCCACGTTATACACTTAGTTAATATTGATGAATTAATAAATAAGTGGAATTTAAAAATAGCCAACACAAAATTTTAACATAGTTCAGGGATTTTTGAGAGCTCCTGGGATCATTGAATAAGCATTCAAATATTCCAGTAAATGACATGCATGGAGCTAAAGGTATTAGAAATATGACTGTATACATTGGTATCATTATATATGTAGAACTTTCTTTTTTGCACAGATCCTTAGCTTTGACCATTTATTCTATTTTTAAAGTGTGGAATACTAAAAAAAAATATTATTTGAACTTAAATATGATTACTATTTGAGTATGCTATGATGTGAATACTTTTTAAAAGAATCTTTTATCATTAAAAGTAGTCATTTAGTACAGTAGGAATTTTTTTACAAAAAAACTTATAAAATAATTTAAATTTCCAGAAGAGTTTCAAAGGCAGTACAGAGACTGAACTTTTCAGGATCCTTGTTCTGTGTCTTATAAGTTTTCATCTTCAAAAAGCATGGAACAAATACTAATTCAGCCTACCAACATAGCTTTTGTTAAAGTAACTGCTTTTTAAAATAATTTTTAAATACATAAAGCTACCAAATAATTAGTTTCAAATTTCATAATTATTTTTTCTTGACTATATGCATAACTGATTTAAATAGAGTCATAATCCAAATTTTCTCAATTATGACATACATTTCTTCATGTTTCATTATAGTCTTTTTAAATGACTAATAATAGACCATCTTGCTGATGTATCATTATTAATAAATTGTTTTCTTCCTGTTGGACATCTTAAGGCTGTTTTGTTTTACTGTTATTAATAATATGGTAGGTGATATATTTGTGCATATAACTTCTTGCATTTGCCTAAATTATTTCCTTTAGCTAATTACCCAGAATTAGATTGGGCAATAAAAATCATAGGGCTTATGAGGAAAATGGGGTTGGAGTACAGCCCACAATAATTTTGTCAGTGACACATTTTTAAAAAGACAGAAAACTAATAACAAGTGCAGCACAGTTTTACATATGTTAAATGGTTAAGAAATACATAATTACTATTATACAAGTGACACTTTTTACCTTGAACAAACCCTGATGTTTGCTTGTGGAAGTAGGTATGGAATTGTGATCTCCAAGTTAATGTGAAGTGGTAGAAGGAGGATTATCTGAAATCAGAAGGAAAGTTGTAACATTGCATGTGATGGGTGTGGCTCGTAACAGAAGCACGGTGAACTGAAGTGGCTGGTAACTTGAGATGTGTGCAGGTGTGCTTTTTGTTTATTCTTATGTGACTTAGTTAAGCTGGCAGCAATTTTCTGTGTTCACTTAGTGTTTCTCGCAGATAAAATCATGCATAAGCAAAGGTGACATTCTCTTTATGCTCATGTAGTTCTCTAATAAACCAACTGCACTGAAACAAATTTGCATTTTCAAAATAAGTGTTATGGCAGAAGAGACTCCACTAATTTGTTATCCCATCAATTTTACTGCAATTTTAACATCGTGCTAGGTTTTTAAGCTTTTATATGGTAATTTTTCTGATATATTTTTAACCAGATGCCTTTAGAATACAGTTTGGTGCAGTCTTACAGATATAACTCCAACCATAATAGGCAGTGGAGATGTTATTTTAAAATAATAATAAAGCTTGGTTAATTGCACAGAGACAAGAAAAAATGGAGGACAGGTTTCTTCCAAGAATGACTGAAGCCAGAATAGAGGTTAGAGAAAACAGAAGAAGAAAAAAAAAACCCTAAAACCTGCAAAGGGAGTTTGTACCTAGGTAGAGCAGTACCTTGAATACCAGATTAAAGTTTCAACTTCCAGAAGGCAACCAAAAGTCAGTATTTTGTTGTTGTTGTTGTTGCTGTTGTTGTTGTTGTTGTTGTTGTTGTTAACAGGAAAGATGAAAGACCAGATAAGGAAGAAAGGCCAAGGAGGAGGACATAGGAAAAGTGTAGGTTGGAGATGGTATGGTTACCATCCAATAAGAACAGAAAAG
The DNA here is from genome assembly GCF_000001405.40 of Homo sapiens. Lineage (NCBI taxonomy): Eukaryota > Metazoa > Chordata > Mammalia > Primates > Hominidae > Homo > Homo sapiens. Next base: position 31,402,245 of record NC_000010.11, read on the forward strand.
AAAGTATAAATGTAAGGGTTTTGTTAGCAGTACTATTTGCCTTCTGATTAAATGATAAAGAAGATGTAAAATAAATGTTTGTCTAAGATTACTCCAAAGTATTATCCTGAGTGGCTAAAGAATAGCGATCCTAGAAAAAAAAAATTGATGATCAGGAAGAAGAGCTGTATGAGTGGGAGGAGAAGGTATTCCTGAAATGATGAGTTTAGTTTGAAAGGAAGCCTGACTGAGTGGACACAGCCCCTGATTGAGCATTAAGAAAATTTTTGATTAATTACTGGTGGGGCCCTGGACAATAGTATACTTCTCTGGCTTTCAGTTTTCTCACCTGTAAAATAAGTATTGAACTACTAGTGACTGCTGAAGTTTCTTCCAGCTTTGAAACAATTGCTGTGTGTTTTTTTTTTATTTGAACTTTATTACTGTTTCTTCATGATTGCTGTCTAGTGACCTTTTATGAAGACTTTGGTTTATAATGAAACAAGGATAAAGTGCTCAGTCTTGAGTCTGTTGGAGATTAAACTTTCCTGACTCCTGAAATGCTTGACTTGACACCGGAAGTGCCACAACTGCCATCTCACTTTATCTTTTTTCTGCCAAAGGAAGCTTCTTGCAGATCAAAATTGGGAGCAAGGAGAATTGGATGTATAAAGCCAAACTTGGAAAAAGCATTCTGCAATTTTTCTTAATACAATCTTTTGGGGCTCTATTTGTTATTAGCTGTTAGAAATCCCAATAAATTATTTGGAAAGAAATTCAGTACAAATATAATAATGTTATAGAAGTATATGTATATAGTAAATATAATCTAGGAGAGGCTTACCATAGAAAAGGTGCAGGCTTTGGAATTAGCTTGAATTCAAATATTAGTTTTATTACTCTACTAGCTGTGTAACCTTAGGTAAACAGAAATGAAAAGCTTTATTTTGGAGGATGATTTTATTTCTTTCTGTGTAAAATGGAAATAGTAATACTAAGTTTCAGAATTGTTGTGAGGATTAGAGACAATGTTTGTAAAGAACTGAGTATACAACCTGATACTTAATAAAGAGTAACCTTTATCAGTTACCAGGTAATAGTTATTGTTGCAGTATGAGGACTTGGTTAAAACTTTTTCAAATTCTTACCTGTATTAAACACTTAACCTACATTCTCCTCTTGTAATCAGAATCTCGTGTGCATGTATGTAATGATGGGTTCTCTAATATTCAGTTTTCTGGCAGATTAAAACATCTGACAAAACTAAAGAATTATTTTAAAAATATTTAGAGTGTCAACATATTCAATTCTTAGATGGAATAATGATCTTTAAAGAGATGAGACTAGTATGTAAAAAGTTCATTTTTAAAAGTAAGAATCTTCATCCTAATTATCTGCTAGCTAAGACAAAATAATAGAATCAACATTCTTACAGATTTTCGTTTACACTGCCTCCTTTAAAAGATGCCCAATACTGTGGATATTAAAGAGTGATTACTAGTATATTATGTATATTATATATTCAGCTTTCCTTTTGTAAATTGATTTTAAACATTTCCAAGAAATAGTTTCAAACTAGGTACTTCTTAACATCTCTTATACTTTTGCCTTAAATAAAAACACATTGATAATGCTAATTATATGGTAAAACTGTTAGGTCTGCAGAAGTCATATTTTATTTCTGAAATAATAAAAATACATTTTAAAACAGATGCAGAAAATGTGAAAGGTAGATTGCTGCTGGAAATTCACATAGTCTTTAAGGAATAAACTATGTACGTGTTGACTATGAACAGACTAGTCTATATTTACTATATTAAATTTTCACCAAGTTATAAAGATTCAGTATGTTATCCTTTTGGAAATTTAAAAAATAGTAAAACACATTCTTTTTAAGAGCAGGAACAATGTACTTGAAGCAACAAATTTATGACTGAAGATTATATATCAGTATAATCCTTGCTTCTCTGATTGCTGTGTACCCTTTTCTGCAGCCGTTTTTTTTTTAACTCTTAAAGTCTGTGCTCTATTACAGTGATTCTTTTTCTTGTTTCTAAAAGAATAAATGAATAGTTTTTTGTTAATAATTAATGTAGGCCTCTGCTTACCTGCTTTATACATTCTTTACCTGCCTGTACGTAGCACTTGCCTATGCAAGTATTCATTTACTGAAAAAGTTACCAACTTTGTAGCCTTGAAATCATTTAAAAAATATGTTAACTGACTTGAATACTCTGGTTAGAAGCAAAATGCATACCTTCTACTTGAAGGAATTTGTTTTCACCTTTACTGAAAAAAATACATATTTAGTTGTATTTTAAACACTACTTATTTTGACATAGTAATCACTTTATAGTTTTCTAGGAAGTTCATCTTTGTATGCATTTTATATCTCCTATTCTTTTCTTGTAAAGATTAGGTTACAATTAAAATAATTCAAAGATCATTGGGAGGTACTGCATTAAACTGTGGGTTGGATCTTGCCTTTTGTCTTGTTCAAACTGCACCTCTCCTTTTATTTTTTTCAATCTGAAGATAGTAGCATGCTTAGAGCATGAATGTAAGCCATGTGGTGGCTAAGATAGAGAAGGCAGAGATGGATGACTTCAGAGGAAGTAAGTGTTTGACAGGAGACTGGACTGGGTGATGGTGTGAACCAAAGTCAAGGTCACAGGGAGAAAAAGAGCAGGCTGGCTTCATGGGTGTGCAACCTGTACAGTTACACAAGGCTCAGCTTTTTTAATGTTCTGCTACTGCTATGTTGAAATTCTTAATCAATTTCACACAAGAGGCCCTGAATTTTTATTTTGCACTGAGTCTCACAAATTATCTAGCCTGTTCTGCAGATGAGAAATAACAGGAAGCAGAAATTTCTTGTCTTTTTAGTTATTAATTCCTTTTCCCAGATTAGCCAAAATGGGAATTATTTTTTAAATGATGACTTACGGACATTTAAAAAAATGTGGAAAATTAACCTAATTTGAAAGCAGTTGTGTGTGTATGTATGTTATTTAGTAATTTACCCAAGTATTGGAGAGGGGAAAAAGGAGCTTGTTAAATTTTCTTATGGAAGTGTCAAAGGTGGTCAAACTTCCAATAGACTTTACCAAGTCAGTATGTAATATACATAGTTTGAGAAGTAAAAACAATTGGTATTACAGAATTGTATGTCTGAATTACCTACTACGTGCTGGGCTTTACCCAGAAAAGTGTTTCTTTACCCATAAAGCCTGATGCTTTATATTCAGTACAGTACTTTATTATTTAGTAATTATTCTTTCCTAGTATTATTTCTAAAGTGGTAATTGTTTCTTGCCTTTATAGTGCTTGTAAACTTTATTTTTTAAAGATTTTGGAAATTAAAATTTAGAAATTTATAAGCCCATTGTGGTTTTTACACAGTCCTGTCAGTTTACTAGTTTTATTTGATAGCTATCTAATACGCACCTGTTTAAAGTGGAACGTGTTTCTATTACACCTAGGCTCTTTTTTTTTTTAAAATTTAAGTTCTGGGATACATCTGCAGTTTGTTACATAGGTATACATGTGTCATGGTGGTTTGTTGCACCCATCAACCCGTCATCTACATTAGGTATTTCTCCTAATGCTATCCCCCACCTAGCCTCCCACACCTCAACAGGCCCCAGTGTGTGATGTTCCCTCCCTGTGTCCATGTGTTCTCATTGTTCAACTCCCACTTATGAGTGAGAACATGCGGTGTTTGGTTTTCTGTTCCTGCGTTAGTTTGCTGAGAATGATGGTTTCCAACTTCATCCATGTCCCTGCAAAGGACATGAACTCATCCTTTTTATGGCTGCATAGTATTCCATGGTGTATATGTGCCACATTTTCTTTATCCAGTCTATCATTGATGGACATTTGAATTGGTTCCAAGTTTTTGCTATTGTGAACAGTGCTGCAGTAAACATACATATGCGTGTGTCTTTATAAGTAGAATGATTTATAATCCTTTGGGTATATACTCAATAATGGGATTGCTGGGTCAAATGGTATTTCTAGTTGTAGATCCTTGAAGAATTGCCACACTGTCTTCCATAATGGTTGAACTAATTTACACTCCCACCAACAGTGTAAAAGCATTCTTAGTTCTGCACATCCTCTCCAGCATCTGTTGTTTCCTGACTTTTTAATGATCGCCATTCTAACTAGCATGATGATATCTCATTGTGGCTTTGATTTGCATTTCTCTAATGACCAGTGATGATGAGTTTTTTTTTTTTCATATATTTTTTGGCCGCATAAATGTCTTCTTTTGAGAAGTGTCTGTTAATATCCTTTGCCCACTTTTTGATGGAGTTGTTTTTTTCTTGTAAATTTGTTTAAGTTCCTTGTAGATTCTGGATATTAGCCTTCTGTCAGATGGATAGGTTGCAAAAATCTTCTCCCATTCTCTCAGTTGCCTGTTCACTCTGATGATAGTTTCTTTTGCTGTGCAGAAGCTCTTTAGTTTAATTACATTCATTTGTCAATTTTGGCTTTTGTTGCCATTGCTTTTGGTGTTTTGTTCATGAAGTGTTTGCTCATGTCTGTGTCCTGAATGGTATTGCCTAGTTTTTCTTCTAGAGTTTTTTATGGTTTTAGGTCTTATGTTTAAGTGTTTAATCTATCTTGAGTTAATTTTTGTATGAGGTGTAAGGAAGGGTTCCAGTTTCAGTTTTCTGCATATGGCTAGCCAGTTTTCCCAACACCATTTATTAAATAGGGAATCCTTTCCCCATTGCTTGTTTTTTGTCAGGTTTGTCAAAGATCAGATGGTTGTAGATGTGTGGTGTTATTTCTGAGGCCTCTGTTCTGTTCCATTAGTCTATATGTTTTGTTTTTTTGTTTATTTTTAACTTCTTATTTATTTATTTATTTATTATTATTATACCTTAAGTTTTAGGGTACATGTGCACAATGTGCAGGTTAGTTACATATGTATACATGTGCCATGCTGGTGCACTGCACCCACTAACTCGTCATCTAGCATTAGGTATATCTCCCAATGCTATCCCTCCCCCCTCCCCCCACCCCACCACAGTCCCCAGAGTGTGATGTTCCCCTTCCTGTGTCCATGTGTTCTCATTCTTCAATTCCCACCTATGAGTGAGAACATGCGGTGTTTGGTTTTTTGTTATTGCGATAGTTTACTGAGAATGATGATTTCCAATTTCATCCATGTCCCTACAAAGGACATGACCTCATCATTTTTTATGGCTGCATAGTATTCCATGGTGTATATGTGCCACATTTTCTTAATCCAGTCTATCATTGTAGGACATTTGGGTTGGTTCCAAGTCTTTGCTATTGTGAATAATGCCGCAATAAACATACGTGTGCATGTGTCTTTATAGCAGCATGATTTATAGTCCTTTGGGTATATACACAGTAATGGGATGGCTGGGTCAAAGACAAAAACCACATGATTATCTCAATAGATGCAGAAAAGGCCTTTGACAAAATTCAACAACACTTCATGCTAAAAATTCTCAATAAATTAGGTATTGATGGGACGTATCTCAAAATAATAAGAGCTATCTATGACAAACCCACAGCCAATATCATACTGAATGGGCAAAAACTGGAAGCATTCCCTTTGAAAACTGGCACAAGACAGGGATGCCCTCTCTCACCACTCCTATTCAACATAGTGTTGGAAGTTCTGGCCAGGGCAATTAGGCAGGAGAAGGAAATAAAGGGTATTCAATTAGGAAAAGAGGAAGTCAAATTGTCCCTGTTTGCAGATGACATGATTGTATATCTAGAAAACCCCATTGTCTCAGCCCAAAATCTCCTTAAGCTGATAAGCAACTTCAGCAAAGTCTCAGGATACAAAATCAATGTACAAAAATCACAAGCATTCTTATATGCCAACAACAGACAAACAGAGAGCCAAATCATGAGTGAACTCCCATTCACAATTGCTTCAAAGAGAATAAAATACCTAGGAATCCAACTTACAAGGGATGTGAAGGACCTCTTCAAGGAGAACTACAAACCACTGGTCAAGGAAATAAAAGAGGATACAAACAAATGGAAGAACATTCCATGCTCATGGCTAGGAAGAATCAATATCGTGAAAATGGCCATACTGCCCAAGGTAATTTACAGATTCAATGCCATCCCCATCAAGCTACCAATGACTTTCTTCACAGAATTGGAAAAAACTACTTTAAAGTTCATATGGAACCAGAAAAGAGCCTGCATCGCCAAGTCAATCCTGAGCCAAAAGAACAAAGCTGGAGGCATCACACTACCTGACTTCAAACTATACTACAAGGCTACAGTAACCAAAACAGCATGGTACTGGTACCAAAACAGAGATATAGATCAATGGAACTGAACAGAGCCCTCAGAAATAACGCCGCATATCTACAACTATCTGATCTTTGACAAACCTGAGAAAAACAAGCAATGGGGAAAGGATTCCCTATTTAATAAATGGTGCTGGGAAAACTGGCTAGCCATATGTAGAAAGCTGAAACTGGATCCCTTCCTTACACCTTATACAAAAATCAATTCAAGATGGATTAAAGACTTAAACGTTAGACCTAAAACCATAAAAACCCTAGAAGAAAACCTAGACATTACCATTCAAGACATAGGCATGGGCAAGGACTTCATGTCTAAAACACCAAAAGCAATGGCAACAAAAGCCAAAATTGACAAATGGGATCTAATTAAACTAAAGAGCTTCTGCACAGCAAAAGAAACTACCATCAGAGTGAACAGGCAACCTACAAAATGGGAGAAAATTTTTGCAACCTACTCATCTGACAAAGGGCTAATATCCAGAATCTACAATGAACTCAAATAAATTTACAAGAAAAAAACATACAACCCCATCAAAAAGTGGGCAAAGGACATGAACAGACACTTCTCAAAAGAAGACATTTATGCAGCCAACAAACACATGAAAAAATGCTCATGATCACTGGCCATCAGAGAAATGCAAATCAAAACCACAATGAGATACCATTTCACACCAGTTAGAATGGCAATCATTAAAAAGTCAGGAAACAACAGGTGCTGGAGAGGATGTGGAGAAATAGGAACACTTTTACACTGTTGGTGGGACTGTAAACTAGTTCAACCATTGTGGAAGTCAGTGTGGCGATTCCTCAGGGATCTAGAACTAGAAATGGTCTATATGTTTTGATACCAGTACCATGCTGTTTTGGTTACTGTAGCCTTGTAGTATAGTTTGAAGTCAGGTAGCATGATGCCTTCAGCTTTGTTCTTTTGGCTTAGGATTGTCTTGGCTATACGGGCTCTTTTTTGGTTCCGTATGAAGTTTAAAGTGGTTTTTTCTAATTCTGTGAAGAGAGTCAATGGTAGCTTGATGGGGATAACATTCAATTTGTAAATTACCTTGGGCAGTATGGCCATTTTCACGATACTGATTCTTCCTATCCATGAGCATGGAATGTTTTTCCATTTGTTTGTGTCCTCTCTTATTTCCTTGAACAGTGGTTTTTAGTTCTCCTTGAAGAGGTCCTTCACATCCCTTGTAAGTTGTATTCCTAAGTACTTTATTCTCTTTGTAGCAGTTGTAAATGGGAGTTCACTCATGATTTGGCTCTGTTTGTTTATTATTAGTGTATAGGAATGCTTGTGATTTTTGCACATTGATTTTGTATCCTGAGACTTTGCTGAAGTTGCTTATCAGCTTAAGGAGATTTGGGGCTGAGACAATGAGGTTTTCTAAATATGCAATCATGTCATCTGCAAACAGAGACAATTTGACTTCCCCTCTTCCTATTTGAATACCTTTTATTTCTTTCTCTTGCGTGATTGCCCAAGCCAGACTTCCAATACTATGTTGAATAGGAGTGGTGAGAGAGGGCATCCTTGTCTTGTGCCGGTTTTCAAAGGGAATGCTTCTAGCTTTTGCCCATTCAGCATGATATTGGCTGTGGGTTTGTCATAAATGGCTGTTACTGTTTTGAGTTACGTTCCATCAATACCTAGTTCCTGGAGAGTTTTTGGCATGAACGGGTGTTGAATTTTATCAAAAGCCTTTTCTGCATCTATTGAGATAATTATGTCGTTTTTGTCATTGGTTCTGTTTATGTGATGGATTATGTTGATTGATTTGCATGTGTTGCAGCTTCATCCCAGGTATGAAGCTGACCTAATCGTGGTGGATAAGCTTTTTGATACACTGCCGGATTCAGTTTGCCAATATTTTATTGAGGATTTTTGCCCCAATGTTCATCAGGGATATTGGCCTGAAATTCTCTTTTTTTGTTGTGTATCTACCAGGTTTTGGTATCAGGATGATGCTGGCCTCATAAAATGAGTTAGGGAGGAGTCCCTCTTTTTCTGTTGTTCGAGATAGTTTCAGAAGGAATGGTAGCAGCTCCTTTTTGTACCTCTGGTAGAATTCAGCTGTGAATCCATCTGGTCCTGGGCTTTTTTTGGTTGGTAGGCTATTAATTACTGCCTCAGTTTCAGAACTTGTTATTGGTCTATTCAGGGATTTGACATCTTCCTGGTTTAGTCTTGGGAGGGTATATGTGTCCAGGAATTTATTCATTTTTTCCTAGATTTTCTAGTTTATTTGCATAGAGGTGTTTATAGTATTCTCTGATGGTAGTTTGTATTTCTGTGGGATCAGTGGTGATATCCCCTTTATCATTTTTTATTGTGTCTGTTTGATTCTTCTCTATTAGTCTGGCTAGCAGTCTATCTATTTTGTTAATCTTTTCAAAAAACCAGCTTCTGGATTCATTGATTATTTTAAAGGGTTTTTCGTGTCTCTATCTTTTTCAGTTGTGCTCTGATCTTAGTTATTTCTTGTCGTCTGCTAGCTTTTGAATTTGTTTGCTCTTGCTTCTCTAGTTCTTTTAATTGTGATGCACTTATTCTAAAATCAACCACATAGTTGGAAGTAAAACACTCCTCAGCAAATGCAAAAGAACGGAAATCATAACAGTATATCAGACCACAGTGCAATCAAATTAGAACTCAGGATTAAGAAACTCACTCACAACCTCACAACTGCATGGAAACTGAACAACCTGCTCCTGAATGACTACTGGGTAAATAATTAAATTAAGGCAGAAAAAAATAAGTTCTTTGATAACAATGAGAACAAAGACACACCATACCAGAATCTCTGGGACACAGTTAAAGCAGCTCACGCCTGTAATCCCAGCACTTTGGGAGGCCGAGGCGAGTGGATCATGAGGTCAGGAGATCGAGACCATCCTGGCTAACAAGGTGAAACCCCGTCTCTACTAAAAATACAAAAAAATTAGCCGGGCGCGGTGGCGGGCGCCTGTAGTCCCAGCTACTCGGGAGGCTGATGCAGGAGAATGGCGTGAACCTGGGAAGCGGAGCTTGCAGTGAGCCGAGATTGCGCCACTGCAGTCCGCAGTCCGGCCTGGGCGACAGAGCGAGACTCCGTCTCAAAAAAAAAAAAAAAAAAGCAGCATTAGGAGAGAAATTTATAGCACTAAATGCTATAAATTTCTCTCCCACAAGAGAAAGCAGGAAAGAACTAAAATCGACACCCTAACCTAGGCTCTTTTTCTGGGTCTCTTTCTTTCTAAAGTTTTGCTTATTTTGTTTACTGCACAATCCAACTAAAACCAAATTTTTTACATCATTTCATTTGAGAGTTACCTTTTATTCTAATAAACTGTGGAATAACTGGGGTTGGGGAGGGAATTGCTTAAGTTCATAAGGATTCTTGCAAACTTGAATGTGTCGATACAAGATTTTTTTTGAAAATTTGTAATTCCATTTCACGATCTCAACCAGAATTCATTATGTTTAAACCACCTGATATAGACTAAAACATTTTTTCAGGAGCACAATTGTAAAAAGGATGCAGAGAAATATTTACAACATTACTTATTTCTTTGCAGATTTAGTGAAAGTATGTCCTACTTTTACAAAATATCTTATTTTCCTCTCTTTTTTACACATATAATAGAGAACTAACTTTTATAAACTAAATGAGAAGGGAATACTAATTTTTAAATTATGATGTCACTTGTAGAATTTGTTTTAAAATTGATAAAATACACCTCTTTTTTTATTATTATACTTTAAGTTCTAGGCTACGTGTGCACAACATGCAGGTTTGTTACATATGTATAAATGGCCATGTTGGTGTGCTGCACCCATTAACTCATCATTTACATTAGGTATATCTCCTGATGCTATCCCTCCCCACTCCCTCTACCCCATGACAGGCCCTGGTGTGTGATGTTCCCCTTCCTGTGTCCAAGTGTTCTCATTGTTCAATTCCTACCTATGAGTGAGAACATGCGGTGTTTGGTTTTCTGTCCTTGTGATAGTTTGCTGAGAATGATGGTGTCCAGCTTCATCCATGTCCCTACAGAGGACGTCAATTCATCCTTTTTTATGGCTGCATAGTATTCCATGGTGTATATGTGCCACATTTTCTTAATCCAGCCTATCATTGATGGGATAAAGCACACCTCTTTAAGACTGCTTATAGAATGCTATGGACTCATTGGCTTGGTTTTTTATTTCCTTGGTTTCAGTCCAAAGTGTAATAAGCTTTTCAGAAAGTTTCTCCTGGATGTGTAAAGAATACCAACAGATATCAGAAAGCATCTGGCTGAAAGTTTAAGCAGGGAGTATTGTTATTCATCCAGCGAAGGTGGTAAAACTCTCCTGTATCCTCGAAGTATAACTAACTGAGAGAGAGAGGCCCTATATAAAGCCAGCTGACTTACCCTGCAATTGCTTGTCTGGCAAACAGACAATTTTTAAAGACTCATATATTTAGGAATTTTTAAATGCCATAGAATCGATGGACAAAATGATTTTCATTTATCTTAATCCAAAATCACAAGATTGATTATATACTTAGGTTATATGGAAAATCAGCATTAGAAGCATTAGTTCTACACCTCATTTGCATGACATTATTACAAGATATTAACTGTAAAAATGAAGTAAATATAATATCTGTTCACCAGATGCCTAAAACATACAACATTAGTATAGACATATAGAAGGATCTGCAAGCAACTAAACAAGTAGCGTAAATCAAAGAATATACTGATAAAGTGGTAAGTGCCTTTTGGGCTTCTTAGGTAATAAGCCCTTGTATCTGCCAGAATAGTCTAGCAAAAAATGCATTTTTTTCTTTAGCCTAGGGAAACTTTTCACAGGAGATGGAGTTTTAGGTATTGTGTAGATGATGGGAGAAATTGCTTTTGATAAGCTTCAGTGAAAAAGGAAGGGAATGTGTCATTGCAGATAGAGAGGGAGAGAAACACTGGTAGTTGGTCGTAGACTGGTAGTGGTGTAGAAATAGAAAGCAAAACCTATTGGACAAAGGAACTGAACAGATTTGTTAAAAAGGAATGAGACAAACAGATATGAAAGATAAGGAGTAAGCTGATACAGGCTGGTGAGCTCACTGATAGCAGAGTCCACCAAGAGGCATTTAGTGGTTTTCCTTCAGGGCAAAAAGTTTGAAAGAGAAAAATATGATCTCTAAATAGGGCTACTCATAAAAAATATTGACTATTAAGAATATAGATACAGTCTGTATCTTTAAGACTGCAATTTAGTACAATTTAATTTTGTTTATAGGCTAAACATTTTTATAATTTCATAGCGATTAACTTGATAAAAAAGGGAAAATTTCTTGGTCTTTCTGCCAATCTGTGTTTCTAACTGACCCTAAACAGCTCTGTTGGTTTCCTGCTCATGCATTAGAGCTTGTCCATAGCCACAAGCCCCTCTTTTCCTGTCAGCCCTGCAAAGACCGCCCCTTCCAAATTGCCTTCTCCTCTTGATGGCACATCCAAGCACTAGCAAATTCGGAATCATTTTTGACTTATCGTTTCCTTTTACCCTTTTTAATCATAGGTACAATCTTTTGCAAGTTGCTTTATCTCTCTGACCTTAGTTTTTTCATATATAACATGGAGTTAATAAAACAATATTGCCATTTTCAGAATTCAATAAGTTAATGTGTAAAAGCACACAACATAGTGCATGGCACATAATAGTTGAGCTTTAATTGTACATGTTACTTGTTTTTTCTATCTTCTCAACTGGTAATAATAACTCTACTGAATAGGTAGTAATTTAATGAAAAAAATTAAATGCATTGTGGTGTTTGCCAAAATTTTTGGTTTGTATGTATACACTGGATTACAGTTTTATAAATTTGTCCTCATGAAATTGATTGTCAGGTGTTTTCTCTTTAGTTGTTTTGTTAAAAGGTTAATTGGAGCATAACAAATGCATCACTATCTTATGTAGCTCCTATAAAAACATAAATACTTTAAAATAAATTTGAAAATTAGAGGGGCTACTACATGCAACTGATTATAGTTCTAATTTTAGTTATGAAATTTACTTCTCAACTAAGGCACAATCTCTAATTCTGTATCTGCATTGATGACTCAGTGATTTTAGAGGTTGTGAGTTGATATTTTCACATTTCTACCTATGGTAACTCATTACAGAATGTCTGATCATGATATCCTGTTCTGTGTAGCATCATAGTGGACACTTCATGATATTTCTGCTAAACCCTTTACCTGTCATAACTGTCTCCTTTCTGTTTTGCAAATTCCCTCAGCAAAGTCAAATTCAGTCCTCACTTGGTTATAAATAGCATTATAAACCATATTTTTGATTTAAATAAAGCACACAAATCTCAAAGAATGATAAAAGCATTGTTCATACTTTGTAAAACTTAATCATTGATTATAGATTAAAACTGAAACAACATGAAGGGATCAGACTCACTCACAGAAGGTTATTGAGAACCAGGAATCATAGATTTCATTCAATTCAAATTATCAGTTGTACATTGTTGCTTGTTCAAAATCATTTTACAATCCACTTTGCCCACCTCCATCTTCTTACGTTACAAAGAACTTTCATCTGCTAGGCACTGCTGATGGTAGAATGCCATGCCTTTAAGGTTTCCCTTTGGAATATAAAGTCTATGTTTTCAATAGAATTAACTGTTCGACAGAGAGAGAACAGGATTTCTGTGCAAAGATGGTACAGTGCTAGTAAAATATATAGCCCCTTTACTGTCTACATTAAGCAAGGATGATACCCTAAGAATTCTAGCTGCTGCTGTTGATGCTGCTGCAACTATTACTACTACTACTTCTACTAATCACGAGTATAGAAAAATATCTCTTTGATCCTGTGTGTGTGGTGGTAAGGTTTTGGGAGAAGCCATTATCTATGGGTGGTGGAATCACATATATTTTAAAGTCTTTTCGACCATGTTCGTTTTCTAATTTTTCTCAAGTAAAAGATTCTTCTATACTTTTAAAAAAATTATAATTTAAAAAAAAATCTTATTGGACTTGTTTAAATTATCAGATATTTTTCAGTTATGTAATTGGTTTCTGGCATACATAGACTTTTATCATTTGCTCTGCTTTAACATACCTTCATCAGTTTTATAAATACAGTTCGAAAGGATTGTTCTAAATATATATAAAGGGAAAACTTCATTTGAAAGCAAAATCTGTATTTGGGATATTTGTTGTCTTTTTTGCCTTCTAAAGGGCAATCTAGAAACACTAATATTGATTGGTTATTTTGTTTCATAATACTTTATAGCTGATTCTTGGCAAAAATGGTTGATTTCTCTTTCATTGTAATACAATAATAAAAAAGTTACTCAGAATTTCTCCAGTGTTTTAAGAGCTGTCCAGGTTGACATCCAAAAATTTAAGAGAGCGTTAGAACATGGGATATCTAATTGTTAATTGAGACTGGAATTATTTCTAATAATCTTAGTTGTAAATACTAATATCTTATTAGTCTTCTTATCTTTGCTGGTATAAAAATGGTTGAAACATTTGAAATTATTTTCTCAGTTACAGTTTTGCCCTGTGTAGAAGTGTGATTATCTAAGAAGTGATTTTTTTTCAGATTTCAAATATGAAGTGTTGTTTAATACTAACATATAGTTACAAAGACTATCGTGACTATTTTTGGTGTTCTTGATTATGATTTAATACTTCATACTTTAGGAAAGACGATTTAGTTCTAAATATATTTATAAGTGAGTTCCTAATTTTTTGTGTGCTGTAGACTTCTAAGCTATTGATATAATTGAATGTTAAGCATTTTCATTTTTTATGGCTTACTACTTTAATGCAAAGCAGAATAAAATACTAATTTATTTCTTACCCTCAGATGATGTTGTGCTGATGTATATTTTCCAGTCTTGTCATAAGCTCACAATTACCTACATAATGGTCTTGAACCAAACGATTAAATGGAAGACAACATTTCTGGTCTTCCATTTTAATTAGTGTGGTGCAAGACTATTATGTAGGTTTTTGTGTAAAATGTGGAATGTGAATCCTCAACTCTTTAGTCATTCTTCCTATTAGATATTGAAGCAAAATTTAAAATATGCCATTTGACTAAAGATATCAAAGTGCTTTATAAAGATATTACAATGTACCTAAGTCCTGTTTTAGAGCACCAGAGAGAAAAATAGAAGCGCATAGAAGGAATAAATTCAGTTGCACATTTTGTATTTAATCCAATGACTCAAAAACATGGGCACATATTTACCAAATTAAACGCTTTCATCAAACATCTTCTTGATCATACCATAAAAGCCCCCAAAGTTTTTATTGGTAGCATTGCTCTGATTAATGAAATGAGCTTCAGTGCAAAAACTTGGGCTGTTAGAATACTTACAAAACCATTATTGTCCAGTTCTATAGCTGCTACCCTAGTCCCTGGCTCTCATCTTTTTATACCTGGTTTACCACATCAGCATCCATGCTGAGAACCATGCCTCAGTCTTGCACTGCTCAAATACATTTAGTCATGAACTTATTTATTCAGCAGACCTTTGAGGACCTACAATGTGCCAACAATTTATTTAAACAATATTTGTATATTTTCCATCCCCAGGCTAGGACTTATAGTCCCCAGTTGGTTATCAAATCTAAACTAAACTCAGCCTAAAAATTTAGAGTTCTCCAAATCTCACTTATTCTTGTTCTTTCATGCCAGTCTCCTTATGGTAACATTCATTCTTAGCACAATGTGTGTCTGTTCCCACTTCTTGTCCTAGTGCATCATCTTTCCTCTTCAAGGATGTACTCCTTCTCCTCCTTAAAATTTTAAAAATCATAGCTAAAACTACCCTGTGAGGTGTGAGGTTTAGGTTGGTGTAGTCATCTGACTTGGATCATTCTTTTTATTCTGGATCCTGAGAGTATCTAGAGGAAATTGCGTATTCTGGTTAATGAGTGGCTTATCACATACTGTCTTAACAACACTAAGCACTCTTTATTCAGTAAAAGTTCACACCATAAGAAAATATATTGTAATGTATTTAGTGCTTCTTCGGTGATATATAAGGTGTTCTACTTAGAAATTTAGATTTGTAGGAATGCTGGTTAATAGAAGTTTCTAATATTTACTGTCTTCCATATTTCCTGATGTTTTGTTTATTTTAAGCTATTTTAAATATTTTGCATTTCATATTTTTAACCAGGCAGTATCTCTGTTCCTCATTCTGAACACCCAATATGGTACTTTGAACATAATAGGGTTTCATAAAGTGCTTGATTCAGTAAAAAAAAAAATTGAACATCTACTATGTTCCAGGCATTTTGCTGGATTTCTGGACTACAATCATGAAAAGACAGTCTATTCTCTCAGCCTGCTTATAGTCTAGTGGGAAAGATAGGTTGACAGACATCCCTAATATAGTATAAGTTCTTGAATACAGGTAAATACAAGAGTATAGAGTACCTAGTCTCTTCTAGGAGTGTCAAGCAAACTTTTTTAGTAGAAGCAGCCTCTGCACCAAGGAGGGAATTAGGAAATTTTAGTGCCTGATAATCTCCTTCAGTCTCCTAAATTATACCAAATGAAACAAAGTAACAGTGTGTGTTTGCTATGGGAATACACCTGGAAGTCAAATATCCAGCATGCACTCCCTAAAGAGTGCCACCCTAAACCTTCCCATGTAGGAATGCCAGCGCCACCTCTGAGAGGAAGGGATGGCTAAACAGAGGCAAGCAGCAGACAAGAGCAGGAGGATTCCTGCAAGGGGAATATGAACAAATACCCAGTGGCAAAAACAAAACAAAACACCAAGGGGAGTTGGAAGAAGTCATTTTCCAAGGCCAGAATGTAGATTTGTTTGGACGGAGTGGATGGGGGGATATAGGCACAGTCTTTGAGCTGCAGAAGAATGCCAGGAGCCAGGTCTTAAAGGATTTTAAATCAGTGATTTTTTAAAACCTTTATTTTCTTAACAGTAGAATTCTTAAGAATTTTAAAATTTTAACTTTAGCTCAATATTTAAAAAATAAAAACAGAACTAGTTTGGTTTTGATGTTGTTTAAGGTTTATTTTGCTGTGCGTTTTGGTGGGGTGGTAGAAGTGTTAGTTTCCTTGGTTGCTTGCTTCTCTCTGTACTCTACTGAGGTTAGGAATTGTGTTCTAGAGTCACATCATGTTACTAACTGGGGCTTTGTGTTCTGACTGGTAGTAGCAATAGGTTTCACCCTTTGTGATTGAGTAGGCTCCTAGGAATTTACTTTCATCTATTCAACAAAAATGTGTATACAGGTTGAGCGTCCCAAATCTGAAATGCTCCAAAATCTGAAACTTGTTGAGTGCCAATATGATGCTCAAAGGAAATGCTCAGTGGAACATTTTTAGATTTCAGATTTTCAGACTAGGGATGCTGAACCAGTAAGTATAATGTACATATTCAAAAAAAAATCTGATATCCAAACACTTCTTTTCTCAAGGATTTTGGATAAGGTATGCTCATCCTGTATTCTTAGTACTAGTAATGTTTCTCTGAGCAAAATAGACACAATCCCTGACCTCATGGAGTTTCCAGTATAATGCCAGAGATGGATATTAGAAAGTAATCCTGTAACTATAAGCTGTGAGATAAATGCTGTACAGAAGAGGTCACTTACATTGAGAGATCTGTAAAGAAATGACATTTAGATAGAAACTTAAGTGGAGATCTGAACAATGAGCTGGTGGTAGACAGTGGTGTAGGCAGAGGCTGTAACATGCATGAATGCCCTGGGGGGATAAGGTTTGTGGCAGCAGTAAAGCCGGAGAGGGAGGTAGAACCCAGATTATGGACAGCCAAGTTAGGGATTTCGATTTTATCCTCAGTGTAATGAAAAAATCATCAAAAGGTTTTGAATAGTGGAATAATATAAGATGACTTGTTTTATTAAAATATTAATTATACTATGGCTAATGTGTGGAGATTTGCTAAGAGAACAGGTAGAATGAGTGAGTATGGGGACATCAGTTACAGGAGTCATATTCTCATATCCGCCACATAGTGGGCACTCATTCACCATTTTGTGGTTAGCTGAATGATGACTAGATCACTGCCTCTGTTGTAACATCTCAAATTATTTGCACTTTAACCATGAGTTAAGTTGGATATTTTTGAGGAATCATGAAGTGTTGCTGATTTGTACTAATTTTTCCTCATAAAACTTTAGATATTTTGAACTGCTGCTTCATCTTGCCAAGGGTGAAAACAAAGCATTTATTCATTCATTCGAGAAGTGCTTAAGCTGTGCCAGGTACTGGCTGAGAGCTGAGGATACAGACTGAATGAATAAGTTAGGCATGATATCTGCCATCAAGTGGCTTGTAGTCTGGGTAACCAGAGCTGAGTAGAGCAGGCGGTATGTTGGCCTCATACCTCCGAAGTAGTATGTCTGGAATTAGCCTGTCTGTAGTCCCAGCCTCAGTATCTGGAATATCCTAGGTGAAGATGAGATCTCTTAACAATTTAATTACATTTTCTCCTACCTCCTCTTTGTTCTAATGTATACTACTAAATTTCTACTTCGATGACCTTTGCTGAAAATACAGCCACTCTTAAGTCCTATAACACATGTGCCCAGGACCGGACAACCTAAAAATTAAATCCTGATTCTTCTTTACTCTTAGAAAAGCTGGGACCTTCCTTAATGGATTAACCTTCTATTGCTGCGTAACAAATGACAAGAAATTTAGTGATTTAAACAACACGTATTTATTGTCTCGTGCTTCCATGGGTCAGGAGTCCAGGCACTGCTTAGCTGGCTCCTCTGCTTAAGGCAGCAATCAAGGTACCAGCCAGGCTACATTCTCATATCTAGCTCAGGGTCCTCTTCCAAGATCATTCAGGTTCTTGACAGAATTTGTTCCCTTGTGCTTGTAGGAAGGTTGCTTCTCTCCACAGGCAGTTCACAATATGGCTCTTCACCTTTTCACAAGTGGCAGAATAGAGAGAGTTTACTGCTTTGCCTCTCTGAATTCAGGGAAGGCCTAACTCCTCTTTTAAGGGTTCACCTGATTACATCAGGCTCTCCCAGGATAATCTCCTTTGATAAACACAAATAGCTGTTTGGGTACCTTAATTACATATGCAGAATCACTTCACATTTGCCAGATAACATAATCACAACAGTAATATTCCATCATATTCTCAGGTCCTACTTATACTCAAGGGAAGGGGATGATAGAAGACCATGGATCATTGGAGGTCAGTCATCTTAGAATTGTGGCCACCTCACTTGCTTTTTAGTAAAAACTCTCACATCTTTTAGTTTCCAACAAGTGATGCTTGTCTCAGTCTCATTATATCTTTGATGACTTCTTCACCATTCTTTCTCTTCCTTCATTCCGTAGATATCGAGATTTCTCAAAACATCTCATCAACAGTCCAGCCTGTTTCTTGACCCTGTACCTCTTATTTTTCATTGGCTGAGGACCAATTTTCTTGTTCTAAAAATAAAGCTAAGAGCAGGCACTTTTTTCTCCAGTCATTTGCTGAAAAACATAAACTCATCAGATAATAAAACAAATGCTGTTTCTTGCCTGCCTTGTACCAATTTAGGGAGAAGCCTAGGGGAGAGTGACTGATTTTAGCTCCAGCCACTCCAGGTAGGGAAAACTGTGCATGGATGATTGGGAGAACCTTACTTAGATGGGGGACAGGCAGTTGTGTTAGTGAGTTCTAGCAGATGCACCCTCCATGGCATGGAGGAGTATTGTCCTTTTATGCCAGGGTACCTTAGAAGAGTATCGGTGTGGGTTGTGACTTATGAGAGGGGCTACACATGCATGGGTTGGGACAACCATGTGGTATTAATCTACCAGTGGTTTCAAGTTATATTGATAAAACAAATACATTCTTACAATTTAAGTGTAGCCTTTACACCTGAATTCAACCATCTGCTATCTAGCAAAATTCAGTATCTTGCAAACTTAAGGCTGTCAGGCGTCTGCTGCTAATTTAAGGATAGCTTGGTGGAATTTGCATGGAGGGAGCAGTTCTCTTTTCTCTTTCTGAAATGACCTTCATCTCTCTTTTTATCTGATTGGTTTATCTGTTAAAACCCAGCTTAGGAAAAAAAAAGCTTAGACATTGCCTCCCTGCTAAAGCCTTTCCATTTCTAGAAACCTATCTCCAGTGTCCATCCTTGAGAAAGTCAATCCTTCTTTTCTCTTTGTTCTCTACCTGGATTGAAGTTGTTTCTGTCAATTAAAACTACCATATTTTATTATAATTTATTTACATGCCTGTCTCCTCTACTAGTGAGATCCTTGGGGATAGAAACTGATTTATTAATTTTCTTAACTATAAAGTGCCTGACCTGTGACAAAAGCTCAATACATGTTTTGAGTAAATCAATCACTGCACCAACTCAAATCACAGTATTCCCCCCCTCCCCGCTGATTTCAAGTGACCACCTCTGATCCCCTTAGACACAAACATTGACCCTGATTAAACCTGTGTTTGCTTTGATCCATAGATACACATTTGAACTACAGGCCATCCTTTCTGGACGGGGTTTTGTTACTCTGGCCTACAGTTCTTTATTCTTTTTCTCCCCACTGACCAGCATGTATTAAAGTCACAAGACCAGTCTTTCAAATAGATGTTTTGAATGGGGCAAAGCCTTTTCATCTTGAAGCCCTGTAAGTCACTCCAGAGAGTGTGGGAAAAGCAAAGTGCTTGGCATAGGGTACGGTAGTAGCAGAGGATCTTAATTATAGTTCTTCACATTTGAGTGAAGTTCTGAAGCTATGAAGTAGAAAGTAGGAATTATCATCTCAGTTACCTTAGTTTTGATGTGTGGACCAAAGAAAATGTTCAGGAATCTTCATATTGTGAAATGTGCAGTACATGTTTAAGGTTGTAGAATATTGGCTCTAAGGAGAATTTTATATTCATTCTTAAAAGAGAACTAAGTTAGAGACAGTATCTTCAGATTATTGTTTCCCCAAAGACCCTTACCTGGTTTTACTGTTGAATTAAACAGTAAAATTAAACTGTTGAGTTAAACAGCATTAAAGATGGTGCAGTAGCATCATTAGATGCATGGCCTTGGAAGAACATAGCTTTCATATCAGAAATGTACTTTTCAAAAAATCTATATTTCCTTTTAAATAATTTTATAATCTCAGCTTTCATTTTAGAGTTGGGGGTACATGTGTAGGTTTGCTATGTGGATATATTGTGTGATGCTAAGGTTTTGGGTGCAAATGATCCTGTCACTCAAATACTGAGCATAGTGCCCAATAGGTACCTTTCCAGCCCTTACTCCTTTTCTTTTGTTCCCCCCTTTGGTTGTCCCCAGTGTCTGTTCCAATCTTTATGTCTATGTGTGCCCAATGCTTAGCTCCCACTTAGAAGTAAAAACATGTAGTATTTGGTTTTCTGTGCCAGTGTTAATTTGCTTAGGATGACAGACTCCAGCTGCATCCATGCTGCCGCAAAGGACATGATTTCATTCTTTTTAATGGCTGCGTAGCATTTCATGGTGTGTGTGTATATATATATACATGTATATATATAAATGTATATATAAATGTACTTTTTCATGTGAGAATTCTTCCAATAAAATATTGATGACTGTGGCATAGGAGTGTAAAATTAGAAGTGCTTCATATGGATACAATGCCTACATTTCAGAAATCTTCATGCAGCTCTTCTGGAATGTGGGCAAATTAGTCTCCCGGTTTTCTCTATGGTCAACCATTTTCTATTATACTCACCTTGTCAGAAGATATTTAATTTACCACAATTAACTAAAAGCTTTTGTTTAAAAAGTATGTCTTATGGAAAACAGAACAGAGGTGACTAATTTTTTGTGTGCAGTAAATGTTTTTAAGTAAGCATTTCTACAACCAGGTGAAGGAAATGATTAAGTAGAAATTGGGACTTGCATGTAATTTTTTAAAAGATTGTGAAACTTGTTAATATTATGCATGTATCCAACTTCTTTTCTATTTTCAAATTATTCCAGTAACAAAGGTTTATGCAATAGGTATACTCCCAAAAGGTTGTGTTACTATATAATGCAAATGCATGAGGATCAGTGTTTAAGCAATTAGTCAAAACCTCTAATTTACCTCTTCCCAAACATAATGTATTATCTCTTGAGTTATCTATAAGCGGCTAGTTGTAGGAAAAAATGAGAAAAGCTGGCTATATAGCAAGTTTGTTCATCCAGAAAACTTCAGGGTTTTTAGTTTGAAACCTTCATGAGAAATTTTTAAATAGTTAAAAGCAACTGTAATTGTAGCTACTTGTTATCAGTTGTTCTTCAGGCCTAGTTCTTAAAAGAGAAATTTTAGGAGTATGCTACTCTAATTTCAGCAGATAATCATTTAAGATGCTGTCATGATAGAAAACGACTCCAGAATAATAAGGATAGTTTATATGTTTCTTAGAGATTCTGTAATGATCAATTTTTAGAAAGTATACTTCATACAAAGCCAAATATTTGCTTTTGTTTTTTTGTTGTTGTTGTTTTTCTTTTGTTTGGTTGATTTCAGCCAACCCCATTTACCCCATTATACTCAATTTTAATTTAATTGTTTTGGAAAATGTTCTTCCATTTCATTACAACATTTTACGTTTTCTCTAATATGTGTTTACGTAAATTCACTTTGAAGAAATGCATTTATACCATCAGCTTTATGGAGTTATTGCAAACCAATGCCATCATCAGTGAGACTATAAATTTTTTTTTGCAGACTAGTCTTTTCATCATGACTTTGCATAACATTGTTCCAGCTAGATCAACAAATTGATTATTATATTTTACTATATCATGAATAATGCCCAGAGGCTTAGTAATATGAGTGAAACTTACTGGGGATGATATTTTATTTAAGCTGCTATATTTAAATGGTGCTGCAATTTAGGTATTCCATTGAATCTACATATAGTGCATACTTGACATAGTTAAGAAAAGGTTTTGTTACTTTTCTTATATTGAATATTTGAGTAATACACAGTTCTGTTGTACGTTAGGATTTGAGTCCCTTATGTACAAAAATATTTACTACCTTCTTTGTTTCATTTCAGAATGACCTTATTTAAAAGTGTATGAGGCTATTTATAATCAACTCTGTGGAAGTGATTAAAGAGGTGTGAATAATAGGTTATTGGAACTTGACAGCTCATAGTTTGCTAAACTAGTGTTAGAACATTTATGCTGCTCAGATGTACCTTATTTTCCTTAAGTGAGAATTTCTGTTTTGACATGTGGTTTGTTGATATAATATATTGCATAGGTTTTTCTCTTTTAAGTGGTTTACCAAATCTTGATATTTTATTGCCTTATTTTACATTTTCAGCTTAATCAACATTTTATGCTTAATAAGAATAACCTTGGTACAGGCTATAAACAAAACAGTCAGTATAGACAGAGTACGGTCCTTAAGTGGAGCATCAGCCTTCCATTTCAAGCTATCCTATAAAATAAATACAATCAAATTTTTTTTAAATGGGAAAAAAACTCTTTTCTTACAGAAAATTTGAAAACATTTGGTAGGTTAACATTCAGCAGTTGTTACTCTGGGAGGAATGTTAGAACTCCTGAAGAAATTTGGGATAGCCAATATATCCATAAAAAGAAGAGGTGTGTATTTGGTATTTCATTAAATCTTTACTAATTTTAAATACAAAGACCAGAAAACCACGAATTTGAATCAATTGAATTTGAGTTAGACAGCCTTTTTATTTGAGAATAAAAAGAAATCTAGGAAAGCATTTTTAAAATTTTGAAACCATTACTTAATGAGTTTCCACTGTTCTCATGGATTCAGAGCATTGTCATTTGGTAGTACTCTCAAGTATTCTCAAGATTTACTAAAATGCATTTTAATAATCGCAATTCAGTTTTCCCTAACCAGCCAGGAGGTAATGTTTCTAAAAAGAACGTGGTTGGGAAAACTGTGGCAGAGAAAATCAGGCCTCATAGACAACAAAGGTTAGAGAAATAAAAGTAAAAATTACTGTGTATATATTCTACAATAAACCTGAGAAATTCTTTATAAAAAAATCCAAAATTAACCACATTTCTCAACATGAAAAACTTCCTAGACTAATTCATCACTGGACCCATTTACTCAGTTGTGATTTTAGCATTAGTCACCCACAAATTTTGAATTATGTAAATTACACCCATTTTAAAGTTTTTGAACTATCTGGCTTGAAACCTAATTTTTCTCTTGATTTCCTCTTGTCTTATTTTTCAAGTCTGAGAAATTATTGTGCAGCAGTCTATATTTTGGTGGAACTTAAGGGTATATTTTTCTAGACCTGACTTCATTTATTAAAAAGTTGGAGTACAAGTGTTTATGAAAGGATGGTATAATTGTTTGAAAGTATCAGTTGTATATGCATACATATAAATAGCCCAAATGTTTTATAAAAATGAAGTGTGATGATATATTCAAAGAACGCTGCAATAATTTATTTTTGGAGTACCATGGTACTTTGGAGAGAACTCTAGAGACCTGTTTTTAATCCTTTTCTTCTAATTACTCTCTGTGTGAATTTGAATAGTTTGCTTAGCTTTACTAAGCTTCCTATATCTTTTCCTTAAAAAGTGATGATAATACCAACTCTACCAATGTTACAGTATGTTGTTCTGAGGATGTTCTGGTTAAAGTGCTTTGTAACTTGTGAATTGCAAGGGAATTGTAAGATTTGCCAATGTTGCACTTGTTGCCAATCTGAAGATTCAAGCTATAAGTTGAATACAAAGTATGTGACCTAGAGAAAACATTACTCTGCCCCCTACCCTCATCCCACCCCCATGACTCAGGTTGACAGCTATTCTTAGTTAAGAGATACTTGGGGAAAAGAGGACAGTTTAGAGAACTTCCTGTAGGTATTCATTGACTCGTAGTTCCTTTTGGCCTTCTCAGACACTTTTCTTAAAAGACAGTTTTATATCGGTAACCTCACTCTAAAGTCTGTAGAATAATAGCACATTCTGATTATAGAGTCAGTCTAACTTTATAACGCTAGAGTAGTACAGAGAACTCTCATGTTGTTTAGGTTTTCCAACTGGGGACATCCTGTGATCTGACTGTTCCTAGTGCACAAGCTAATCCCACCCATATCCTGTTTGTGAGTAATTGGATGGATGCCTGGAAAATCTAGTGCCAGATTGTATAGTGCCTTTACAACAGAAATCTCTAGTTTGAATTGATTTACCCTCTACCTAAACAAACACCTCTCATAGGTGAGCCTCTACTCTAAAAAGGCAAGATTATATAACATAGATCCCTAGTTCTTGTTTCCATAGTCATGCTTTGGATGGTACTCCCATTGATCTGGATCAGAGACATATGTAAAATACAATTTCAGGGTGTTGTTTTTCTGTATAACTGAAGCAGTAGATTTTGAATTGTATACCTCTTCCCATGAATATAGAAGACAGCTTTGTAGGAAAAAATTTCTTCTTAAATCATCTTTTTTATCTAAATTATTAAGAATAGGAAAATACCATTTGCATCATTGTAGTCTCTCTTACTTCTTGGGTTCTCTTTACAAGATATCAAAATATGTTTAAAAAAAAAACCCGGATGCATATAGGTGTGTGCAAGCTTGTCGTAATTCAAAAAAAAAATCCATTGTTAAATTTCAAAGACGTGTAATAGTGCTAGCATTTACTACAGCATTGTGATAAAGGGCACAAGCTCTAGAGTCAGTATCCTGGATATAAATGCTAAATCCACCACTTACTGAAGAATTCTACCAGGCATGGCAAAAATAAAACCTTTCTTCTAATTGCCATATTCTTAGCCATAATTTGTGAATTATTCAAAATTAATAATTTGTTTTGGAACCCCAACTCAGTAGGTATAAGCCGAAAAAGGGAAGGACTGAAAAGTATGAAAAGTGATAGCTTCAGTGAGCCCTGGTTGATACCAGGGCTCAAATTATATTATGACTCACTCTCTTTCTCTCCCCCCACCTCCCTTGTATTTCTTCCTCCCTTTCCTCTGTCTGAGACATAGGGCTTGAACTGATTGCTTTAAAAGGCAATGAATCTTGGCCAGGCGCGGTGGCTCAACGCCTGTAATCCCAGCACTTTGGGAGGCCAAGGCGGGTGGATCACGAGGTCAGGAGATCCAGACCATCCTGGCTAACATGGTGAAACCCCATCTCTACTAAAAATACAAACAAAAAAAATTAGCCGGGCGTGGTGGCGGGCGCCTGTAGTCCCAGCTACTCGAGAGGCTGAGGCAGGAGAATGGCATGAACCCAGGAGGTGGAGCTTGCAGTGAGCCGAGATTGCGCCACTGCACTCCAGCCTGGGCAACTGAGCAAGACTCCATCTCAAAAAAAAAAAAAAGGCAATGAATCTCTAATGGTTGATTGTATTTCTGTGGGGTCAGTGGTAATATCCCCCTTGTTGTTGTTTCTGATTGTGTTTATTTGAATTTTTGGTCTTTGTCTAGCTAGCAGTCTGTTTCATTAATTTTTTTCAAAAAAACTAGCTCCTGGATTCGTTGATCTTTTGAATGTTTTTTCTTGTCTCTGTCTCCTTCAGTTCAGCTCTGATTTTGGTTATTTCTTGTCTTTTGCTAGCTTTGGGATTTGTGTGCTCTTGATTATCTAGTTATTTTAGTTGTGATGTCAGGTTGTTAACTCGAGATCTATCTTTTCGATGTGGGCATTTGGTGCTATAAATCTCCCTCTTAACACTGCCTTAGCTGTGTCCCAGAGATTCTGGTACATTGTCTCTTTGTTCCCATTAGTTTTAAAGAACTTTTTTATTATGTCCTTAATTTCATTATTTACCCAAAAGTCATTCAGGAGTAGGTTATTCAGTTTCCATGTAATTGTATGAGTGAGTGAATTTCTTAGTCTTGATTTTGAATTTGATTGCACTGTGGTCCAAGAGACTGTTAAGATTTCAGTTCTTTTACAGTTGCTGAGGAGGGTTTTACTTCCAATTATGTGAGCAGTTTTAGAGAGAAAGTGCCATGTGGCAATGAAAAGAATGTACATTCTGTTGTTTTTGGGTGGAGAGTTCTGTAAATATCTATCAGGTCCATTTGATCCAGTGCTGAGTTCAGGTCCTGAATATCTTTGTTAATTTTCTGTCTCAGTGATCTCATATTGTGAGTAGAGTGTTAAGTTTCCCACTATTACTGTATGAGAGTCTCAGTCTCTTTGAAGGTCTCTTAAGAAGTTACTTTATGAATCTGGGTGCTCCTGTGTTGGGCACATACATATTTAGGATAGTTTGATCTTGTTGAATGTAAACCTTTACCATTGTATAATGCCCTTCTTTGCCTTTTTTAAAATCTTTGTTTGGTTTAAAGTCTGTTTTGTCAGAAACTAGAATTGCAACCCCTGCTTTTTGTTTTGTTTTGTTTTCCGTTAGCTTGGTAGATTTTCCTCATTCCCTTTATTTTGAGCCTATGTGTGTCACTGCATGTGAGATGGATCTCTTGAATACAGCATACCATTGGATCTTGGTTTTTTATCCAGTTTGCCATCCTGTGTCTTTTAATTGGGGCATTGAGCCCATTTACATTTAAGGTTAATAGTGATATGTGTGGATTTGATGCTGTCATAATGATGTTAGCTAGTTACTTTGCAGACTTGTTTATGTGGTTGACTTTATAGTGCCACTGGTCTGTGTACTTCAGTATGGTTTTGTAGGATCTGGTAACGGTCTTTCCTTTCCCTATTTAATGTTTCCTTTAGGAGCTCTTGTAAGGCAGATGTGGTGGTAACAAATTCAGCATTTGCTTGTCTGAAAAGGATCTTGTTTTTCCTTCACTTATGAAGCTTAGTTTGGCTAACTATGAAATTCTGGGTTAGAATTTATTTAAGAATGTTGAATATTGACTCCCAATCTCTTCTGGCTTGTAGGGTTTCGGAGGCCATTATCCTTAGCAAACTAACACAGGCATACTGCATGTTCTCACATGTTAAGTAGGAACTAAATGATGAGAACACATGGGCACACAGAGGGGAACAACAGACACTGGGGCTTACCAGTGGTGGAGGGTGGAAGGAGAGGATCAGAAGAAATAACTAATGGGTACTGGGCCTAATACCTGTGTGATGAAATAATCTGCACAACAAACCCTCATGACACAAGTTTAACTATGTAACAAACCTGCACTTGTACCCCTGAATTTAAAAGTTAAAAAAAAAAAAAAGCCAGTGAATCTGTTGTGAATACTTACAGGCAGAACTTTTTTTTTTTTTTTTTTTTTTTTTTTGAGACGAAGTCTCACTCTTGTCCCCCAGGCTGGAGTGCAATGGCATAATCTCGGCTCACTGTAACCTCCACCTCCTGGGTTCAAGCGATTCTCCTGCCTCAGCCTCCTGAGTAGCTGGGATTACAGCCTGCCACCATGCCTGGCTAATTTTTGTATTTCTAGCAGAGACAGGGTTTCACCATGTTGGACAGGCTGGTCTCGAACTCCTGACGTCAGGTGATCCACCCGCCTTGGCCTCCCAAAGTGCTGAGATTACAGGCGTGAGCCACCACGCCCAGCCATAGGCAGAACTTTTACTTGAGGGAAGGATTGATATAAGATTCTGACATTCTGTTTTTTATGTTCTTTGTATATAATTGCATATGATTTTGAAATATAAATCTTTTGAATTTCTTATTAAACTTGTAAATGATGTTTGTAATCGTAGGCAATTTAAGATTTCGTACTAGTTAAGGTATAGACTGTTAGAATGAATTCAGGGTAAACTGTGTGTGTTTGTGTACTGGGGAAACTGTGTAGTGGTAGCTTATAGGGTCATCTGTTAATTAGTTACTGAGATAGGCAGTTTATATAAATTGCTCATTCAGTCCTTAAAAAATCTTATAAGTAGTTATTATTCTCCCATTATATGTGAGGAAAATACAAGAAACTGCTTCCTTTTGCAAACCAAACACTGCCTTTAAACTTAGCATCTTAGACTGCCACTACCTGCAGACATGACTAGAACTTATTAAATATTGTCTTTTTTCAGTTTAATAGTTACTTAGTAATATGGCCTTTATCTAAATTTCCTAATTTTGCCATGTTAAAATGTAATCCTATTTGAACTATGAACTTTGAATTTACTTTAATAAAAATAATTTCTACCACTGCTAATACAATGTAAAATTTTTAAGCTTAGCTTAAGATTAATGTTACTTTGGAAATAAATTGCTACACATTTACACACATAATTTATATAGGAAATAAATCAGTCTATGGAAATATATTTAGATTATAAGCCTTTTTAGCTACAGAAACAAAATTGTTTAGAATGAACTTACATAGCAAGACAAAATTGAAAACAGAGGCTTTAGAAGCTAGTGTAATATAAAGTTTACAATTTACAAAAATTACTTCATTTAAATAGCAGTTATTTTTACTTACTTTCATTGAAGAAATAAAATCCTATGATTCAACTTACAGTATACAGTCTTTTTGCATGGAGGGATGATTTTGTAAGGCCCAAATCAGTACTGCTTAAATCAGTACAAAGAGTGTATTTGTTTTATGGATCATGTTTCTGGTTTTTTCACCCAGAATAAAACTTTAAAAGGAAAAATTTTCTTCTGTTTCCAAAAGGAACTATTGGGGTATGTGGAGGGGTTGATCCACAACCCTAAACTGGCAGAGAGCTTGGGTGTATATATAAGCAGCTAATCTCTCACCTAGTTCCAGGTACATATCTTTGTTGTTGACCAGAAAAGTGCCTGACCAGAAGTCCACATACCTCTCCTGTTATTTTCCTTCCTATAAATGTGGCCTTGCCTGCCAGGGAGCATTGCCTTAAACTAAACTGGAAATAAGAAGCAGCATTCATTATACTATACACTTGATCTTAGCCAAAAGGCCAAGAAGCAATCATTCATTATACTATAAATCTCTATTGTATGAGGAGTAATAGAGGGCAGATATATCACTACAGGACATGCCTAGTATTTTTACATCCCAGAGTATGTTGCAGGGATCCTAGTATGTAAAAATCTCAGAAGCATAAACAAAATTTATTTTAAATTTTAGTTTTAATAAGCTTTTTTAAACTCCGCATCCTACTTTTAGTGGGATATAAGGGTTATTAAATCACACTTCAAAAAGTTAGAAACCCTACAAAGGCCATACAGAAAATAAAATCCTCTGAACCTAGGTGCTACTAATTCACTCAAGATAAATTTAATCATTTTATTATTTATGGATATAATCTAATGGAATAATTTTAATACTTTAATGAAAACATTACTTTCAATCAGATGTACAGAACTCACAGGAAAACTTGAAAATTCTTAATTATAACTGTAAGACCTACGTAGTATAACTAACAGATAAAAGGATTGTCTTTAAATCTTTATGAAAACGTGAAATGAAGCAACATAAACATTAATTCATTGACAAAACAGTTTATTTTAAACACGTAAGAACAGAAAAGGTGGAGACTTGGTGGTTGTAAATTTGGACAGGAATATATTGAAATATCATGTGTATGTGGATACAGATATCAGTATTCTGGTTACTGCCCTCAAAAAGCATATGTTCTTTTTAAGGAGTTAACAAAGATATGATAAAATACTGAAAGAATAATACCAGTGATACTTAGTAAGTGCTAATAACTACCTTCAGAATATAGTATAGACCAACACTGTCCGGTAGAACTTTCTTGGATGAAAGAAATGTTCTCTATTTTATCTAATAGCCACTGGCTACCTGTGGTTATTTGAGCACTTGAAATGTATGCTGTATGAATGAGGAATTTAATTTTATATTTTATTTAGAAATTTAATTAACTAATTTAAGGATAGACATGGTGGCTCACACCTGTAATCCTAGCAGTTTGGGAGGCCAAGGCAGGTGGATTGCTTAAGCCCAGGAGTTTGAGACTAGCCTTGGCAATATGGCAAAACCCTGTCTCTACAGAAAATTTAAAAATTAGCCAGGTGTGGTACTGTGTGCCTGTGGTCCCAGCTACTCAGGAGGCTGAGGAAGGAGGATGTCTTGAGCCTGGAAGGTTGAGGCTGCAATGAGCTGTGATCATGCCACTGCACTCCAGCGTGAGCAACAGAGCGCAATACCCTGTCTCAATTTTTTTTTAATTCAGTGTGAATAGATACATTTGATTAGTGGCTAACCTTATTAAATTCTACAATTCTCAAAAGATGCTTGTCTCAGGAACCCTTCATTTAAAAGTGATTTACGGCCCCAGAGTGCTTTTGACTATGTGGGTTATATTTACTGATATTTACAGCATTAAAAATAGAAAAATTTTAAATATTTATTCATTCTTAAAGTTACTACATGTTAACATAAAATATCTTTGAGGAAAAGCTATTTTTAAAAAAGAGTGGCATTGTTTTACATGTTTACAAATCTCTTTAATGTGTGGGTTAATAGAAGGCAGTTGAATTCTCATATCTGCTTCTATATTCTAGCTGTTGCAATGTGTTGAACTGTATTAAAACCTAACCTCACATAGATAGTTAGTTGGAATTAGCCTTTTTAGATAATTGTGGATATTCTTTGATTACCAAAACTCACCAAGTAGCAGTTTCTTAAAGTTTAGTTGTGATGTAAAATATAAAACCATATCAATGAATTTTATAGTTACATTAAAAAATCACTGCTCTCTTGAACTTTGAGTGGGCCTTTTACCCACTTACTAATTTGCAACATCATGCATTAGTTATTTGGAAGATATTGGTTCACTGAATTGTCCAGATCTTCCAAATGTTGACACATTCCATTTTACCCAATCAAAAAATCACTAATAGCAGCACCAATCTCTTCAGAAGGGTCTTCAAAATTAGGAAATTGCAAAATTCAACTCAGCTGCAGTTAACATGTTTTCCAAAATTCTCATTTACATCTGAAAGCTCAAATTTTATTGGCAACAAATTTGGCCAATTTGTCTTCCTTTAAATGACAGGCTTATTTGGCTTATTTTTGAGAAAATATCTGCCAAATACTCAAACCTGAATAACCATTGTTTGTCAGTTGGTTATTCTTTCAAGTTAAATAGATGTACCATGAAAAAAGCAGCTACTTCGGTAGCAACTTAATTCCAGGAGTGATTTTCCATAAGACATCTGTTATACTTTGATGTCCAGCAGAAGTGTTTTGTGTATACATCCCATTTTGTTGTACAGAACACTAAAAAGACATACACTACAGGGTCAAAACTTATTAAAGTAATTTTTACTACTTCATCAAGGATGTACTTAAGTGAAACTGGCAAATTTTTTAACTGGAAATGAGTGGCAGTGAGGGCTACAAGGATATAGTTTGCTGCTGCTGCCTTGGTAAGTGCTAAGATGCCAACAGTTTGACCTACCATTGTCTTTGTATCATCAGTGCAAATGCCAAAGAAGTGAAAAGGGCAAGTACTGCCTTAGTATTATTATAAAAATGGTTTTGACCTTGCTGAAAAGACAATAATGGAGGAAAGAAATTGCTTTTAGTTCAAATAAGTTAAAGAAGACTCCATGATAAAGATCAATGTAATATGCATGCCCTACTTTATTTTTCTTTACCTGCTTTTTTCTATAAAAATAAAAGTAGGAAAGCAATTAGCATGTTAAAAATTATTTAACCATGTTACTTTTAAAATCATTCTTTGATTCAGCAATTATTTATTAACTATTTTGCATAAGTTATTTTTGTTGTTGATAAGTGGGCAATATGTAATGTTTAGAATAATGATCATGCCAATAAAGCATCTGTGCCCCCACTATAAAGCACTGCTATGTGCTGGGCACTGTGTTTATGTGCTTTTAAATGCATTCACGGAATCTTCATGGTAACCTTAGGAGGTAGGTTTTATAGAAAGTTAACTGGAATTAGTGCCAGCTCACAATTTTTATATAACTAGATAAATTACTTAACTTATTTGGATTTCAGTTTTCTCAAGTATAAAATACGAAGCTGAGACATATCTTCAGATGCTTAACCAGGCTTAAAATTCATTAAATAAACATATATTTCACAGCAGGATAACCCTTTATTGACACATTATCAGAATACTCTGAATTTTATTAGGAAGCCATAAAAACAATTACCAAATCATTAACATAAACTTTTTGAAACTTTATGTCCCTTTCATTTTAAAATTCGTTGAGTCAATACATTTTTCATAACACTTAATCCTTTACTGACACATGATCAGAACACTGAACACTTGACCAAAGACCTAATGATAGATGTGAACATAATGTAAACATGAAGGGATATAGTCACTATTGTAGCGGAATAAAAAATAATACAAAAGCGCAAAGAACAAGAGTCAGGAAAGGTCAAGAAGAGCATCAATAAAGCAGCAGTGTTTTAGTTTGTTCATTAGTTCAACAGATGTCTTATATGCCTTTGTTATGCCCTGTAAAGCTTGGAATTTAGACTACTGGAGGGAACAAAATGATGTCCTTGCCCTCATGGAGCTTACATTTTAGTGGGGGAGTGTGGTAGGTAGGATAGTGGCCTCCCAAATATGTCCATGTCCTAATCCCTAAAACCTGTGAATATGTTACATTACTTAAAAAAAGATTATTAAGTAGCAAAGGAATAGGGAGATTACTTCGGGTTATGTGGCTAGGCAAAATGCAATGTTAAAAGTGGAAGCTGGAGTTTGAAGAAGGGTCAGTGGCAGAATGATGCGACATGAGAAAGTTTCAACTGGCCATTTCTGGCTTTGAAGATGGAAGGGGCCATGTGCCAAGGAATGCAGCAGCCTCTACAAGCTGGAAAAGGCAGGAAAGTGGATTCTCCCCTAGAGTCTCCAGAAAGAACACAGTTCTGCCAACATCTTGATTTTAGTCCAGTGAGACCCATATTGGGCATCTAATTGTGAAATAATAAATGTATGCTATTTTAAGCCTCTTAGGGATATGTCAGTTTGTTACATCAACAATAGAAAACTAATACAGAGTAAAAGAAAGTAAACAAGTAACTAAACAAGATAATTACAAACTACGATGGATGCTTTGAAGGAAATAGGATGATGTGAAAGAGTAAAGGATAAAGCATGTTGGTTTAGGTGATCATGGAAGTCTTCTTTGGAACTATGACACTGGAGTGGAAAAGAAAGACCCAGCTGTGTGGAGTTGGAAACAGAATCTCAGGCCAAGGGAAAGGCAAGTGTAGGGGCATGGAGTAGAGAAGGCTTGCCATTTACAAAGAACAAAAACAGGTCATTTAGCGAGAATGAATAGAATAGTGGAAAAGGTGCAGGCCCAAAAATGTGGAGCCTTGCAGGAATGATGGAACAATGGAAAGCCATTGAAAGGTTTTAAGAAGGAGAGTGATACATTTTGCTTTACATTTTTGAAAGATCACCCCGGCTGCTGTGTGGTAAATGGAAACAAGGGACCAATGACATGGTATTGTAGTCCTGAGGAGGAAGTTTACAGGCGGAAGCAAACTAGTGGCATTGGTGCCTGGAGAGGATTGTTGATGATAGACGGGATATGAGTTCCAAAAGATGAGTAGGAATTTGCCCCTAGAGAAGAGGAAGAATACATAGCAGAAGCATGAAAGTTCAGGATGTCTGGGAAATTGAATATACTTTGCAGAACAGTAGCAAGTGAAGATGAAGAGATTGTTTAAGCGATAATGTATGCAGTCGGGAGACCCTTATTCGCCATGTATGGGAGTTTGGAATTTATGGCATATGCAATGGAGAGCCATCTGAAATTTCGAATCAAGAGAACAAAACAATCTCTTGACCTGAAGTTTTGTGATTATTATGTATGTCCTTCATTTTCATTCTGAAGTAAAGGAGAATAATAAGGGTGCTTTAAGTTTTATCATCTTAGATTCTGAGAAGTTCAGAAAGATTTGATTAAGTACTTGTCAATGAAGTCTTTAATAATTCATTGGGAACCACACTTTTATTCTGTTTTGTTTTTTTGTAAGGACTTTTTTTTCATTTATGGGCTCTACTCTTCTGCTGTCTTTGGAGAGACAGCACAGTAACCTGTTCAGAGCATGTCCGGAGCCACATGGCCTAGGGTACAGTCCTGGTTACCAGTACTAACTGGTCAACCTTTGGCAAGTTATGTAATCTAAGTCTTAGTTTCATTGTCTATAAAATAAGGATAATAAAAATTCTTCAAGTGGCTTCTGTAAGGATTAATGGATTCAGTGCATATAAAGCACTGAATATGTAATAAGCACTTTGTGGATCAGGGTTGAAGCAGGGTGCAGAAGTATACGAGGAGCATTGGTTGTAAGCTTTTCTATATATCAGTAGTAGAAATGTGACAGGTCATAATTTCTTTAAAGTACGTTTAAAATACCTATTTCCCACTTCATTTTTATATATGGTATTAAATTTTCTATTTGTTTGTGTTTTCCAAGAATGTCCACTTCTTTCATCACAAAGCCCACTTATTCTCCAAAAAGTTTATATAAGAAAATGGGTAGTTAGTTTGCATGATCTTCTGCTTTATTGGATATTATTTATTTTCTGGAATAAGTTATGTCCACAGATGATTTTAATTCACACTGCTACTCAGGTAACTTAGGTAAAACAAAACATCAGGATTTTTTGGTACTACAGTTCAAATTTATTTAACTTCCCAACAATATATTTTAAATAACAAAGAAACAAAATACTCAATTTTACCTCTGTTGCACATTAGCAAGGCATAAAAGAGAGATTAATATAATTAGGTAAGGATTCTTATAGTATTTATTTTCTGCATCACTTTTAATTTAGCATTTAATTATGTACTATGACATTTCTCTATATAATACTTCATGTATATTACTCATATTTGCAAAGATTACGTATATCTCAGAGGTGGAGACTAGATATTAAATGTCTTCATTCTCCTATCTTCTGAAGCACTTAAGTCAGAGGAACTAAATTATTCATTCTAATTTGACAACTCAAGCTTGTAACATATTATAATGCTTAGAAAAGCTCAGTAAAACTAAACTCTAGTTACCTATAAATTGTTTGTTTTTAATACTTCATCAGGAAATAAATTCCAATTAAAATTTCATTAATTATCCCCCTTGTTCTTTCATGTCTTTCCAATGAAGGAGTAGAAAGACTTTCTTTACAAAACTAGGCTCAGGGAATTAGTGTCCCATGTTGAAATTTGGCTCTCAGGAAAGCTCCCAGAAAGGAAGTCTCCTAGTTGGCAACCAATAAGCCTTACTTAGATTACTATATGTTGTCATTCCCATGGAAGTAAGGGAGGATCCGTCCTCAAACTACATCCTTGGGGTTCATGATCTTTTTCTTTTCACTTTTCCTATGATTTCTCTTCCCATGGTCAGGAGTTTTAAATTACACATACAGCATTACTAGTTTGAAGGAATCTTGGAGAACCAAATAAAATGAATTAGAATGTAATTCTTGTCCTCTTCCTTCATCTTATTTTTCACAACCAGTTCTGCTACTAATCGATAAGCCTCAAAGCCAATCAAAGGAGAATTACCTTCTGGGATTAGTAAATGTCAAAATATTTCTTAAAATTTTTTCATAAGATGAGAAAAGCTGAAAATCATGCCAACTCCTGTGGTTGAAACTATTTAAATAATTGACTGTGTGTTTGGGTGTATGTGAGATACTATAACCTGTACTTTGGGGATGCTCATTGCCCTTGACAAGTGAAAGCGTGCGCTCTCCACGAGGCCTCCCTCCTGGCGTCTGTGCAGTAAGAGAGCAGCTTCCCTCAGCACTAGCTGGAAGGAGAAGTCACTTGTGCTGGTGTTCAGCAAGTATTACCTTCCTTTTCATTTTATATAATGTTATGTAGCCATGAATAGGAAAGGTAAATGTTTTTCATACTTTAAATAGACTACTATCTTTCAAAAATAAGAAAATAGATCTTATTATTGTCTCATAAAACCATAAAATAAAAATTGTTTTATTTCAAAATCCACAGATATTTATTTACAACATAGTATTCATCAACTAATAAATGTCCTTTTTACCTTTCATTATTCTTTAGATTTTATTTCAGTATCCTGATTAGTGTTTTTAATTATACCTCCTATTCACCGTGATAACAAATTCAAATAACATAAAAATGTTAAGGAAGAGAGCTGGGTGCAGTGGCACATACCAGTAATCCTAACACTTTGGAAGGCCAAGCCGGAGGATTGCTTGAGGCCAGGGGCTCAAGACCACCATAGGCAACATAGTGAGACCCTGTCTCTATAAAAAAAAAATTTTCTTTAAATTACCTGGGTGTGGTGGCACAGGCCTTTAGTCCCAGCTACTTGACAGACTAAGGCACAGAGGATCGCTTGAGCCTAGCAGTACACAGGTGCAGTGAGCTACGATCATGCCACTGCGCTCCAGCCTGGGTGACAGAGTGAGACCTCGTGTCTAAAATATACATACATCTATAGAAATATACACATATACATACGTACATACATGCATACATAGAGAGCCAGCAAATATTTTGCCCAATCCCAGTTCAGTTTTCTAAAGTTTGCCACTAGCAACATTATGCTGAAAATTATTTGGCTTTTTCTTTGCACATTTAAAATATATCTTTAAAATTTTTTTAAAGTAATATAAACATTAAAATAATATCAAAGGAATAAGCCAGAAAAACAAGTCACTCCTTTGGTACCTGATTTCCTCATTTGTATGTCCTAGACATCATGAATTGATGTTAAGGCACATGTATAGTATGGATACTATACTGCATCTACTGTATTTTCTGGAAGGATGGAATCAAACTATTTTGGAAGACTTTCTATATCAGTACCAAACAATATATCTTAGATGACTATTAAGGTTTTTTTGTAATTAAAAACAAGTTTTCAGATAAACATATGTATGCATATTTGCATACATGTGTTAATTTGCACGGTGCCAAGAAATTGTTAGATCAACAGGTCGGCATTTTAAATTTTGATAAATATTGCCAAAGTAACACAGCATATAAGAGTGTACTCTTTTATTTAAACCTTGCATATGTCAGGCGTTACTGGGACTTTTTTGCCGATTTACTAAACATCATTTATCTAGGGATTAGTATCTACAGCCAGTGTTCTAGATGAGGGGAACAGTGGTGATCGAAACAGAAAAAATTCCTGTCTGAATGGAACTTGCATTGTAGTGTAGTAGATAATCAATCAATAAGATATTATAGTGACAAGTATTTTTAAAAGAAATAAATTGAGGGAGAATAGGGAGTGCAATGGGGGTGGGGGTGGTATTTAAATAGAGCAGTCATAGGAGACCTCCCTGAGGAGGTGGAATTGGGCAGTTCATAAAGAATATTACAGGTAGAGTGATATGAAGCAAGAGGCCAGTATACCTGGAATGCAGTGAGCCGGGGTAAAGTAGAAGACAAAGTCTGAGAGAGACAGGTGAGGAGAGTCAGCCCATGGAGGGCCTTGGATTACAGTGAATAGGATGGGAAGTCATTAGATGGTTTGACAAGATTCCACTGATGCTTTAGAAGGTTTTGTCTGCTGTGTTGAGAACTGACTACAGGAAGACAAAGGTGGCAGCACGGAGACCAGATAGGAACCAGTGACAGTACTCGAAGTGAGAGATGATGGTACCATCAGGTAGTTAGTGGCAGGGAATTGGTAGTGGGTGGTCAGATCTTGAATATATTTTTATAGGTATTTCCTTCCAGAGTAGATGCATGGGATATGAGAGAAAAAGAGGAGTCAAAACTATCACTGAGACTTTTGGCCTGAACAACTGGAGGAATGGAATTGCCGTTTACTGAAATAGAGAAGACTGAGAGACCAGGAATTGTATTTGGCTATGGTAAAAAATTTCCCATTAGAAATCCAAGTGGTGATATCACCAAAGACAAAAGCCACATGATTATCTCAATAGATGCAGAAAAGGCCTTTGACAAAATTCAACAGCCCTTCATGCTAAAAACTCTCAATAAATTAGGTATTGATGGGACGTATCTCAAAATAATAAGAGCTATTTATGACAAATCCACAACCAATATCATACTGAATGGGCAAAAATTGGGAGCATTCCCTTTGAAAACTGGCGCAAGACAGGGGTGCCCTTTCTCACCACTCCTATTCAACATATTGTTGGAAATTCTGGCCAGGACAATCAGGCAGGAGAAGGAAATAAAGTGTATTCAGTTAGGAAAAGAGGGAGTCAAATTGTCCCTGTTTGCAGATGACATGATTGTATATTTAGAAAACCCCATTGTCTCAGCCCAAAATCTCCTTAAGCTGATAAGCAACTTCAGCAAAGTCTCAGGATACAAAATCTATGGGCAAAATCACAAGCATTCTTATACACCAATAACAGACAAACAGAAAGCCAAATCATGAGTGAACCCCCATTCACAATTGCTTCAAAGAGAATAAAATACCTAGAAATCCAACTTACAAGGGACGTGAAGGACCTCTTCAAGGAGAACTACAAACCACTGGTCAAGGAAATAAAAGAGGATACAAACAAATGGAAGAACATTCCATGCTCATGGATAGGAAGAATCAATATCGTGAAAATGGCCATACTGCCCAAGGTAATTTATAGATTCAATGCCATCCCCATCAAGCTACCAATGACTTTCTTCACAGAATTGGAAAAAACTACTTTAAAGTTCATATGGAACCAAAAAAGAGCCCACATTGCCAAGACAATCCTAAGCCAAAAGAACAAAGCTGGAGGCATCACACTACCTGACTTCAAACTATACTACAAGGCAACAGTAACCAAAACAGCATGGTACTGGTACCAAAACAGAGATATAGACCAATGGAACAGAACAGAGGCCTCAGAAATAATGCCACACATCTACAACCATCTGATGTTTGACAAACCTGACAAAAAGAAGAAATGGGGAAAGAATTTCCTGTTTAATAAATGGTGCTGGGAAAACTGACTAGCCATATGTGGAAAGCTGAAACTGGATCCTTTCCTTACACCTGATACAAAAATTAATTCAAGATGGATTAAAGATTGAAATGTTAGACCTGAAACCATAAAAACCCTAGAAGAAAACCTAGGCAATACCATTCAGGACATAGGCACGGGCAAGGACTTCATGTCTAAAACAGCAAAAGCAATGGCAACAAAAGCCAAAATTGACAAATGGGATCTAATTAAACTAAAGAGCTTCTGCACAGCAAAAGAAACTACCATCAGAGTGAACAGGCAACCTACAGAATGGGAAAAAATTTTTGCAATCTACACATTTGACAAAGGGCTAATATCCAGAATCTACAATGAACTCAAACAAATTTACAAGAAAAAAACAACCCCATCAAAAAGTAGGTGAAGGATATGAACAGACACTTCTCAAAAGAAGACATTTATTTATGCAACCAAAAGACACATGAAAAAATGCTCATTATCACTGGCCATCAGAGAAATGCAAATCAAAACCACAATGAGATACCATTTCACACCAGTTAGAATGGCAATCATTAAAAAGTCAGGAAACAACAGGTACTGGAGAGGATGTGGAGAAATAGGAACACTTTTACACTGTTGGTGGGACTGTAAACTAGTTCAACCATTGTGGAAGACAGTGTGGCGATTCCTCAAGGATCTAGAACTAGAAATACCATTTGACCCAGCCATCCCATTACTGGGTATATACCCAAAGGATTATAAATCATGCTGCTATAAAGACACATGCACATGTATGTTGATTGCGGCACTATTCACGATAGCAAAGACTTGGAACCAACCCAAATGTCCATCAGTGATAGACTGGTTTAAGAAAAGGTGGCACATATACACCATGGAATACTATGCAGCCATAAGAAATGATGAGTTCATGTCCTTTGTAGGGACATGGATGAAGCTGGAAACCATCATTCTCAGCAAACTATCGCAAGGACAAAAAACCAAACACTGTACGTTCTCACTCTTAGGTGGGAATTGAACAATGAGAACACTTGGACACAGGGTGGGGAACATCACACACCGGGGTCTGTCGTGGCATGGGGGTAGGGGGGAGGGATAGCGTTAGGAGATACACCTAATGTAAATGACAAGTTAATGGGTGCAGCATACCAACATGGCACATGTATACATATGTAACAAAGTTGCACGTTGTGCACATGTACCCTAGAACTTAAAAGTATAATAATAATAATAAAAAAAAAAGAAATCCAAGTGGAGCTATCAAGTAGATAATTTGGGATTCATAGGAGAAGTCACCTGGGATATAAAACTGGGAGTCAACAAATGGCATTTAGAGCCATGAAACAGATTGAGGAAGTGGAGGAAAGAAACGAAAAAGAAGCAGTTGGTGAGTTAAGAGGAAACTGATAGAGTCAAGAGAAGAGATTGTTTTGAAAAGGAGAGAGTAATGAATTATGTCAAATGCTGCTAAAAGATCAAGTCAAATGAGGACTGATAATTGTCATTGCATTTAGCAGTGCTCACAGTCATGACAAGAACAGTGTTGGTGGAGTGTTGTAATTGGAGTAATTTAAGATAAAATAGGAAGAAACAAATTAGAGACACATGTAGGCAACTTTTCCAAAAAGCTTTGAAGTATAGAGGGACTGAGATATAGAATTAGGAGTGCTGGAGTTTAATCAAGGTAAGAGATTAGCCAGCATAGAGATTTTGAAGCCAGAGAGAGCAAGAAAGTTGAGAGTGTACGTGAGAAGTGATTATAAAAATATAAGATTAAAATGGATATTTCTTCTGTTACTGAGGTTGAGCATCTTTTTACATGTTTATTGGGCATTCATTTTTGTGTGTGCGAATTGCTTGTGCATATTCTTACTGGGTGGTTCATCTTATGAGTGTTTAAGAATTCTCTGTAAAATAAAGATGTCAGCCTTTAGTCATATGTGTTGCACATATTTTTCACAATTTGTCGTTTGTCTTTTGACTTGATTTTTTTCTGTGTATAGTTATGGGTTTCATTTCATGCTTATAATGGCCTTCTTATTCCAGGTTTGTAAAAGGATTTGCCTATATTTTCTTCTTTTTTTTTTTTATTATACTTTAAGTTTTAGGGTACATGTGCACATTGTGCAGGTTAGTTACATACGTATACATGTGCCATGCTGGTGCGCTGCACCCACTAACTCGTCATCTAGCATTAGGTATATCTCCCAATGCTATCCCTCCCCCCTCCCCCCACCCCACAACAGTCCCCAGAGTGTGATATTCCCCTTCCTGTGTCCATGTGCTCTCATTGTTCAATTCCCACCTATGAGTGAGAATATGCGGTGTTTGGTTTTTTGTTCTTGCGATAGTTTACTGAGAATGATGATTTCCAATTTCATCCATGTCCTTACAAAGGACATGAACTCATCATTTTTTATCGCTGCATAGTATTCCATGGTGTATATGTGCCACCTTTTCTTAATCCAGTCTATCATTGTTGGACATTTGGGTTGGCTCCAAGTCTTTGCTATCGTGAATAGTGCCGCAATAAACATACGTGTGCATGTGTCTTTATAGCAGCATGATTTATAGTCCTTTGGGTATATACCCAGTAATGGGATGGCTGGGTCAAATGGTATTTCTAGTTCTAGATCCCTGAGGAATCGCCACACTGTCTTCCACAATGGTTGAACTAGTTTACAGTCCCACCAACAGTGTAAAAGTGTTCCTATTTCTCCACATCCTCTCCAGCACCTGTTGTTTCCTGACTTTTTAATGACTGCCATTCTAACTGGTGTGAGATGGTATCTCATAGTGGTTTTGATTTGCATTTCTCTGATGGCTAGTGATGATGAGCATTTTTTCATGTGTTTTTTGGCTGCATAAATGTCTTCTTTTGAGAAGTGTCTGTTCATGTCCTTCACCCACTTTTTGATGGGGTTGTTTGTTTTTTTCTTGTAAATTTGTTTGAGTTCATTGTAGATTCTGGATATTAGCCCTTTGTCAGATGAGTAGGTTGCAAAAATTTTCTCCCATTTTGTAGGTTGCCTGTTCACTCTGATGGTAGTTTCTTTTGCTGTGCAGAAGCTCTTTAGTTTAATGAGATCCCATTTGTCAATTTTGTCTTCTGTTGCCATTGCTTTTGGTGTTTTAGACATGAAGTCCTTGCCCATGCCTATGTCCTGAATGGTAATGCCTAGGTTTTCTTCTAGGGTTTTTATGGTTTTAGGTCTAAAGTTTAAATCTTTAATCCATCTTGAATTGATTTTTGTATAAGGTGTAAGGAAGGGATCCAGTTTCAGCTTTCTACATATGGCTAGCCAGTTTTCCCAGCACCATTTGTTAAATAGGGAATCCTTTCCCCATTGCTTGTTTTTCTCAGGTTTGTCAAAGATCAGATAGTCGTAGGTATGCGGCGTTATTTCTGAGGGCTCTGTTCTGTTCCATTGATCTATATCTCTGTTTTGGTACCAGTACCATGCTGTTTTGGTTACTGTAGCCTTGTAGTATAGTTTGAAGTCAGGTAGTGTGATGCCTCCAGCTTTGTTCTTTTGGCTTAGGATTGACTTGGCGATGCAGGTTCTTTTTTGGTTCCATATGAACTTTAAAGTAGTTTTTTTCCAATTCTGTGAAGAAAGTCATTGGTAGCTTGATGGGGATGGCATTGAATCTGTAAATTACCTTGGGCAGTATGGCCATTTTCGCGATATTGATTCTTCCTATCCATGAGCATGGAATGTTCTTCCATTTGTTTGTATCCTCTTTTATTTCCTTGACCAGTGGTTTGTAGTTCTCCTTGAAGAGGTCCTTCACGTCCCTTGTAAGTTGGATTCCTAGGTATTTTATTCTCTTTGAAGCAATTGTGAATGGGAGTTCACTCATGATTTGGCTTTCTGTTTGTCTGTTGTTGGTGTATAAGAATGCTTGTGATTTTTGTACATTGATTTTGTATCCTGAGACTTTGCTGAAGTTGCTTATCAGCTTAAGGAGATTTTGGGCTGAGACAATGGGGTTTTCTAGATATACAATCATGTTGTCTGCAAACAGGGACAATTTGACTTCCTCTTTTCCTAATTGAATACCCTTTATTTCCTTCTCCTGCCTAATTGCCCTGGCCAGAACTTCCAACACTATGTTGAATAGGAGCGGTGAGAGAGGGCATCCCTGTCTTGTGCCAGTTTTCAAAGGGAATGCTTCCAGTTTTTGCCCATTCAGTATGATATTGGCTGTGGGTCTGTCATAGATAGCTCTTATTATTTTGAAGTACGTCCCATTAATACCTAATTTATTGAGAGTTTTTAGCATGAAGTGTTGTTGAATTTTGTCAAAGGCTTTTTCTGCATCTATTGAGATAATCATGTGGTTTTTGTCTTTGGCTCTGTTTATATGCTGGATTACATTTATTGATTTGCGTATATTGAACCAGCCTTGCATCCCAGGGATGAAGCCCACTTGATCATGGTGGATAAGCTTTTTGATGTGCTGCTGGATTCGGTTTGCCAGTATTTTATTGAGGATTTTTGCATCAATGTTCATCAAGGATATTGGTCTAAAATTCTCTTTTTTGGTTGTGTCTCTGCCAGGCTTTGGTATCAGAATGATGCTGGCCTCATAAAATGAGTTAGGGAGGATTCCCTCTTTTTCTATTGATTGGAATAGTTTCAGAAGGAATGGTACCAGTTCCTCCTTGTACCTCTGGTAGAATTCGGCTGTGAATCCATCTGGTCCTGGACTCTTTTTGGTTGGTAAACTATTGATTATTGCCACAATTTCAGATCCTGTTATTGGTCTATTCAGAGATTCAACTTCTTCCTGGTTTAGTCTTGGGAGAGTGTATGTGTCGAGGAATGTATCCATCTCTCCTAGATTTTCTAGTTTATTTGCATAGAGCTGTTTGTAGTATTCTCTGATGGTAGTTTGTATTTCTGTGGGATCGGTGGTGATATCCCCTTTATCATTTTTTATTGCGTCTATTTGATTCTTCTCTCTTTTTTTATTAGTCTTGCTAGTGGTCTATCAATTTTGTTGATCCTTTCAAAAAACCAGCTCCTGGATTCATTGATTTTTTGAAGGGTTTTTTGTCTCTCTATTTCCTTCAGTTCTGCTCTGATTTTAGTTATTTCTTGCCTTCTGCTAGCTTTTGAATGTGTTTGCTCTTGCTTTTCTAGTTCTTTTAATTGTGATGTTAGGGTGTCAATTTTGGATCTTTCCTGCTTTCTCTTGTGGGCATTTAGTGCTATAAATTTCCCTCTACACACTGCTTTGAATGCGTCCCAGAGATTCTGGTATGTTGTGTCTTTGTTCTCGTTGGTTTCAAAGAATATCTTTATTTCTGCCTTCATTTCGTTAGGTACCCAGTAGTCATTCAGGAGCAGGTTGTTCAGTTTCCATGTAGTTGAGCAGCTTTGAGTGAGATTCTTAATCCTGAGTTCTAGTTTGATTGCACTGTGGTCTGAGAGATAGTTTGTTACAATTTCTGTTCTTTTACATTTGCTGAGGAGAGCTTTACTTCCAAGTATGTGGTCAATTTTGGAATAGGTGTGGTGTGGTGCTGAAAAAAATGTATATTCTTTTGATTTGGGGTGGAGAGTTCTGTAGATGTCTATTAGGTCTGCTTGGTTCAGAGCTGAGTTCAATTCCCTGGGTATCCTTGTTGACTTTCTGTCTCGTTGATCTGTCTAATGTTGACAGTGGGGTGTTAAAGTCTCCCATTATTAATGTGTGGGAGTCTAAGTCTCTTTGTAGGTCACTCAGGACTTGC
The DNA here is from genome assembly GCF_000001405.40 of Homo sapiens. Taxonomy (NCBI): domain Eukaryota; kingdom Metazoa; phylum Chordata; class Mammalia; order Primates; family Hominidae; genus Homo; species Homo sapiens. Next base: position 31,447,079 of record NC_000010.11, read on the forward strand.
TTTATGAATCTGGGTGCTCCTGTATTGGGTGCATATATATTTAGGATAGTTAGCTCTTCTTGTTGAATTGATCCCTTTACCATTATGTAATGGCCTTCTTTGTCTCTTTTGATCTTTATTGGTTTAAAGGCTGTTTTATCAGAGACTAGGATTGCAACCCCTGCCTTTTTTAATTTTCCATTTGCTTGGTAGATCTTCCTCCATCCTTTTATTTTGAGCCTATGTGTGTCTCTGCACGTGAGATGGGTTTCCTGAATACAGCACACTGATGGGTCTTGACTCTTTATCCAATTTGCCAGTCTGTGTCTTTTAATTGGAGAATTTAGTCCATTTACATTTAAAGTTAATATTGTTATGTGTGAATTTGATCCTGTCATTATGATGTTAGCAGGTGATTTTGCTCGTTAGTTCATGCAGTTTCTTCCTAGTCTCGATGGTCTTTACATTTTGGCATGATTTTGCAGCGGCTGGTACCGGTTGTTCCTTTCCATGTTTAGTGCTTCCTTCAGGAGCTCTTTTAGGGCAGGCCTGCTGGTGACAAAATCTCTCAGCATTTGCTTGTGTGTAAAGGATTTTATTTCTCCTTCACTTATGAAGCTTAGTTTGGCTGGATATGAAATTCTGGGTTGAAAATTCTTTTCTTTAAGAATGTTGAATATTGGCCCCCACTCTTCTGGCTTGTAGGGTTTCTGCCGAGAGATCAGCTGTTAGTCTGATGGGCTTCCCTTTGAGGGTAACCCGACCTTTCTCTCTGGCTGCCCTTAACATTTCTTCCTTCATTTCAACTTTGGTGAATCTGACAATTATGTGTCTTGGAGTTGCTCTTCTTGAGGAGTATCTTTTTGGCGTTCTCTGTATTTCCTGAATCTGAATGTTGGCCTGCCTTGCTAGATTGGGGAAGTTCTCCTGGATAATATCCTGCAGAGTGTTTTCCAACTTGGTTCCATTCTCCCCATCACTTTCAGGTACACCAATCAGATGTAGATTTGGTCTTTTCACATAGTCCCATATTTCTTGGAGGCTTTGCTCATTTCTTTTTATTCTTTTTTCTCTAAACTTCCCTTCTCGCTTCATTTCATTCATTTCATCTTCCATCGCTGATACCCTTTCTTCCAGTTGATCGCATTGGCTCCTGAGGCTTCTGCATTCTTCACGTAGTTCTCGAGCCTTGGTTTTCAGCTCCATCAGCTCCTTTAAGCACTTCTCTGTATTGGTTATTCTAGTTATACATTCTTCTAAATTTTTTTCAAAGTTTTCAACTTCTTTGCCTTTGGTTTGAATGTCCTCCCGTAGCTCAGAGTAATTTGATCGTCTGAAGCCTTCTTCTCTCAGCTCGTCAAAGTCATTCTCCATCCAGCTTTGTTCCGTTGCTGGTGAGGAACTGCGTTCCTTTGGAGGAGGAGAGGCACTCTGCGTTTTAGAGTTTCCACTTTTTCTGTTCTGTTTTTTCCCCATCTTTGTGGTTTTATCTACTTTTGGTCTTTGATGATGGTGATGTACAGATGGGTTTTCGGTGTGGATGTCCTTTCTGTTTGTTAGTTTTCCTTCTTACAGACAGGACCCTCAGCTGCAGGTCTGTTGGAATACCCTGCCGTGTGAGGTGTCAGTGTGCCCCTGCTGGGGGGTGCCTCCCAGTTAGGCTGCTAAGGGGTCAGGGGTCAGGGACCCACTTGAGGAGGCAGTCTGCCCATTCTCAGATCTCCAGCTGCGTACTGGGAGAACCACTGCTCTCTTCAAAGCTGTCAGACAGGGACATTTAAGTCTGCAGAGGTTACTGCTGTCTTTTTGTTTGTCTGTGCCCTGTCCCCAGAGGTGGAGCCTACAGAGGCAGGCAGGCCTCCTTGAGCTGTGGTGGGCTCCACCCAGTTGGAGCTTCCTGGCTGCTTTGTTTACCTAATCAAGCCTGGGCAATGGCGGGCGCCCCTCCCCCAGCCTCGCTGCCGCCTTGCAGTTTGATCTCAGACTGCTGTGCTAGCAACCAGCGAGACTCCGTGGGCGTAGGACCCTCTGAGCCAGGTGTGGGATATAGTCTCATGGTGCGCCATTTTTTAAGCCAGTCTGAAAAGCGCAATATTCGGGTGGGAGTGACCCGATTTTCCAGGTGCGTCTGTCACCCCTTTCTTTGACTCGGAAAGGGAACTCCCTGACCCCTTGCGCTTCCCAGGTGAGGCAATGCCTCGCCCTGCTTCGGCTTGCGCACAGTGCGCGCACCCACTGGCCTGCGCCTACTGTCTGGCACTCCCTAGTGAGATGAACCTGGTACCTCAGATGGAAATGCAGAAATCACCCGTCTTCTGCGTCGCTCACGCTGGGAGCTGTAGACTGGAGCTGTTCCTATTCGGCCATCTTGGCTCCTCTCTGCCTATATTTTCTTCTAATACTTTTATGGTTTCAGTTTTTTTTCTAAGTTAAAGTCTTTGATTTCGTGTGGGTTTCATTTTGGTGAAAGTCTTGGGGTGGGGATCTGATTTTTTTCCAAATGATTTTTATTAAATAATGCATTTTCCCCCCACTAATTTGCAAGACTCCTATTTGTTTAGGGTCTATTTTGTATTATATTCAAGTCCATTGATTGCCCATCCCTGTAATAGTACAAATCTATTTCCATTTCTGTAGCTTCAAGATAAAGTTTACTCTCTGGTATATCTAGTTTATGTTCTCCTACCACCACCATTACTATTATTTTTCTGAATTTTCCTGAGTATTTTAATGTGTTTGTTTTCTCAGATAATAATACCAACAGTATGTATCAAGAATATATGTGCAGTATTACCAAGTGTTTTGCATATATACCTATTTTCATCATTGTGATAACCATGTCAGGGGTATACTATTAATATTTCAATCTTGGCAATGAGGAAACTGAGACATTAGAAGAATATATAACATGCTCAAGGTGACAAGGCTAGTAAGCAGTGAAGCTGTGATTTGAGCCAGGCAGTTAGGTTCCAGAGACCATGCTCCTACTTCTCTATATAAACTGTAGACGTGTTGATCTAAGTCATTTAGATTTAGAATCCAAGATACCATGTGTAGCATTTGGATCAAAATTGCATTGAATTTATAGAAAAATTTAGGTAGAATTGACATATTTATGACACAAAATCATTCTATTCAAAACCAAGATATAGCTTTTCATTTATTCAAATATTTGATGACTTTTACATAGAATGCTAGTTTTCTTCATGTAGGTCCTCCATGTTTTATTTTAAGCTTTTTCCTTCATGTGTTTCATTTGTGTTGCTAGTAATAGAATTTTTTCCTCTTTCGTGTTTTTAGCTGGTTATTGTTGATTATTGGAAAGCTGTTGATTTTTTTCTGTTGGAAAGATATTGATTTTTTTCTTTTAAATTTGTAATTAACCATTTACCAAATGTCCTTACTGCTAATAGTTTTTTTATTGATTTTTCCTGAATTTTCTATAAATGTTATTCTGCAAATAATTTTGCTTCTCCTTTCTAATATTTATACTTTCTCTTTTATTCTTTTTAAAAATTGGTTTATTCTTGTAAATCATTGTTAACTAATGATGAAACTAAGCATCTTTATCTTACAAATGCCTGTCATTCATAATCATTTATTATGATACTAACTTCAGTTTTCTTTTCATGCAAAAGTATCAGCAAGGGAATGGTGAATTTTTTTCAAATGCCTTTCTGTATCTATAGATGTCGTTTGTCCTTTATGTTAATATAGTAAAAGCACATATATTTTCTAATATTAAGTAATGTTTGCTTCATTCTTTTAATTTAATATTTTATTTAGGACCATTGCATATTTTATTTAGGACTGAGCGTGTGTGTGTGTGTGTGCGTGCGTGCGCATGTGTGCCTGTGTGTGTGTGTGTGCACATGCATGTATATCCTTCCTCAGATTTTAATTATTATGTTGACTTCCTAGAATTCAGACTTTTCATTTTCCTCTCTCTTTAAAAAGTTACAAAATTATCAGTCCTTTACAGATCTGAAGAAATTTACCTGTGAAAACACCTGGCAGTTTTGGGTGGTTAACTACTATCTTCCTAAATTTATTCTATGATGTGTCTGTCTATGTCTCTTAAATAATTTTCCAAGTTCTATAATACAGTGATAATTATTTACATTTTCCTAGAAAGGGTTTTCATCTAGGTTTTCAAATTTATTTGCTTAGGTTTGGACAAAATATTTAAAAAGTAAGTTTCCTAAATTTCTTTATAGTTGTAGTTAACTCCATTTGCATTTTAATATTGAACATTCGTGCTGCTTAATTTTTTTCTCTAGGATTAAGTAGGCTGGTAATTTATCTTTTTTCTTGATTCTTTAAAGTTTGGGCTTTTGGACTGATATATCAATTACATGGCTTCTCTATTTTTTGACTAAGTACTTTCCGCATTTGTATTTTTGATTTTGTCTTCACACTTAGATTTCGTCATACTACCTATCTTCCATAAGTAACAGTTTCTATGAATTAAAAAGCATCCTTTTATAAATGCAGACTTTACTTATGAAGGAAATATTAGTTATAGGTAATTTAGTGTGAATTATTTTACTCCAAATACTTTCCTCAACACAAAAAGGAATCATCTTTTTTGGGACTGAATTTAATTTAATCTCTTGAGGACTTTGCTTTTTCACTGTTTCATCTATCTGTGAGTTGTACGAACACTGGCTGAAATTAGCTCATTGAGTGGATGGGAGTTTAGATAAAAGGGGAAAAGGGGAAGGTAATTTGGGAGGATGGCTCTTGTTGGGGGCAGATAGATACAGGATCTGTGGAGGAAGAGAGAAAGGCCAGAACAAGAACTGAGAGAGTAACAAAGAAATCCTACGAATCCTTAGTAACTTTCATGTAATGAGAGACAGGAGAAAATAAGAACTAGCATTCTGTGAGCAATGACAACCCTTTCCCTGCGTTTGCCTATCAGTTTTCATTCTATTAATAGCATGTATCTGAAGATATTAAAAACCACCACCCCTTTTGCAGGGGTAAAATTTAGAATGATTGACTTTTATTGGAGTTATGTTTTAAAATATATTTTGAAAATATAAAAAGAGTTTATGAAGATTTTACCTAGAGAAGGATTTAAAAATTTCACCCAAAATTTACTGAATCATTAGAATTACTAAAATCTAACATGTTCATGGTACTTGGGGTACTCTAAAACCATTATGATACCTATTTTTAGATTATTTAAATTAAAATTAGATAATATACACATTGTTCATTATTATATAACATTACATTTGTATATTACATTATATCCTTCATTATACAGTAAAATATATATAGACAGTAAGCTAACATTATCAGTTCGGTCAAAAGTCAGATTAACAAAAATTTACAGTAAATGCTTAGTATTTATAGACAAGCTCCTCTTTCCTGGAGTAATATTATATGCAGAAGTTTTCTCTGATCCTATGAATTACCACATGACCTCTCCATTCCATTTTGTGTACCTGTTTGCCTGGTCTGGTTATGACTGCAGTTTTGTTTTCATTTTCCTGAATTGTTGCTAACACTTAAGTATATTGACTTGTTTCTTCACTGAGAAAAGAAAAAAGTGTGGTCCCATATTCAGTTCAGCAAATAATTCTATACCTACTATGTAGAAGGCAGTATGCCAGTGACTGTATTTAGGATAAAATGTGTGTGTGTGTGTGTGTGTGTGTGTGTGTGTGTGTGTGTGAGAGAGAGAGAGAGAGAGAGAGAGAGAGAGAGATGTTATTGTAGTCCCAATTGATGTTAAAGAATAATGGATGGAAACACTTGGTCAGTGTTTCCACCGATCTTTGCATCACTCAGCATTCATGCCTAAATTTGTGGTGTTCTCAGAATTGTGCTAATGTGTAAAATATTCTTATACTTAATATGAGTACAGTCTGTTGGCTCTGTAGAACACAACTCAAAGTGTATGTATTTTTCTAGTTATTTCTTAAATTATGACAATATGCTTATCTGATATATGTGGAACCAGTTTGTTAAAAGTAGTCTGTTAGTTTTTAAGGATTAGTCTTCTAAGAAAGATTTTCTCTTTCTTTTCTAACATGCAAATGAGTGCATGCTTAGGGGCTTGATGGCAATGAGTGGGATATAGTTAAGCACATATTAAAGGCATAACATAATAAGGGTGTCCTCTGGAAAGAAAAGCCTTTACACAACCCAAAATAGGTAAAAATGTGGCCTTCGCCTGTGGCTTTAATCAATACATGCCACAGTTATCGTCGGACAAGAATTGAAGCCCTCAAAGTTAATCTTTTCCATCTTTCTTCCCCACTTCCCTAAGTTTCTTCCTCTACATGGCCCTATCCTGCTATTCCAAGTCACAATAAATGATGATAGTGAGATTCTTTATGAAGCATTTAGGTGATCTTGCTTTCATACCAATGAATAAAAAATTGAGAATGTATTGGTTTTGGAACCATACTCATATAAGTTATCTAATGCTTTTTTATGATTGTACATTACTTAAGAAACAGATATTTACATGAGACTTTAATTACTATAGTTGATACAGTGCTGCATGCAATCATGTGCTAAAAATAATATGTGAAAGTTCTTGTAAAGATTTATTGACCTCGCAAATAAACTAGAAAATCTGGAAGAAATGGATAAATTCCTGGACACATACACCCTCCCAAGTCTAAACCCAGAAGAAGTCGAATCCCTGAATAGACCAATAACAAGTTCTGAAATTGAGGCAGTAATTAATAGCCTCCCAATAAAAAAAAATGTCCAGGACCAGACGGATTCACAGCCGAATTCTACCAGAGGTACAAAGAGGAGCTGGTACCATTCCTTCTGAAACTATTCCAAATAATAGAAAAAGAGGGAATCCTCCCGAACTCATTTTATGAGGCCAGCATCATCCTGATACCAAAACCTGGCAGAGACACAACAAAAAAGGAAAATTTCAGGCCAGTATCCCTGATGAACATCGATGTGAAAATCCTCAATAAAATACTGGCAAACTAAATCTAGCAGGACATCAAAAAGCTTATCCACCACGATCAAATCAGCTTCATACCTGGGATGCAAGGCTGGCTGAACATACACAAATCAACAAACGTAATCCATTGTATAAATGGAACAAATCACAAAAACCACATTATTATCTCAATAGATGCAGAAAAAGCCTTTGATAAAATTCAACACCCCTTCATGCTAGAAACTCTCCACGAGCTCTAGGTATTGATGGAATGTATCTCAAAATAATAAAAGCTATTTATGACAAACCCACAGCCAATATCTTACTGAATGGGTGAAAACTGCAAGCATTCCCTTTGAAAACTAGCACAAGACAAAGATGCCCTCTCTCACCACTCCTATTCAACATAGTGTTGGAATTTCTGGCCAGGGCAGAGACTTGGCATGCAAGAGAAAGAAATAAAGGGTATTCAAATAGGAAGAGAGGAAGTCAGATTGTCTCTGTTTGCAGATGACATGATTGTATATTTAGAAAACCCCTTTGTCTCAGCCCCAAATCTCCTTAAGCTGATAAACAACTTCAGCAAAGTCTCAGGATACAAAATCAATGTGCAAAAATCACAAGCATTCCTATACACCAATAACAGAGAACCAAATCATGAGTGAACTCCCATTCACAATTACTATTAAAAGAATAAAGTACCTAGGAATACAGCTTACAAGGGATGTGAAGGACCTCTTCAAGGAGAACTACAAACCACTTCTCAAGGAAATAAGAGAGGACACAACAAATGGAAAAACATTCCATGCTCATGGATAAGAAGAATCACAATATAGTGAAAATGGCCATACTGCCGAAAGTAATTTATAGATTCAATACTGTCCCCATCAAGCTACCACTGACTTTCTTCACAGAATTGGAAAAATCTACTTTAAACATCATGTGGAACCAAAAAAGAGCCCACATAGCCAAGACAATCCTGGGCAAGAAGAACAAAGCTGGAGGCATCACACTACCTGACTTCAAACTATACTACCTGGCTACAGTAACCAAAACAGCATGGTACTGGTATCAAAATAGATATATAGACCAATGGAACAGAACAGAGGCCTCAGAAATAACACCACACATCTACAACCATCTGATCTTTGACAAACCTGACACAAACAAGAAATGGGGAAAAGATTCCCTGTTTAATAAATGGTGTTGGGAAAACTGGCTAGCCATATGCAGAAAACTGAAACTGGACCCCTTCCTTACACTTTATACAAAAATCAACTCAAGACGGATCAAAGACTGAAACGTAAGACCTAAAACCATGAAAACCCTAGAAGAAAACCTGAGTAATCCATTCAGGTCATAGGCATGGGCAAAGACTTCATATCTAAAACACCAAAAGCAATGGCAACAGAAGCCAAAATTGACAAATGGGATCTAATTAAACTAAAGAGCTTCTGCACAGCAAAAGAAACTATCATCAGAGTGAATAGGCAACCTACAGAATGGGAGAAAATTTTTGCAATCTATCCATCTGACAAAGGGCTAATATCCAGAATCTACAAAGAACTTCAACAAATTTACAAGAAAAAAACAACCCCATCAAAAAGTGGGCAAGGATATGAACAGACACTTCTCAAAAGAAGACATTTATGCAGCCAGCAGACATATGAAAAAATGCTCATCATCACTGGTCATTAGAGAAATGCAAATCAAAACCACAATGAGATACCATCTCACACCAGTTAGAATGGTGGTCATTAAAAAGTCAGGAAACAACAGGTGCTGGAGAGGATGTGGAGAAATAGGAACACTTTTACACTGTTGTGGGTGTGTAAATTAGTTCAACCATTGTGGAAGACAATGTGGCGATTCCTCAAGGATCTAGAACTACAAATACCATTTGACCCAGCCATCCCATTACTCGGTATATACCCAAAGGATTATAAATCATGCTGCTATAAAGACACATGCACACGTATGTTTATTGCAGCACTATTTACAATAGCAAAGACTTGGAACCAACCCAAATGTCCATCAATAATAGACTGGATAAAGAAAATGTGGCACATATGCACCATGAAATACTATGCAGCCCTAAAACAGGATGAGTTCCTCTCCTTTGCAGGGACATGGATGAAGCCAGAAACCATCATTCTCAGCAAACTATCACAAGAACAGAAAACCAAACACCGCATGTTCTCACTCATGGGTGGGAGTTGAACAATAAGAACACATGGACATAGGAAGGGCAGCATCACACACCAGGGCCTGTTGGCGGGGTGGGGGTCTAGGGGAGAATAGCATTAGAAGAAATACCTAATGTAGGTGATGGGTTGATGGAGCAGCACATCACCAAGGCATGTGTATACCTATGTAACCTGCACGTTCTGCGATGTACCCCAGAACTTAAAGTATAATAATAAAAAGATTTGACTATAAGGATGATATTATGCTGTAATACACTGTTCAAATATTATGAGATTCTAATGGTTAAAATTGTTTAGTCATTAGAAAATATCTGCAGTGGTAAATTGTTAAGTATGGAATTTCAGTACCCCAAAATAAGTATACACACAAAAGTTTAAGAATATTTTTCATCAGTGTAACGATTTTCAGTCAGGAGCCTTTGCACATAATGAAGTATGTAGGCTGTGGAATCTAGCCAACCTGGCTTTCACTCTTCAACTTAGTAGCTACATAACCTCAGACAGGCTACTTAGGTACTCTGTTTTTCTTTGTCTGTCAGAGGGATATATAATAATACCTACTTCTTAGGAGCTGCTGTAAAGATTTACCAAGCTAATAGTAGTAGCAGAAAACACTTCTCTAGTCCTTACTGTGTACCAGACACTGATCTAAGCACAATACATTTAAAAATCATTATATCTTCACAACCACTGTATGCAGTGGTTACTGCTGTGTCTGGCATTAAATATTAGCAAATAATACCAACAACTACCACCATCAAGAAGTCAACATGTCTTTACATTCTGATGACAATAAGTATGCATTGAAAATGTTACCATCTTCTATTGAAGTTTAAATTCATATTATCTAAAGTCATGTTTAAAGATTTTTAAAACTGTTTACCATATTTTTTACCCTTGCTTTCTTCATATTTTAATTAAAATCAGAATCAAGATGTGATGATCACCTATGATTGTTATTTTCAGATAAACTATACTATATTTTCAGCCACAGGTTAAACAGTTCAGGGGTATAGAGATCATTGGACAGAACATTTAGATAACTGAAGCCCTCATTGGCTACTAGAATTTATCAAGGGCCTGCATTACTCTGTATGCTTTTGGTGGTGGGCCATTTTTTAAATAAGCTGTGTAGATCCACAAACAAAATGATAGATTCAGAAATACAAGTAAGCTTGACTATTAATTTAAGTTTCAGTCATTAATATCAGCAGTTTTCACTGTTTTTTTTCTCTCAGCTAAGTGACAGAAGCAAAAGACAGTAAAAATCTTGGAAAATAGTTATCGGTCTTTTTTTCCATCTCAGCAGATAAAATACATTGATTTTTTGGATTTTTCCCATTTTATGACACATATCAAACATGCTCTGGGAAAATTCACAAGATAGTTATAAAATATATACAATCTCTGTGTTTTGGATTTATGACATAATCTATCTTACAATGGCAGCTTATACAGGGGACAGGAAGGAGTTCTGCTAGAGTCCCAGAAAGTGATAGGCAGTCTTTAAGAGTGCTTTGAGCTATGGTTGACTTGGGCAGAATAGAACACCCAGTATCTCTGGTTAAAAAGAACTCAGTAAAAAAATATGAACCATGCAAGCAAGCATTTGAACCAGAATGCATATATGTCTTAAAGCCTAATTTGGGGGAAGTTTTCAAGCCCAAAATACTCTAGATATAAATGTGTTAAATGTGCAATCCAAGGTCAACCAGAGAACCTACAGCTAACAAAATTGATAATATAATGCTAGGCTGCAATATTGCATCATTAAAAGGTAAGAATGGCATCAGCATAAAACCATGGCCAACTCAAGATACCAAAGATGTCCAGAAGCCTCCCTTCGCAAAACAGCAGGAATGTCAGCTATCTAGGCATGCAGTTTCACTGGTCAAGCATATTTGAGAGCCTTGCAGTGAGCCAGACCTTACATGATAGCCAGATCTTAGTGGAGTATAGAATTGATTAATCCTCAGCAAATACTTACCATGTTCTAATTTTAGCTTGTCATATATAAATGCCAACTTAAAATGACTTTATCAAGTAGGTTGCTAATAAGTACTGAAAGTAAAAATGAAAGTTAATAGCATTGTGCATCATTTGCCAGTAAGCATCTCCATTCCGTGTGTGTGTGTGTGTGTGTGTGTTGTGTGTGTGTGTGTGTGTGTGTGTGTGTATTTGCCTCTTACTATGAGTTAAAGGCCCATCAGGAAACTCTTACAGTCAGGAAACTTAAGCTTATAGTCAGCTGTGAAACAGCCTTTTAAAAATCATTCCCCTTACCCACACACGGACTTCACTCTGCTTGTAGTGTGGCTGCTCATAGTGTGGCTGTTTTTCCATCTTGACACGTATTTTCTCATTACTATATTAAAGTGACTTTTTTCTTTATTGTATTGATATACTGAATAGACCTCCTCAGATAATATTTATGGAAACATAAAACCATTCTGGAAGGCAGTTTAACAGTATCTACTTCATAAGTCTTCCCTTTTACTCTAAAGTTTCACCCCTACTAATCTGATAAGTATATATAAGGAATGGCCAAAATTATACATATTTACAAGAAAAATTATGGCATTGTTGCTAGTGCTTAACACAGGCAAAAAAATTATCAATAGATCATAGGTTGAAGTATATCTGTATGATAGAATGCTGTGTAGCTATCCAGAGGGAAATAAGAAAGCTTTATGTATATAGATGCCCCTTGACTTATGAATTATGATGGTGTTATGTCCTGATAAATTCATCGTAAGTTGAAAATACTGTGAAATCGAAAATGCATTTAATATACTTAACCTATCAAACATCATAGCTGAGCTTAGCCTGCCTTAAATATGCCTGCAACACTTATAGCTTACAGTTGGGCAAATCATAACATGAAGCCTATGTTTTAATATGATGTTGAATATCTCTTGTCATTTATTGAATACTGTACCAAGGGTGAAAAACAGAATGGTGTTGCACCATCATAAAGTCAAAACATTGTAAATCAAGCCATAATTAGTCAGGGACTGTCTGTACTGACATAGAAAGGCTTCCAAGACATGTTATAAAGTGGCATAATATAAGTGGCAAAGCAGTATGATGTGATCATGTGTATTTTGAATTATATATACACACATTTGTATATAGGTGATGCTGGATTTATATTAAATATAAGATAAGGTGAGGTTTGTGTTACAACTAAGTAAGAAAAGTATATAAAATGAGTTACATCATGCCTACTTAGTGCATTGAAATAATTAATAAAATTTGCCATTATTTTTATCTTTATGGAGTGGATTGAGGAAGGAAAAATAGGGCTGCCTTTACTAACTTTACATGTTTTGCATTGACTGATTTTACATGCATTACTTTTATAATAAAATAAGAGAGAAAACCATTTACTCTTGGGAAAAGATCTGGAAAAGCATATTCATACTAAAATATTAATGGCATAACAAAACTTGACGTTTTTCTTCTGACACAAGATATTGAAGAACTCCTAATATGTGAGCACAGTGGTGACCTCTGGTACTCTTTTGGACAAGAGTCTTCCTAAAGTCTATAAAAGCTGTTTTGGAGTTTTGGTTATTTGTTTTCACCTTTAAATATCTACCCATATTTTCAATTGTATTTCTTCCTTCGTGTTCTCAGGAGTGTGTGTGTGTGTGTGTGTGTGTGTGTGTGTGTGTGTGTGTGTGTGTGTGTAGAGGGATATGTATACATATTATTTAAGCATTTAGGTGATTATTTTTCAAGAATTGTTGGAAAATTTAAGGAAGCAGTGGAAAGAATAACTGATAGTAATTACTGCCTAGTTATCTAAATAAAGTGAAGCTTCTTTTTCTCCCTTCTTCCGAATCTTTTCTTAGCAAATAAGAATCACCCTGAAAGTAGTTTAAAAGAGATATTCTAGTGACCATACCCAATGAAGTACTAAATATTCATCCTGTTAGAGTGATTATTGCAAGGACTCTAAAGGAAAACATTGATTATACTAGATTATTTATTTTATAGAATTTTATTCTCAGCTTATACTCCTGGTTCTATGAACTATAGAAATCACTCAGAATAATAAAATGCTGATGTTATATTTTATTGAAATTCATTAAAAATTATAGAAAAAGGTGCTCATTTGAAAACTTCCAAATGTCAGTTATTCAGAATGACAAACTTAATTATATAGAAATTGACTAATTTGGTTGATTCTTTCTAAAGTCAGTGTTGGATTAATAATGTAATGCATGGATCATTAACAGCTTAAAAATACTTGTGGTAAACTTGATGATGTAATGCTATTTTGTTAGGAAAGATGGCCTCTTTTCTTAAGTTGCAATCCTTTAAGGATTCAAAGCCCTAATTGTACATAAGCAATATCGTATGCTGTAGGCTCGTTATCATTGGAGGGGAGGTTTAATATAGAGTTTAAGAGCACAAAATATGGAATCAGACTGTTGCTGTTAAAATCCTGGCTCTGCCACTTCCTAGCTGTGATCTTAGACAAGTTACTCTCTCTCTGCCTTGATTTTCTTACATATAAAACAAGGATATAAGTAGTAAGTGGTAGAACTCTTATTTCATAAGGCTGTTATAAGATTGTTGTAAGAATTTAATGGGTTAGTATTTATAAAGCAGGTCTATATATAGTAAGTATTCAATAAGGGTAGCTACTATTTGTCATTTTGGTCATGTAATATCTAGTGTTACATATGTGTGTTGTCAAATAAATTAGTTGTTAACATTATTTAAAAGAAAACATTGAATTACAATCTGTTTTAAGCATCTTTTTTATTTTTCTGAGATGTAAAAACTGATTGTTTTACTAGTTGGTTTTGATTATTTGTTTCTTGTTTGTATTACAGTTACAAATTATAATACTGTGGTAGAAACAAATTCAGATTCAGATGATGAAGACAAACTGCATATTGTGGAAGAAGAAAGTGTTACAGATGCAGCTGACTGTGAAGGTGTACCAGAGGATGACCTGCCAACAGACCAGACAGTGTTACCAGGGAGGAGCAGTGAAAGAGAAGGGAATGCTAAGAACTGCTGGGAGGATGACAGTAAGTCTGATTTTTTTTTGTAATATTGTATTCTCATGATTCGTTTTTTAAAATATATATTAACTGAAAAGATAAATTGGATGAAAAGTTTGAAATCAATAGTAAATTTGGCTATCAATAAATATTAGGTGTCCTACTTACTAAAAAGTGGATTATGAAGCAGAATAAGCAAGTTATTTTGACCATATTTACAATGCATATAATGTATTGAAATTTAGTAGAATTTATTAACCAGGATCAAGCTTTCCAAATATTGTTGATATAATTGAACCTACCTTTAATTTTTTATTGTAACCCCGAATGAATACTCTACTTAGAAACCAATAAATATCATATAGATATAGTGAAATTATAATTCAATATGCAAAAATCCCAAACACATATAAATCATGGAGGTATTTTTAGTGCTTGTAAACCTCTCTATACATACATCAGAATCCTTTAAGTAAGGTGGTTTTTTCACTTTAAATTTTTACTTTTACTCAAAGTATGGCTGAGTGGAAGGAGCGGTGAAAGTAAGGAGACCCTCTACTTGCTGCACTTTCAGTGAGTAAACACTGAAAGTTTAATCTTCTTCCTCATCTGTCAAATGGAGAAATTGGACCTAGTCTTTTATTCTAGCTCTAAAATTTCTTCTTTCTACTTTTCCTAATAAACTAATTAAATTATTTAGCCTGTCTTGCCAGGTTAAGCACCAATGATATAAAAATGGGATATGGAAGTGGCATAGTATTAATTAGAGAGGTTGGGGATCAGGAACAAGGGCATCAGAAAAGGTAAACAAGTACACGCAATAAATCGAATCCAAGACCAGTCAAAGGAGAAGCTTCCCAGCAAGAATTCAAGTTCAAAGAGGTCGTCTAGACAAGATATCAAAACTAAAATCTGGAAAAGTGGGTCAGGCATGCAGGTCAGGATATTATCTGGATAATGAAATATGGAAGTGTAGATAAAAGCTCAGATAATAGGCACAGATTGGCAGAAGTTAAGATTTCTACAATATGACAAATCTAATGGTTAACAAGGGACTTTTGAAATAATGTAATCAGCCCTCTCATTTTATAGTGTTGTTCATTTGTCCATTCAGCAACCTCTGTAGAAATTGGTTGCAACTGTGGATAAGACTCTCTGCATGAATGATGTTTATATGGCTTAATGGAGAAGAGAGATAAATAAGTCACAAATACATTATAGTTTTATTTAGGTATACATTATATGGCAGCATCAAGGAGGAGCATCCGAATTAGAGAAGGAAGGAGAAGTCGTAGAAGAGTTCTGAGTGAAACAGAGTGGTCTTTAGTTCTTAAGGACCGATGGAGGTTAATTAGACAAAGTACAGTGAATATAAGGTTTTCAGGCAAAAGAGGCAACATACATGAAGCCACAGAGGCTTGAGCAAAGTGTTCACAGAAAATGAGATCAGAGAAGTAAACAAGGGAAAAAATATGAAGTGATTTGTGTACTATGTCAAGGAATTTGAACCTTATCATGGAAGCTATGAGAAGAACATCATTAAAATAATTTATAAATAAGTCTGGTGTAATATGGAAAAAGAATTTTAGAGGGAGGGAGGCTGAGGTAGTGTCTTCAACGAGACGGCTGTAATAATCAGGCAGTGTTAAGGGTTTTTGAGTTAAAGTAGTTGCCCATGGGATGGGAATAGAAGGGAGATAATTGAAAGACAGAAAGGAGATAGAATATATAAGAATTGGAAAGGGCTGTTTTTAGATACAGTCCCAGGTTTCTAGAAAGTGAGACTCAGAGAAGTTGACTTGCTCACTTATGGCAGCTGGTTAATTGTAGAGCTATGAACCTGTTAATGTTAATACTAAGCTCAAACATTTTTGGAGCAAGGGTTTCTTATGTATTTCTTATCTGTGGCCTGAATTACGTAGTTGATCCAGAGTCTTAATAGGTAATCAAGAAGGAAATGATCTGTCTGGGGAAAAAAGGGGGCAATAAGAATAAGGTAGATGAAGGGAGAAAGGAAGGTGAAAAAATCAGTGAACAGGTTCTGCTTCTGAGAATATGTTGGGTTCGATTATTTGAACTAACCCTTTTTACTGAAAACAACTAATGGTGCTAGATTAAAAACAAAAACAAAAAACTTCTTAGCACTTCTAAAGAGCTAAGTAAGACACTACCTTGTCAAAATCTAAGTGAAAAAAGGAACCCATAGAAGTAAACAGAGCAGATCATAGAAGACACTTTGGTCCTGAATACATTTGCCTAGCCAGTGAAATGTAAGGTGATTTTCAGGCTTCTGAGAGGAAACAAAGCCCAAGACCACCAAAGATAGTTTAATAGCAGTATGGATTATGTCTCGACTGTGAGGATGAACTAAAAGCAAACCATTTTCCATCTCTACCATCCTTGAGAGTGAACAAGCAAAGTTTCCCTGGTTAGGTATTCAGGGAATGGAGGATTGTCTTTGAGAAGTAGTAACCACAAGCTGTCTCGCACTGATTTGAAGTCCAAGTTTACATTGCTGTGTAGCCTGAAAAATCTCAAGCCATATTTGAGTTTAAAGTGGAACTGCTACAAATATCTATTGGCACCAGGCAGAAGTAAACACAAGTCTTTTGGAGAAATATACCTTCATCCTAGTACTATAGAAGTCTCCCAAATAATTTAGCAAGAAGGTAGAAACATGAGTGAGAATTACCAGAAACAAAAGGAAGCAGAAACTGACCCATAAAGGCTAATTACTAGAGTTACGTCATACAGATTTATAAAATGACTACTGTCTTGTTTAAAGAAAAATCAGATGGTTATCTGCTATGATATGATAAAATAAAACCAGTGTGTTTTAAGAATAATCTAATAGAACTAAAAATAAAAAATTGAATAGTAGGAATTTGAAATTCAGAGGATACATTTAACAACAAATTAAACAGGGTTAAAGAAAAATTAATAATTTGGAAGATAGAGAAAAATTACACTAAATGGAACTCAGAGAGACACATAGAAAAAATATGAAAAACAGGTGCCTGTAGTCCCAGCTACTCGGGAGGCTGAGGCAGGAGAATGGCGTGAACCCGGGAGGCAGAGCTTGCAGTGAGCCGAGATGATGCCACTGCACTCCAGCCTGGGCGACAGAGTAAGACTCTATCTCAGAAAAAAAAGAAAAAAGAAAAGATATGAAAAACAGGTTAAGATACATGAAGATTCAATACATCTTATGCCAGGAGAAAAGATACTAGGGCAGCAGCCATACTTGAAGAAATAATGGCTGAGGTTTTTATTTATAATCAGTGAAAAACACCATACTACAGATTCAAAAAGCCCAAATGGACATTCAGATCTGTAAAGATCAAAGAAGTCCAATAGATTGAACATAAAAAGATCTTCACTAAGGCACATTACAATCAAATTATGAAAAGTCAACGACAGTTTTGAAAGCAGCAAAAGAAAAGTTGCAGACTCCATAAGACTGTAGGCAGATTTCTGTGCAGAAACCTGTCAAGCAAGGAGAAAGTGGGATGATATATTCAAAGTGCCAAAAGAAAAACACTGCTGACCAAGCATACTATACCCAGCAAAGTTATACTTCAGAAATGAAGAAGAAATACTTTCCCAAAAACAAAAGCTGAGGGATTTTGTCACTGTTAAACCTGCTTCGTAAGAAAAACTGAAGGCAGTTTTTCAAGTTGAAACAAAAGAACACTAATTAGCAACATGAAAACATGAAAGAATAAAACTCACTAGTAAAGAAGTTCCAAACTATAAATACTATTCTATATAGTGAGAAAGAATGAATAAGACCTACTATTTGATAGCACAATAGGGTGACTGCAGTCAATAATAACTTAATTTTACATTTTAAAATAAAAGAGTATAATTGGATTGTTTGTAACTCAAAGGATAAATACCTGAGGGGACAGTT
Source organism: Homo sapiens (assembly GCF_000001405.40). Lineage (NCBI taxonomy): Eukaryota > Metazoa > Chordata > Mammalia > Primates > Hominidae > Homo > Homo sapiens. Next base: position 31,465,124 of record NC_000010.11, read on the forward strand.
AAAAAAGAAATAAATTCAGAATGCTGTGATACTATAATGATGTTGTGTAAATGTCTTGTAACTCTAATATAAAAATAAAAAACAAGGTATTAAAATATAGCTACAATAATTTTTAATAGATATACAATATACAAGTATGTAAATTGTGGTATAAATTAACACAGAATGTGGGAGGGGAGAGGTAAAAGTGTAGTTTTTATATGTGATGGAAATTAAGTTCTTATCAGTTTAAAATAGATTGTTATGACTATAAAATGGTTTTTGTAAGCCTTTTGGATAATTAAAAGAAAAAAACTGTGTTAGATACACAAAAGATAAACCATGCGATTGCAAAAAATATATATATATATATAAAATATCAATGGAAGCAGCAAAGAAACAAAGGCACTTAAAACTTTTCAGAAAACAATAAAATGGCAGTAGTTTTTACTTATCAATAATTACTTTAAATGCAAATGGATTAAACTCAGTAATCAAAATACATTGTTACTATGCATGTTTTTAATACAGAGATAGGGCCTTGCTGTGTCACCAGGGTAGAGTGCAGTGATGCAGTCACAGCCCACTGTAACTTCAACCTCCTGGACTCAAGCAGTCTTCTTGCTTTAGTCTCCTAAGTAGCTAGGACTACAGGCATATGCCACCACATGTGGCTAATTTAAAAAAAAAAAAAACTTTCATGGAAAGATGGGGTCTTGCTATGTTGCTCAGGCTTTAAATGCATTTTTTAAAACTGACCCAACTACAAGCTGCCTACAGGAGACTTATTTTACCTTTAAAGATACAGATAAGATGAAAGAGGAAGGTTGGAAAAATATGTTCCATGTAAGTGGAACCAAAAGAGAGCAGTGGTGGCCATTTTTACACCAGGCAAAATAAATTTTAAGTAAAAAATTGTCACAAGAGGCAATGAAGGTCATTGTATAATGATAAAGAGGTCAATTTATCAAGATGATACAATTCTAAATATATTTGCCACCAATTTTGGAGCACATAAATATGTAAAGAAAAAATATAACTGAAGGGAGAAATAGATAGCAGTACAGTAATCATAGGGGTCTTCAGTGCTTTCAATAATGGAGAAATCATCTAGACAGAAAATCAATAAAGAAACAGTGGATTTGAACAACACTAGACAAAATGGACCTGATATACAGAACATTCCATTCAACAGTAGCAGAATATGCACATTTTTCTCACTCAAACATGTAACATTCTCCAGGACAGATTATTTGTTAGGCCACAAGATAAGTTTTAACAAATTTAAAATTAAAATTATATCAAGTATGTTTTCTGTCAACAGTGGCATGAAACCATAAATCCGTAACAGGAGGAAAATTGGAAAATTCACAAATATGTGGAAATTAAGCAACACACTCCTGAACAACCAAAGGTCAAAGAAGAAATGAAAGGGGAAGTAAAAAATATCTTGAAACAAACAAAAATGGAAACATAACATACCAAAACATGGAATGCAGCAAAAGCAGTTCTAAAAGAGAATTTTATAGCAATAAATGCCTACATTAAGAATAAGGAATGATCTTAAATAAACAACTTAATATTGGACCTCATGGAACTAGAAAAATAAGAACAAAGTAAAACCAAAGTTAGAAGAAGGAATGAAATAATAAAGATTAGAGCACAAATAAATGAAATAAAGAGTAGAAAAACAATACAAAAGATCAACAAAACTGAGTTAGTTTTTTGAGAAGATAAAATCAACAAACATTTAGCTAGAATTTAAAAAAGGAGGGAATATCCAAATAGAATAATAAATGAAAAATGAGGAGAGGGATTAAAGATGGCCAACTAGCTGGATCTGGGATGCACCTCTTCTACAGAGAGGAACCAAAATATTGAGTAAACCCTCACACTTTCAACAGATCTTTTGAGAGAAAACACTGAAATTTAATATATAGGCCATGACAGACATGATTGAAGAAGTAGGAAGCAACACTGCTGGCTCAGTATTGCCAGACACCTTAGGACCAGAATGGACCCAAGGAAGGTGTGAGTGAAGAAACCCGGGAACACCACTTTCCCACTGTCAACCTCTGAAATTCTAGAGGAGTTCCCACAACCCCTGAATACGTTTGGATTGGTAGGAGGAGCTGCCTGGAGACCATACAGAGGCACTACTTGAAGCCACAAGGAGCCCAAAAGCCTTCAGTGTGCTAGGCAGCTGCAGCAAAACGTGACTCTGGGCACCCACCCCCGAGTGCCCTGCATCCGAGCGGCTACATCTGCTGTCTGCCACACCAGGATAGAGTGGGGCCCATGCATGTTCACATGACCAATTCAGGATCCACCACCATTCCTGCAGGACTGAGGTGAATCTAAACCACACACGACCATGCCTGCCAGTCCCTCCTAAGATTGCCTGCCTGGCCATTGCTGTGGAGTGGGACCCACAGCATAGCCTCCATTGCCCCACCTGAGTGGTTTATTGGCTACCTGGGAACACTTTACTCCTCCTATCACTGCCAGTGGTTGATCCTAAGGAGCCAGAGGACAAATCCACTGGCCTGGTCTCAGTTTGCCAGGACTCAAGCATACCACCCAGGAATATGGGGATGAGATCTGTGGCCTGATCTCAAGCAGGGGAGGAACCCCCACTGTCAGAACACAGGGAAGAGTGTGGTGTGGGTTTTTCAGGTGGTACAGAAGCTGGGCACCCCTCCCTTCATGAGAATAGACTAGGAAGGGTATAGCCTCATAGCCTTGCTTTCTGCTGCAGGGAGTCTTGCATTCTGGAATGCCTGGGATGGCATGGCAGTCTGGGCACAGGTGGTTTGGGATTTGCATAACTAATTGGGCCGGCTGCCAGGGTGGACACTGGAGGGAGACCCACCAGTCAGGGGTGTAGAAGCTGAGTGGGCCTCATGGCCATCTGCTGGAATGAAATCCCAGGGCTAGCCCTCTTACCCTGAACCAGCTCTTGTGGCACAGAAGAGGTGCCTGCACCCCTCCCTAGAGTGTTGTTCCAGCTGCCTGAGAACTGCCCCTACAGCCCTACCAAGGTCACGTCTGCCTCAGAGAGCCTGATCACGGGCTCACCAGACCCAGTCCCACCCAGCTTTGCCCCCTCTAGCCAGCCTTGGGAGCAGAGCATGGGATGGGACCACTGAGAGCTCCACACCCCCCACCCATCACCAAGAACACTCTTGTATTCCTTATCAACAAAGGCCAAGTAAAAATCCCACTGTCATCACTGCAGCTGCCTCTCACCTGCCAGCATCACCTACTGGCCAGGAGGTCAAAACTGCATGTCCTGTCGCAGCAACTGTTGATATCATTGCACAGCACTCAGACAGCTCTTACCTGCAGGCATCACCTGCTGGCCTGTAGGGTGAACTGCACAACCCAATATAATTCCTGCTGACAAGTACACAGCTCTAAGGAATGAGGTAAGTTTCCCCCAAAAGACCTCCAACTTTGCATCTCTATAGGAGACAGTGAGCCTTACCACATATACAGCATACCACTACTACAAACTACAAACAATTAACATTTGAGAAAACAACTACACTAAGGCTATCTGTAACCAAGGAATTTATACAGAGCCTTGGCCCCCTAAAAGCACGTAGAAGCAAAGCCAAAGGACACAACCCAACATATGCAAGAGTCACACCCTCAAGGGGCAACGAAAAATAATCCCACCCAAATGAAGATAAATCCAAAAATAATAAGTGCCAGCTTCTACACATGAGAAGGAACCAGCACAAGAGCTCCAACACCAGGAAGAAATAGAATGTTGTGACACCCCTAAAGGACCACATTAGCTCTCTAGCAATGAATCTTAATGAAAATGAAAACTTTGAAATGACAGATAAAGAATTTAAGATATGGACTGTTAAGAAGCCTAGTGAGATACAAGAGAAAGTTGAAAACCAAAGCAACTAGAGAAACAATCTAAGAGATGAAAGACAACATAGATATATTTTTTAAAAAACAAATGGAATATCTGAAAATGATAAATTTGCTGAAGGAACTTCAAAACACTGTTGAAAGCCTTAACAATAGACTAGACAAACCAGAAGAAAGATTTCAGAGCTTGACGACTAGTCTTTCAAATTAACCCAATCAGAAAATGGCCGAATAGGAACAGCTCCGGTCTACAGCTCCCAGCGTGAGCGACGCAGAAGACGGGTGATTTCTGCATTTCCATCTGAGGTACCGGGTTCATCTCACTAGGGAGTGCCAGACAGTGGGCACAGGTCAGTGGGTGCGCGCACCATGCGTGAGCCGAAGCAGGGTGAGGCATTGCCTCACTCGGGAAGCGCAAGGGGTCAGGGAGTTCCCTTTCCTAGTCAAAGAAAGGGGTGACAGACGGCACCTGGAAAATCGGGTCACTCCCACCCGAATATTGCGCTTTTCTGACGGGCTTAAAAAACGGCACACCACGAGATTATATCCCGCACCTGGCTCAGAGGGTCCTACGCCCACGGAGTCTCGCTGATTGCTAGCACAGCAGTCTGAGATCAAACTGCAAGGCAGCAGCGAGGCTGGGGGAGGGGCGCCCGCCATTGCCCAGGCTTCCTTAGGTAAACAAAGCAGCCCAGAAGCTGGAACTGGGTGAAGCCCACCACAGCTCAAGGAGGCCTGCCTGCCTCTGTAGGCTCCACCTCTGGGGGCAGGGCACAGACAAACAAAAAGACAGCAGTAACCTCTGCAGACTTAAATGTCCCTGTCTGACAGCTTTGAAGAGAGCAGTGGTTCTCCCAGTACGCAGCTGGAGATCTGAGAACGGGTAGACTGCCTCCTCAAGTGGGTCCCTGACCCCTAACCCCCGAGCAGCCTAACTGGGAGGCACCCCCCAGCAGGGGCACACTGACACCTCACACGGCAGGGTACTCCAACAGACCTACAGCTGAGGGTCCTGTCTGTTAGAAGGAAAACTAACAAACAGAAAGGACATCCACACCAAAAACCCATCTGTACATCACCATCATCAAAGACCAAAAGTAGATAAAACCACAAAGATGGGGAAAAAACAGAACAGAAAAAGTGGAAACTCTAAAAAGCAGAGCGCCTCTCCTCCTCCAAAGGAACGCAATTCCTCACCAGCAATGGAACAAAGCTGGACGGAGAACGACTTTGACGAGCTGAGAGAAGAAGGCTTCAGACGATCAAATTACTCTGAGCTACGGGAGGACATTCAAACCAAAGGCAAAGAAGTTGAAAACTTTGAAAAAAATTTAGAAGAATGTATAACTAGAATAACCAATACAGAGAAGTGCTTAAAGGAGCTGATGGAGCTGAAAACCAAGGCTCGAGAACTACGTGAAGAATGCAGAAGCCTCAGGAGCCAATGCGATCAACTGGAAGAAAGGGTATCAGCGATGGAAGATGAAATGAATGAAATGAAGCGAGAAGGAAAGTTTAGAGAAAAAAGAATAAAAAGAAATGAGCAAAGCCTCCAAGAAATATGGGACTATGTGAAAAGACCAAATCTACATCTGATTGGTGTACCTGAAAGTGATGGGGAGAATGGAACCAAGTTGGAAAACACTCTGCAGGATATTATCCAGGAGAACTTCCCCAATCTAGCAAGGCAGGCCAACATTCAGATTCAGGAAATACAGAGAATGCCACAAAGATACTCCTCGAGAAGAGCAACTCCAAGACACATAATTGTCAGATTCACCAAAGTTGAAATGAAGGAAAAAATGTTAAGGGCAGCCAGAGAGAAACGTCAGGTTACCCTCAAAGGGAAGCCCATCAGACTAACAGCGGATCTCTCGGCAGAAACCCTACAAGCCAGAAGAGAGTGGGGGCCAATATTCAACATTCTTAAAGAAAAGAATTTTCAACCCAGAATTTCATATCCAGCCAAACTAAGCTTCATAAGTGAAGGAGAAATAAAATCCTTTACACACAAGCAAATGCTGAGAGATTTTGTCACCAGCAGGCCTGCCCTAAAAGAGCTCCTGAAGGAAGCACTAAACATGGAAAGGAACAACCGGTACCAGCCGCTGCAAAATCATGCCAAAATGTAAAGACCATCGAGACTAGGAAGAAACTGCATGAACTAACGAGCAAAATCACCTGCTAACATCATAATGACAGGATCAAATTCACACATAACAATATTAACTTTAAATGTAAATGGACTAAATTCTCCAATTAAAAGACACAGACTGGCAAATTGGATAAAGAGTCAAGACCCATCAGTGTGCTGTATTCAGGAAACCCATCTCACGTGCAGAGACACACATAGGCTCAAAATAAAAGGATGGAGGAAGATCTACCAAGCAAATGGAAAATTAAAAAAGGCAGGGGTTGCAATCCTAGTCTCTGATAAAACAGACCTTAAACCAATAAAGATCAAAAGAGACGAAGGCCATTACATAATGGTAAAGGGATCAATTCAACAAGAAGAGCTAACTATCCTAAATATATATGCACCCAATACAGGAGCACCCAGATTCATAAAGCAAGTCCTGAGTGACCTACAAAGAGACTTAGACTCCCACACATTAATAATGGGAGACTTTAACACCCCACTGTCAACATTAGACAGATCAACGAGACAGAAGGTCAACAAGGATACCCAGGAATTGAACTCAGCTCTGCACCAAGCAGACCTAATAGACATCTACAGAACTCTCCACCCCAAATCAACAGAATATACATTTTTTTCAGCACCACACCACACCTATTCCAAAATTGACCACATACTTGGAAGTAAAGCTCTCCTCAGCAAATGTAAAAGAACAGAAATTGTAACAAACTATCTCTCAGACCACAGTGCAATCAAACTAGAACTCAGGATTAAGAATCTCACTCAAAACCACTCAACTACATGGAAACTGAACAACCTGCTCCTGAATGACTACTGGGTACCTAACGAAATGAAGGCAGAAATAAAGATGTTCTTTGAAACCAACGAGAACAAAGACACAACATACCAGAATCTCTGGGACACATTCAAAGCAGTGTGTAGAGGGAAATTTATAGCACTAAATGCCCACAAGAGAAAGCAGGAAAGACCCAAAATTGACACCCTAACATCACAATTAAAAGAACTAGAAAAGCAAGAGCAAACACATTCAAAAGCTAGCAGAAGGCAAGAAATAACTAAAATCAGAGCAGAACTGAAGGAAATAGAGACACAAAAAACCCTTCAAAAAATTAATTAATCCCAGAGCTGGTTTTTTGAAAGGGTCAAGAAAATAGATAGACCACTAGCAAGACTAATAAAAAAAGAGAGAAGAATCAAATAGATGCAATAAAAAATGATAAAGGGGATATCACCACCGATCCCACAGAAATACAAACTACCATCAGAGAATACTACAAATACCTCTATGCAAATAAAGTAGAAAATCTAGAAGAAATGGATACATTCCTCGACACATACACTCTCCCAAGACTAAACCAGGAAGAAGTTGAATCTCTGAATAGACCAATAACAGGATCTGAAATTGTGGCAATAATCAATAGTTTACCAACCAAAAAGAGTCCAGGACCAGATGGATTCACAGCCGAATTCTAACAGAGGTACAAGGAGGAACTGGTACCATTCCTTCTGAAACTATTCCAATCAATAGAAAAAGAGGGAATCCTCCCTAACTCATTTTATGAGGCCAGCATCATTCTGATACCAAAGCCTGGCAGAGACACAACCAAAAAAGAGAATTTTAGACCAATATCCTTGATGAACATTGATGCAAAAATCCTCAGTAAAATACTGGCAAACCGAATCCAGCAGCACATCAAAAAGCTTATCCACCATGATCAAGTGGGCTTCATCCCTGGGATGCAAGGCTGGTTCAATATACCCAAATCAATAAATGTAATCCAGCATATAAACAGAGCCAAAGACAAAAACCACATGATTATCTCAATAGATGCAGAAAAGGCCTTTGACAAAATTCAACAACCCTTCATGCTAAAAACTCTCAATAAATTAGGTATTGATGGGACGTATTTCAAAATAATAAGAGCTATCTATGACAGACCCACAGCCAATATCATACTGAATGGGCAAAAACTGGAAGCATTCCCTTTGAAAACTGGCACAAGACAGGGATGCCCTCTCTCACCACTCCTATTCAACATAGTGTTGGAATTTCTGGCCAGGGCAATTAGGCAGGAGAAGGAAATAAAGGGTATTCAATTAGGAAAAGAGGAAGTCAAATTGTCCCTGTTTGCAGACGACATGATTGTATATCTAGAAAACCCCATTGTCTCAGCCCAAAATCTCCTTAAGCTGATAAGCAACTTCAGCAAAGTCTCAGGATACAAAATCAATGTACAAAAATCACAAGCATTCTTATACACCAGTAACAGACAAACAGAGAGCCAAATCATGAGTGAACTCCCATTCACAATTGCTTCAAACAGAATAAAATACCTAGGAATCCAACTTACAAGGGACGTGAAGGACCTCTTCAAGGAGAACTACAAACCACTGGTCAAGGAAATAAAAGAGGATACAAACAAATGGAAGAACATTCCATGCTCATGGCTAGGAAGAATCAATATCGTGAAAATGGCCATACTGCCCAAGGTAATTTACAGATTCAATGCCATCCCCATCAAGCTACCAATGACTTTCTTCACAGAATTGGAAAAAACTACTTTAAAGTTCATATGGAACCAAAAAAGAGCCTGCATCGCCAAGTCAATCCTAAGCCAAAAGAACAAAGCTGGAGGCATCACACTACCTGACTTCAAACTATACTACAAGGCTACAGTAACCAAAACAGCATGGTACTGGTACCAAAACAGAGATATAGATCAATGGAACTGAACAGAGCCCTCAGAAATAACGCCGCATATCTACAACTATCTGATCTTTGACAAACCTGAGAAAAACAAGCAATGGGGAAAGGATTCCCTATTTAATAAATGGTTCTGGGAAAACCGGCTAGCCATATGTACAAAGCTGAAACTGGATCCCTTCCTTACACCTTATACAAAAATCAATTCAAGATGGATTAAAGATTTAAATGTTAAACCTAAAACCGTAAAAACCCTAGAAGAAAACCTAGGCAATAACATTCAGGACATAGGCACGGGCAAGGACTTCATGTCTAAAACACCAAAAGCAATGGCAACAAAAGCCAAAATTGACAAATGGGATCTAATTAAACTAAAGAGCTTCTGTACAGCAAAGGAAACTACCATCAGAGTGAACAGGCAACCTACAAAATGGGAGAAAATTTTTGCAACCTACTCATCTGACAAAGGGCTAATATCCAGAATCTACAATGAACTCCAACAAATTTACAAGAAAAAAACAAACAGCCCCATCAAAAAGTGGGCAAAGGACATGAACAGACACTTCTCGAAAGAAGACATTTATGCAGCCAAAAAACACATGAAAAAATGCTCATCATCACTGGCCATCAGAGAAAGGCAAATCAAAACCACAATGAGATACCATCTCACACCAGTTAGAATGGCAATCATTAAAAAGTCAGGAAACAACAGGTACTGGAGAGGATGTGGAGAAATAGGAACACTTTTACACTGTTGGTGGGACTGTAAACTAGTTCAACCATTGTGGAAGTCAGTGCGGCGATTCCTCAGGGATCTAGAACTAGAAATACCATTTGACCCAGCTATCCCATTACTGGGTATATACCCAAAGGACTATAAATCATGCTGCTATAAAGACACATGCACACGTATGTTTATTGAGGCACTATTCACAATAGCAAAGACTTGGAACCAACCCAAATGTCCAACAATGATAGACTGGATTAAGAAAAGGTGGCACATATACACCATGGAATACTATGCAGCCATAAAAAAGGATGAGTTCATGTCCTTTGTAGGGACATGGATGAAATTGGAAATCATCATTCTCAGTAAACTATCGCAAGAACAAAAAATCAAACACCGCATATTCTCACTCATAGGTGGGAATTGAACAATGAGATCACATGGACACAGGAAGGGGAACATCACACTCTGGGGACTGTTGTGGGGTGGGGCGGGGGGGAGGGATAGCATTGGGAGATATACCTAATGCTAGATGACGAGTTAGTGGGTGCAGTGCACCAGCGTGGCACATGTATACATATGTAACTAACCTGCACAATGTGCACATGTACCCTAAAACTTAAAGTATAATAATAAAAGAAAAAAAAAAACAAATTAACCCAATCAGACAAAAAATAAGTTTTGTAAATGAACAAAGTCTTCAAGAAATACAGGATTATGTAAAGCTACCAAAACTGTGACTTACAGGCATTCTTGATGGAGAAGAGGAAAAAGTAGAAAGCTTGGAAAAATATTTGAGGGGATAATTTAGGAAAATCACCCAATCTTCTAGAGATGTAGACATCAAGATACAAGAAATTCAGAGAGCACCTGAAAAATACTGTACAACATTAACATGACCAAGGCATATAGTCATTAGGCTATTCAAAGTCAATATGAAAGAAAAATCTTAAAGGCAGCTAGAGACAAGTGTCAAATCACCTATGAAGGAAGCTCATCAACCTAATGGTAGACATCTCAGCAGCAACCTTGTAAAACATAAGAGATTAGAGGCCTATTTTTAACCACCTTGAAAAAATGTCAGACATGAATTTTATATCCTGCCAAACTAAGCTTCATAATTGAAGGAGAAATAGTCTTTCCCAGATAAGCACACATAGAGAGAATTCATCACCACTACACCATCTTACAAGAAATGCTCAAAGGAGTTCTGAACATGGCAATGAAAGGATAATACTCACCATCATATAAAGCACAGGTAAGTAGAAACCTCAAAGATCCAATAAAGCAGTTACACAACTGAGACTCCAAGGCACCTAGCTAACAAAACTATGATGGGAAAAAAACACACATATTAATATTAACCTTGAACATAAAAGGCCTAAATATTCCATTTAAAAAATAAACACTAGCAAATTGGATAAAAGAAGCAGGACTTAACCATCTGCTGCCTACCAGAGACCCACCTAATGGCAAAAGACAACTACAGACTCAAAGTAAAGGGACTAGCAGAAGAAGAGAAATAACAAAGAGCAGAACCAAATGAGATTGAGACCAAAAAAAAATGATGAAAAGGATCAACATAATGAAGAGTTTGTTCTTTGAATGGATAAACAAAATTGGTAGACCACTAACTAGTTTAATGAAGAAAAAAGAGAGAAAATTCAAGTAAGCACAATCAGAAATGATAAAGGTGACAGTATTGCTGATACAACAGAAATACAAAAGCTCATCAGGGGTTACTATGAGCATCTCTATGTGCACAAACTAGATAACCTAGAAGAAATATGTGAATTCCTGGAACACACAACTTCCTGAGATTGAATCAGGAAGAAATAGAAATCCTGAACAGACAAATTATGAGTAAGGAAATTGAATCAATAGTAAAAAAAAACCTTCCAACAACAAAAAAGCCCAGGACCAGAGAGATTTACAGGACAGTTTTGCCTTATCTACAAAGGAGAGCAGGTACCAGTCTTACAGAAACTATTCCAAAATACCAAGGCAGGAAGGATACCTCCCTAACTCTTTCTGTGATACTTGTTATCTCCCTGATGAATATAAATGTAACAATCCTCAACAAAATTCTAGCAAACCAGATTTATCGCACATCAAAAACAAAATGTATCACAATCAAGTGTGTTTTATTTCAGGGATGCAAAGATGGTTCAACATTTGCAAGTCAGTAAATGTGATTCACCATATATGCAGAATTAAAAAGAAAAACGATATGATCATGTCAATCAATAGATGCAGAAGAGGCTGTTGGTAAAATTCAATGTCACTTCATGTTAAAAACCCTCAAAAACTAGGCATTGAAGGAACGTACCTAAAAATAGTAAGAATCATATATGACAAAGTCACAGCCAACATCATATTGAATGGGGAAACGTTGAAAGCATTCACCCTAAGAACTGGAACAAGACAAGGATGCCTACTCACACCACTTCTATTCAACATAGTACTGGAAGTCCTAGACAGAACAGTTGGGCAAGAGAAAGAAACAAAAGGCATCCAGATTGGAAAAGAGGAAATCAAATTATCTCTGGTCACTGATGACATGCCCCCATACCTAGAAAATCCTAAAGACTCCTAGACTTGATAAACAACTTCAGTAAAGTTTTAGGATATAGAATGAATGTACATAAACCAGTAGCATTTCTGTATACTGTTACTGAATCTGAGAACCAAATCACGAACTCTATCCCATTTACAGTAGTCACACACAAAAATAAAATAACTAGGAATACATTGAACCAAAGAGGTGAAAGTTCTCTACAGGAAGATTACACAAATGGAAAAATATCTCGTGCTCATGGATTGGAAGACTCAATATTGTTAAAAATGACCACAATGCCCAAAGGAATCTGCAGATTCAAAGCAATCCCTAATTACCAATGTCATTCTTCACAGAATTAGAAAAAACAATCCTGAAGTTCATATGGACCAAAAAAAGAGCCTGAATAGCCAAAGCAATCTTAAGCAAAAAGAACAAAGCCAGAGACATCAGATTACCTAACTTCAGATTATACTACAAGGCTGAACAGCATGTTACTGATATCGTGATACCATGATAAAGATGGACACATAGATCAGAGGAATAGAACAAAGAACTCATAAATAAAGTGACATACCTACAACCAACTGACTTTCAGCAGATTCAACAAAAATAAACAATGGGGAAAGGACATCCTATTCAGTAAGTGGTGCTGGGAAATTGGCCAACCACATGCAGAAAAATGAAACTGGACCTCTGTGTCTCATCATATTAAAAAATTAACTCAAGATGGATTAAAGACCCATAAATGTAAGATGTGAAACTTAAAATCCTGAAAGAAAACCTAGGAAAAACTATTCTGGACATTGGCTTAGGCAAAGAATTTATGACTAAGACCCCAAAAGAAAATAAAACAAGAACAAAAGTACACAGGTGGGACTTAATTAAACCAAAAAGCCTGTTCACAGCAAAAGAAATAACAGAGTAAGCAGACAACCTACAGAATGAGAGAAAACATTTGCAAGTCATACCTCCGACAAAGAACTAATATCCAGAATCTACAATGAACCCAAATAACTCAGCAAGAGAAAAACAACCCCATTAAATATTGGTCAAAGGACATGGACAGACATTTCTTAAAAGAAGACATAAAGTTGCCAACAAACATTTTAAAAATGCTTAATATCACTAATCATCAGAGAAGTGCAAATTGAAGCCACAATGAGATATTATCTTATACCAGTCAGAATGGCTATGATTAAAAGTCAGAAAACAACAGATGTTGGCATGGATGCAGAGAGAAGGGTATTCTTATACACTGTTGGTGGGAATGCAAATTAGTACAACCGCTATGGAAAACAGTTTGGAGATTCCTGAAAAAACTAAAAATGGAATTACCATTCAATTCAGCAATGCCACTACTGGGCTTCTACCCAAAGGAAAAGAAATCATTATATAAGAAAGACACCTTTATGTATGTTTATCGCAGAACTACTCACAATAGCAGAGTCATGGAATCAACCTAAGTGTATATCAGTGGATAATTGGATAAAGAAAATGTGGTCCATATATACCATGAAATACTATGCAGTCATAAAAACAAATGAAATTATGTCCTTTTTAGAAGTTTCTACATGGATGGAGCTGGAGGCCATTATACTAAGTGAAATAACTCAGTAACAGAAAAGCGAATACTGCACATTCTCACTTGTAAGTGGGAGCTAAACAGTGGTTACATATAGATGCAAAGATGTAAATATCAGACGTTGGAGACTCCAAAAAGGGGGAAGGTAAAAGGGGAATTCGGATTTTTATAATTCGAATTTACAATTTTACAATTGGGTACAGCTTGTTCACTGTTTGGATTATGGGTACATTAGAAGCCCAAACCTCACTATTATGTAATATATCTATGTGATAAACCTGCACATGTGCCCCCCAAATCTAAAATCTTAAAAAAAGAAATTTATAAGGAAAAGGGTACACTACAACTGATACTAAACAAAGACAGAGGATGATAGGAGACTGTTATGAACAGTTATACACTAACAGATTGGATAATCCTGAAGAAATGGATAAATGAATAGAAACGTACAACCTACCAAGATATACCATGAAGAAACAGAAGATATAACAGACCAAGGAAGGAGATTGAAGCTGTAATCAAAAATCTCCCAACAAAGACAAGTCAAGATGAGATGGCTTCATTGGTTAATTGTACTAATCATTTAAGGAAGAATTAATGACAAGTGGTCAACTTGTAGAATCAGTTCTTCTCAAATTCTTCTAGAAATTTGAAGATAAAGGAATACTGCCAAAGTCATTCTGTAAGACCAGCATTGTTATGATATCAAATTCAAATAAGAACACAAGAAAATTATAGGCCAGCATCTCTGGTGAAGGTAAATGCAAAAATCCTCAACAAGATAATAGCAAATTGAATTCAGTAGGAAATTTAAAATATCATACACCATGATCAACTGGGACTTACTCCTGGGATGCAAGAATGGTTTAACCTATGCAGATAAAAAATGTGACATAAGACATTAATATTCTGATATTCACAGATCTGTAACATAATGTCAAAGATCTAAATTATATTGGGAAATATAATATGCTATTGAAATTGTTAAGTATGTAGTAAGTACCTTTAAAAAGCTATTATCTGTGAATGAAACTCCAAATTAGGATTAAGTTCTTAAAAGAATCATATGGAAAAAGGAGTATTTTATTGTAAATATTAAACTAGGACATGTTTGTTATTAAAAATAAAATTTATACAGTAAGTGCTATTGACTTAAAATACTATCAACTTTATTCTCTGTAGAGAAGAAAGTATAAGTTGGCAATGTTCCAACATGTCTGTATTAATCTTACAAGATCTTGTGGTTCAGCCAAAAACTCTCATGCTTGTGTCAGTTAAACTTTTTAAGTATAACTTTTGAAACACCTGTCTTAAAGGCATCCTTATGCTTTCAGTTTTTAAAACATATATAAAACTGATCTGATAATGTGAAATATTGTTCAACATGTTAGCTATTTCTTAATGTTTTGCAATTGGTGAGTTTTAAAACTGTCCCAAGTTAACAGCGATTTAAAAACATTTTTCTCACATGTAGTTTTTAAAGCTCTCTAGAAATTGACATGTTTAAAAACTGCCAAGACAATTAAACTTTTTATGTTAAAAATGTTTAAAACTCTGATCATATAGCACATAGTAATAACGCTTTCTTGGGCATAAATTATAATAAAATACTATAAGTAATACATGTAAAGAATGTATCAGTCACTATCTAAGCCTTGAAGCAAATTGTATTCATCCTTCAAGATTCAGTTGAACCTACTCTTTGGAATCATTTTCAACCAGAGGTGGTGTATGATTTAGAAAAGATTGAGCACATGGCTTCTAGTCTTCGCTGTACCATCTCTTGAGTTCCACTTGTACATATGTAAAATGAAAGCAATGGGCCAGATGACCCCTGAGTGTTGTTTTATTTTTTAGCTCTACTTATAAGGGAACACTTCCATTTGCACTAAATATACTGTATGAATGTTTAAGTATTTCTGGGTATCTTGAGTATTCAGAGGTGGCACTAATGAAGGAGTGTAGGCTTTCCCTGCAATGTTGAACCTTGGTGTACATTTTGTCCTCTTTAAAAAACCAATCAAACAAATTTGCTACCTAGAATACAGTGTGTATAGGTCTTTTGGTCATTAGCCTTATAATAGGTAGTCATTTAAAATATTTTCCAAAGTTACTTAGGTAATTTCTTGTTTTCCATACCTCATTCATAATAGTTTTATTACTGTTGGTATTGTATTTTTCATTCTCCCTATCTGCTGGATGATTTAAATTATTTATTTTTTGAGGGAATAGGAAACATTGCCATAGTTATATAAATAAGCTCTACAAAAGGGTGTACTCAGGGAAGTATCAATCCTCCCCCTATGCCTACTACCCTGTTTCCATTCTCCTTCCAGTTATTAAATTTGTCATAGAGATTTGGGTTGTTCTGAAACTACTTAAGTGTATACTGGGATATAACAAGTAAGTAAATATGTTTCAGATAATAAGACCCAGATTTCTCACCGTAAGATAAAAGGCTAGTGTGTTCAGGGCTATGGTGTTCAGTTGGAATTGGAAGTATCAGTATGAACTTATGGTTCTGAATATATATAAAAACAGATAAATATGAAAATATAGATGGGGTATGTTAGTGTACATACATATATTTCCAAGCCCTGCCTACTAACAAGACATGAAAGCAGTGACACCCAGTAGTAGTGAACATAGATAATACCCAGATCTAGGATTTAAATACCATTCTCCAGTAGAAGGTACTATGCCGCCTTGGAGAAATGGCTGATTCTATATCTAGGGCAGGGAAAATGGAAGATGAGCCTAGAATAGTAAGTACACATAAATAAGTAAAAATAAATTTCAGGTGCAGCGGCATGCACCTGCAATCCCTGCTACTCAGGAGGCTTTGTAATCCCAACTACTCGGGAGGCTGAGGCAGGAGGATCGCTTGAGACCAAGAGTTTGAGACCAACCTGGGCAACTTAGCAAGACTCCATCTCAAAAAATGAATGACTAAATGAATGAATGATGAGAGCATGTCAAAAAAACACAGGAGCCAACTTGAAGGAGTTCCCAATAGCCAATTCTGGAGCAATTTTAGCAGCAAAATAAATAATGATAGCATTATTATAATCCAGAAAATAAAAGAAATATCCATCCATCTGTATTGATATAAATACTTAAACACCTGGGAGGGAAAGGACAGGTCTTCCTTACAGTAGAAATCCAATTATAAATTAATAAGTAAATATGGAAATGGAGACTCACCATTAGGCAAATATCATGGTAATAATTGTTTAAAAGAACTATCAATGGATATTAAAATAAGTGGGTGAAAGTGTCATGAGAAAAAAGATTTTTTGCATAATTTTGAAGTATTTTCCCAGAAGATAATTAATAATTGCTAAGAGAAACATCACAACTGGTGTGGAAAAATAAACCTGGCAGGCACCACCTTAACCAGATGATCAATTACAGATGATAATATCACCAGTAATAAGACATAGTGACATACCATGTGCCACTAGTGTGGTATATTGACAAGGGCACCTATTGCTTTAGTTCTGTTTTTGCTCAAAATACATCACCTCAATCTAATAATTAGAAAACATCAGAGAAATCCAAGTTGAGGGGCATATGACAAAATCAGTGCCCAGTACGCTTCAAAAGTGTCAATGTCAAGGTCATAAAATACAAATAAAGACAGAAGCAACTTGTCAAAGACAAACAGATTGGATTATCAAATTTTGGTAGAGGTTACAGGAGGTTATGGACACATGATACAGTGTAGCATACTAAATTGGCTCCTGGGCCAGAAAAAAAAAAAAAGGATTATTAGTGGGGAAACTGGAAAAGGGCAAATAAGGTCCCTAGATAAGTTAATAGCATTGTATAATGTTAATTTTATATCTTTCATAACACTGCTGTGATTATGTCATGTTCTCTTTAGGGGATACTGGTTAAAGGGTATACAAGAATGTTGATTTTTTACAGCTTTTCTGTAAGTCTGAAATTTTTCAAATTGAGATACTTTGAAAATTTCTGATCAAAATGAAGCAAAATCCTTTCCTTGGGCTTTGTTAGTATGTATTACCTGAAAAAAGTTGGAATTTTCAAAAATATTTTAATAAGCAGTAATAAAACAAAAGGAAAAATATTGGAATATAATAATAATTCAGTTTACAAAGTGCATAGTAGGTCAGAGGATCATTCCTAGATCTCTGACTCTTGTCCCATTCTGTTAGCCTAAAAGAATGTCAGATATCTTGCCCCAAAGGAAAGTTTTTTGTACTTTTCCTGATCTGCCTCCATGTTGCAGAGTGCCAGCTTACTTCCGCACATTTCAGACCTGGTCGCGATACCTTGAACTTCAGGGGCAAGGATAAATCAGGCTAATTCTGCTTTCATTAGGCTTTTCTGTTCAGGCCTGGTTGGGGTTTGAGAGAATATGCCTCTTCTCTAAAACACTGGAGGACTGGGAAGGCTGGACACAATAAATTAACAATCAGTGGCAATCCCACATTTCATATATTGGGTAAGAAAAATAATACTGAGTGTACCTGTACAGACCTAATGCTAATTGCTTTCCCAAATATTATTTATTTTCATACTTAGAATAGCTCTGTGAGATAGATGTTGGCTCCTTTCTAAAAATAAGGAAAATGAGGCTCAGACAGGTTAAATATCTTGCCAAGATGGTACATTAAGTAATGGAAAGCCAAGATTCAAACCCAGGTCTATTTGATTCCAAAGCATGCTATTCTTTTTTTCTTATAGGTCCAACAGAAAAATACATATACATTAAATATGATATCCATACATATAATAGAGCAGTGCAGAGGTAATTCTGTCAGTATCAATGCCCATCCATATAGAAACATCTTAAGAGAAGTTACCATATCATATATTCTTTTTAATTTCCCATGGCCTCCAATAAGGTAGAATCCGGTAATTACTACATTACTGGTGATTTTCAGATTCATAGTATCTGATGAAAGTAAAACAGCAAAAAGAAAAAAATATTGACCTCTGCAGGGCAATCTTATCTGTAGCTAGCTGGCAGATTGCTGTTATCTTCATTCTTCTCTCTGTTCTATAAATATTTAACCACCTGTATTGGTTTTCTGTTGCTGCCATAACAAATGACAACACACTTACGATTTAAACAACACAAATTTACTTTCTTTTGGCTCTGTGGGTTGTGAGTCCATCCCAGGTCTCACTGGGCTAAAATCTAAGTGTTGTATTCCTTTCTGTAAGTTCATGGGGAAGATTCATTTTCTTCCTCAGATGGTGGCATAGTCAGATCCTTTTGATCATACAAGGACCCCATTTCCTTGCTGGCTGAAGGCCATTCCCAGCTTCTAGAGGGTACCTGCATTCCTTGGCTTGTGACTTCTTTTCTCTAAAGCCAGGAAAACAGGTCAAGTTTGTTTCATATCGTATCTCCACTCCTGCCTCACTCTCTTTCACTTTTAAGAGCTCGTGATTAACTGGCCCACCCAAATAATCCAGGATAATCTCCCCACCTTGAGGTCCATAATTTTAATCACATCTGCAAAGTCCATTTCACCATTTAAAGTAATATAGTCACAGGGTCAGAGTACTAGGATGTGGACATCTTCATGGATGCCTTATTCTGCAGACCACAATGTAAAAAAAATCACACAAGTTCATAAACCACTGGCTAATATTAATAATCATAACTATACTGAGCAGTTTGTGTCAAGTAATGTTCTAAATTGTGTTTTATATATTAATCTAATCCTTGCAATACTGTAATGAAGCAGGTTACTTAGCCCTATTTTATGGATGAGAAAAAATAAGTACAAAAGACATTAGGTAATTTACCAGAGTCACTGATAGTAATTATTATCTGTAATTTCAACCAGGCGGTCTGAGTCTGTAAACTATGCCATTAACTTCCGTACTATCATAAGTCACTCAGATGATTCAGGACTTCGGATATTTTACTTAACTGATTAGGGTCAAAATGTTTAGCAAGCCTATACTGTATGTGGGCTGGTTATTCTTAGTTTTTACGGTAAATGAATATTTTTTTCTTGCTGGCTGACAGAAAAGGAATGATAATGAGGGTACACAGATGACTGAAATTGAATGTTATTTCCTTAGATTATTTTACTCATTATCACTATTGTATAAGAATATGTCACTGTTTGTTATATAAGTTCCTTCAGAACAACTTAGAGAAAAAATATGGTAATTAGGTTATCATGTAATCCAATGACATACATCTCTGTTGCAGCACTTTTGCAATGATGTTGTAATTCTCTGTCTCTCTCTCCCCCAACCTTTGTTCTTTGATGTTAGTGGTCTTTCCAATTTTGTATTTCAACATCTATAGAGTTTCTGGCTGATGGATCCTCAAATAGTGAATTGGATGAATGGATTAGTTAATTAATTAAATCATTCCTATAATTGTCAATCCATTTATACCCTGCTCTTAAAATTTAATGAATTAATTTGAGGTGAAAATGTTTCAGACAAGATGATCTTCAAATTCTACATGTAATAAAGATAATTTTAAGAGTCTCAAAACAATTTGTATATTTATAGAATCCCTAATAATGGCCATTTGCAGTGTGCTAAGCATTGGGCTAAACGAGAGCTCAGTATTCACAACAATCCTGTGATGTAATGCTCTAGTCGTATACATGTGGAAACTAAGGACTAACTGAGTTGTATCACTCCCCAAAGTCTACTCACGGACCCAGTAGAGCCAATGTCTTCACCTAGGAATAATTGACTCTAAAGCGTTTGCCCTTATCCACTGCCTCATTTCTTTTTATTCCTAAAGTAAAACTACTCATAAGATTTCTGGATCTGATTTCTGTACTACTTGTGGATTGATTAAATACAAAAACATTATTGTGTATTATTATCAGTTGGTCTTTCAAATAACTGAGACCAAAACATTAAAATAGTTTTAAAAATCTGTAAACACTCCTATTCTTCTGGATTTCTACTTACAGAATTAGCACCTAGAACTAGAAAAGTAAGTTTCTTTTTTTTTTCTGAGTGTTAAGACCTCAGGAAATATTTTTTTAATTAACATACTATAAAATTGACTTGATATTCATTTATTTGAGCTTTAATACACACACACACAAACAGACACACACATAAGTGTATTCATGTAGCAACCATGACGATCAGGGCACAGAACAGTTCCATCATCAGAGCACTATCGTGCTACCCGTTTTTAGTCACATTTTCATTCTACCACAAATCCTGGCAACCGTGATCTTTTGCTATCATTTTCTCTTCTTGAGAATGTTATAAAAATGAAATCATACAACATGAAACATAATCTGTGTCACTCAGCATACAATATGAAACATTTCTATTTCACTCAGATGTATTCAAGTTGTTGCGTGTATCAATAGTTTGATCCTTTTTATTAATGAGTAGTATTTCATTGTATGGGTGTGCCACAGTTTATCCATTCATTAGTGGAAGGACATTTGGGTTGTTTCCAATTTACGGAGATTATGAGTAAAGTTGCTGTAAACATTAGTATACAGGTTTTGGGGGGTGAAGTTAAGTTTTCATTTCTCTAGGGTAAATATTTAGAAGTGTGATTGCTGCATAATATGTTGTATATATTTAATGTTTCAAGAAACTGCCAAACTTTTCCAGAGTGGTTGTACCATCCCACCAGTAATAAATAAGAGATGATCCACTTTCTCTACATGGCCACAGGCATTTTGTTTTATCAGATATTTTTTACTTTAACCATTCTAATAGGTGTGTTTTCATAACAGGTTTGGTTTTCATTTGCATTCCCCTAATGGCTAATGAAGTTAAACATTTTATCATGTGTTTATTATGTCCTCTTCAGTGAAGTGTCTGCTTAACACCTTTTGTGTATTTTCTTTTCTTTTTTTTCTGTAGTGTTTTTTTTTTCTTTTTTTAATTATACTTTAAGTTCTAGGGTACATGTTCACAATGTGCAGGTTTGTTACATATGTATACATGTATTTTCTAGTTGAGTTACTTATTTTATTAAATTTTGAGAGTTCTTTAGAGTTGTAGTAAAGACTACTGTAGCTTGTCTTTTCATTCTCTTATCCTAGTCTTTCACAGAACAAAAGTTTTAATTGAGATTTAGTTTATCACTTTTTCTTTTTATGGATCATGATTTTCATCATGCTTGGTGTCATGTGCAGGAACTCTGCTTAACTCCAGATCATCAGGTTTTTCTCTTTGTTTTCTTCACCTTTTTATTAGGGCTTGTTGTATTTTGACCTAATTTTTTTATAAGATGTTAGATTGAGGTGAAGTTTCATTTCTTCAATATGGATGTCCAATTGTGCCAATACTGCTTGTTGAAAAGACTATTCTTTCTCTATTGAATATATTTGCATTTTTGTCAGAAATTAATTGTCTATATTTATGTGGGTCAGTTTCTGGACTTTGTTCCATTCTGTTGATCTGTACATCCATCCTTTTGCCAATACCACGTAATCCTGATTACTGTAGCTTGATAGTAAGTCTTAAAATTGGAGGATGTTATTTCTCTAATTTTATTTTTCAAAATCATTTTGGCTATTATAGTTCCTTTGCCTTTTCATATAAATTTTAGATAATCTATTTATATTAAAAATAATCATGCTGAAATTTTGATTTGATTTGTGTTAAATATGCAGATCAATTTGGAGAGAACTGACTTCTTCCTTAAAGTGTTGAGGAGTCTTCCAATTAATGAACATGGTGTGTGTTTACATTTATTTAGGTTTTCTTTTTCTTACATCAGTGTTTCATAATTTCAGAATACAGATCATGTACATAGTTTGTTAAATTTACACCTATATATTTCTTCTTTGGAGATAAGAACTGTGAATGGCTTGAAGTTTTTTTCTTTTAATTTGGTTTCCAGTTCATTGCCTATGTAGACAGTCTTGTTTTCTGCAAATAGGGACATTTTTATTTCTTCCTTTCTAATGTGTATGCCTGTAATTCTTTTATTGACTTATTGCAAGACATCAAGAGAGGTGATAACGGACATTCTTGGCTTTTTCTTAATCTTGAGAAGAAAGCATAGTCTTTCTCCTTTAAGTGTAATGTTAACTGTAGGTTTCTTGTAGATACGCTTTATCAAATTGAGTAACTTCCCTTCTATTCCTGGTTCGCTGCAAGTTTTCATCATGAATAAATGTTGCTTTTTTTCAAATGCTTTTTCTGCATCAATTGAAATGATCATATGGTTTTACTTTAATCTGTGAATATGGAGGAATGCACTAATCAATTTCAAATATTGAATCAGGCTTTATTCTCTGAAAAGCCTCACTTTATCATTTTCTTTTTGTATATTGCTAATATTTTGTTGAAGATTTTTGTGTCGATGTTCATAAGGTATGTTAGTCTATAATTTTTTTTCTTTTTCTTTTTCTTTTATTTTCTTCGTACTATTGTCCTATGGTTTTGGTATTAGAATAATCCTGGCCTTAAAAAAAATATTTAAATTGGTGTTATTTCTTCTTTAAATATCTGATAAAATTTGCAAGTGAAAGTTGGTCCTGGAGTTTTGTTTTGCTTAGGAGGAAGATTTTCTAATTCAATTTAAAAATATTTACAGGAATATTCAGGTTTTGTATTCATCTTGGATGTGTTTAGTGTCTGATTTTCAAGGAATTTACTTATTTCACTTCTTTAGGTTTATGTTTACACAATTGTTCAGAGCATTCCTTTATATCCTTCTAATATCTGCTGGTTCTACAGTGGTATTCTCTTTTCATTCCTGATAGTAGCAATTTGTGGCTTCTTTTTTTGCTTACCGATCCTACTACAGTTTTGTCCATTGCATTGATCTTTACAAAGAACCAGCTTTTTGTCTCACTGTTTTTTTTTTTAATTTTATTGCTTTTTGATTTTTATTACTTCTTTCTGCTTGCTTTGGGTTTATTTTGCTCCTTGTTTACTGTTGTTTTAATACACAATTCAGAATTTTGATCTGAGACCTTCTTTTCTAGCACAAGCATTTAATGCTATAAATTCCCCTCTATACAGTGTTTTAGGGACACTCCACAGATTTTGATGTTTTTTATTTCCCTTTTTGATCCATAGATTCTCTCTAAATCAGTTTATTAATTTCCAGTGTTTTGGAGATTTTCTTATCTTTTTCCTATTGACATCTGGTCATTATGATCATAGAACATACTTTATAGAATTTAAATCCTTTAAAATTTGTTTTGTTTTATGATCTTGGAAGTGGTGTGTCTACATGAATATTTTGTGTACATTTGAAAAGAATGTGAATTTCGTCATTGGGGTGTGTTCTATAAATCTATAAATGTTATTTGGATCTAGTTGTTAATGTTGCCTGGTTCTTCTATATCCTTGCTAATTTTTTGTCTACTTGTTCTGTCAGTTAATGCAAGAGGAGTATTAGAAGCCTGCAAGAATATTGTAGATTTGTCTCTACTTTTTGTTCTGTTCATTTTTGCTTTGCTTATTTTAAAGCTCTGTTGTTAAAGGCATACACATTTAAGATCTCTCTGTTTTCTTGGCAAATTGACCCTCTTATCATTATGCAATGTTTTTCTTGATCTCTGATAATTTTCTTATCACTGAAGTCTACTTTGTCTGATATTACTATAATCACGCTAGCTTTCTTCTGGTTAATGATATAATTTTTCATGATAGAATTTTTTATCCTTTTACTTTTAAACTATGTAATTATAATTGAAGAAATTTTTGTAGATAGGATATTAATGGGGATTTTTTTTATTATTTTTGGTCTATTCTGATCATCTCTGCCCTTAATTGGTTTGTTTAGGCCATTTATATTTCATAAAATGTTTTATGTTTGGATTTGGGTTTATCATTTTATTATTTGTTTTTTGTTTTTCTCTCTGTATTTTCACTCTTCTGGTCCTCTTTTTCTGCCTTGTTTTGGATCATTTGAATATTTTTTAGTATTCCATTTTAATTTAGTTTTGACTATGTATCTTTGTATAGATTTCTTTTAGTGGTTGCTCTATGGATTAGAATGTACATCCTAACTTTTCACAGTCTATTTAGAATCAATCTTTTACCCTGCCAAGTGGATTGTATAAATCTTTCATGTAAGTCTTGTTATTCTCCCTCCTTTATTTTATAGTTTTTATATGTACTACATCATTTCTCTTCTTCTTTTATTCCCGACATTCCAAGTGTCCCTCATTTCACCTTCTTTATGACAGTCTTCCTTTAGTAATTCTTTTAGAACAGATCTGCCAGCAATGAACTATACTTTTTATCTGAGAATGTCTTTATTTTACCTTCGTTTTTTAAAGGATATTCTTATTGAATTTAGAATTTTGAGCTGACAGATATTTTTTGTTTTAAACATGTTCCACTTTCTTATGGAATCTATGATTTCTGATTATAACTCTGTAGTCCATTGATCCCCTATAATTATATATTATTTCCTCTGGCTCTTTTTAGTATTTTTTTAAACTAGTTTGATTGATGGATTTGAGCCTAGTGTTTGATTGATGGGTTCGAGCCTAGATTTGGGGGGTTAGGAGGTTACTATTTGAGGTTCAGTTCTTAAATCTGTTGGTTTATGTCTTTCACTAAATTTGGGAAATTTTTAAACATTATTCAGTTTTTTTTCTGCACTACAGCTCTTTTCCTTCTGGGACTCCAGTGACATGAAAGTTAGATATTTTATTATTGTCCTGCATTATCCTGAGACTCTTTATTTTTTAATAAATATTTTTACTCTGTCTTATTCAAAGTGGATAGTTTCCATTGATGTACTGTCAAGTTCACCAGTCTTTGCTCTCTTATCTCCATTTTACTATTAAGCCCATCCAGTGATTTTTAAACTTTGGTTACTGTATGTTTAGTTCTAAAATTTTCTTTTAGTTTTTATTTAAATATCTTCCATTTGCTGAGACATTCTATCTTTCCATTCTTTTCAACAGTGTTTACCCTTACTTCTTGGAGCATTTTTATAATAGTTGTCTTAATGTCTTAGTTTAATAATTCTAACATCTTTTTTTCCCAATGTTGCCATTTTTTGATCATCTTTTCCTATGTGACTTGAGACTTTTTCTGATTCTTCACATGCCAAGTAATTTGAGATTATATTCTGGATATTTCAAGTATTATGTTGTGAGATTAATAAGTTAAATAAGACTAATACTTCGTCTTATTTAAATCCTATCGAGAATTTTGATATTTTTTGCTTAACAGGCAATTTATCCAGTTGTATTCGGGATGCAGTCTCCAGCCAGTATATAGGTTTTGATTCCACAACTGGTTCACTTTTCAAAGCCTTTGAAATGCTGTTCAGATCTGTCCTTCATGTACCACCCAGGGTCCAATCTAGAACATGGGTAATTGTCTGTCTATACTTAGTTTCTCACAGTCTGTGATCAGATTCACACATGAGAAGTTTGAGCATAAACCCAAGAGTTCATAAACAGCCTTATGAGGTCACTTTCCTGAGCCTCTCTCTTTCATGATCTCAGTACTTTGAGTTCCTGGAGACTCTGCTTTTCAGTCCTCTAGCCAAAACTCTGGGACTTTATTTACCCTACTTTGCCACATGCTTCCTGCATCTATGCCTGTAGAAGAGCTGAAAGAAGACAGGGAGAGAAAGAGCTCAGTGGAGTTTATATTGTACTCTTAGGGCCACAGCTCCTCCTACTGGAGAGGAAGTTTTCCCTCCCTCAAAGTTTTAAATTCTTGCAGTTATCATTATCTCTGCTACTACCTTGAAGGCTAGGATGCAAGAGAATGAAGGAGAAAAGGGCAATTTTTCTCTTCTTTGAGACTTTTCCTGCTCCTTGAGCCTAAACTATAAGGATTCTCCTAGAGCCTTCACTGCCATGCCCCAGGGCCCACTTTCAGGTTTTAAGCTCCCTTGAATCCAGGCCAGGGGTACCTTTTAAAAAAAGAAGAAGAAAGAAAAAGGTAAGGGGAATCACCCTGTGCTACTCTGAATTCTTGTCATGTCATCTTCTCCAGTCCACCTGCTGTGACTTACCCTTTAGAGTCTTTAAATAACCGTTTCCTTCATTCTCAAGTTTTATTATCTAGATTCAGTAGCAGACATAAACAGTTTGTGGATTCTCCATATTAACTGGATCTGACCTCAGGTATATATTTTTAATCATTATCTAAGTTAATGGGTGTTCATGGAGGTTGTGAGTTGCATTTGTTTTAACTTTGCTATACAGTTACACCCCAAATATTCACATACATATTATAAATTGGAAGATACAGGAGCAGGAAAATGAAACTATCTGGAAAAGTATACAGTGAAACATTTCATCTCTAAAGTTTGAACACATTCAGGTCTGAATTTAGGAATCTGTTGGCATTCGCTTTTTTGATAGTTTTCCCTTAGCAGGGAATAGGGTAGGAATAGCAGAAAGCTGGCTCAGCGATGACTTACAGAATGAGAGAGATGTGAATTGGCCTTTTAAAAATCTGTGGAAGTTACTCATTTGGACTGGGTAACGGCTTTCTAGGCAGAGGGAGCAACTTCAGGAAAGGTATAGAGAAGGTCCCCAACTTACAACATTGACTTAAGACTTTTCAACTTTACAGTGGTGTGAAAGAAATATGTATTCAATAGAAACCACACTCCAAGGACCCATGTAATCGTTTCTCATTTTCAATATAGTGTTCAATAAATTATATGAGATTTTAATACTTTATTATAAAATGGGCTTCATGTTAGATGATTTTGCCCAATTGTAGGATACTGTAATTGTCCTGAGCATTAAGGTAGACTAGGCTGAACTGTGTTGTTCAGTAGGACCGGCGTATTAAATGCATTTTGACATGATATTTTCCATTTATAACGGGGTTTATCAATATTTAACCTCATCATAAGTCAAGGAGTATCTATACAGGTATAAATGTGCATGGCATGTGTGAATGTGTGTCAAAGAGGAGTAGACAAACCAGGAAAGGGAAATATGATTCAGTTAGGCATTTACTGTGCCTTCTTAGAGGTTGCAGTAAGATATTCCCATGAACATATTTGAAATGGTTAGAAACACATGGGTGTGAATTTCAAAAAATACAAGTTTTTGAATTTAACACATATGCTAAATAATCAGTCCTTCAGCTTAAACTATGTTATCCTGCAAATGATAGTAAGTCTTCTGGATTTTTATTAGAATGAATCACATTTTCCATCCTTGTTTTTATTTACTAGGAATTTCATCTTATGACTAAAAAGAACAAGCCATAAGCTCTTTTGGTCTAAATTTGAGATATTTGCCTTTGACTTATTTTTAAATTAAACTTTTTATTTTGACATAATAATAGATTCACAAATAATACAGAGAAATCCTGTGTACCCTTTACCCAGTTTCCTCCAATGGTAACATAATATAATGTCACAACAAGCATATTGACATTGATACAGTCAAGATACAGAGCAGTTCTGTCACTAACAGGCTCTCGTTTCCCATTACATGTTCACCCCTGTCCCTCTACCTTGCCGCATTCCTTACCCCTGGCAACCACTAATCTCCATCTTTACAATTGTGTTATTTGAAGAAAGTTACATAAATGAAATCATACAGTATGTAACCTTTTAGACTGACTTTTTCATTCTCTATAAATTCTTGGAAATTCATCTGAGCTGTTGCTTGTATCAATAGTTTGTTCTTTTTTATTGCTGAGTAATATTTCATGACTTATTTTTTAGCCCACCTTTTTCCATTATGTTTCATTTTGAAAAAACAAAGTCTTACTACTCAGGCATTTTTCT
This sequence comes from Homo sapiens, assembly GCF_000001405.40. Taxonomy (NCBI): domain Eukaryota; kingdom Metazoa; phylum Chordata; class Mammalia; order Primates; family Hominidae; genus Homo; species Homo sapiens. The sequence continues at coordinate 31,493,402 of NC_000010.11, forward strand.
CACTTACATATTTGCTTTAGAATTTATACTATAAACAAAAACCTTAGGAGCATTCTAGTGTTCTTTTTAAAATTGCATTTAGGTTAACCAGTTAATCTGTTGACATTATTACGTCTTACAGGAAAAAAATATGTACAAGTAGATTTTATTACTTTACTCCCCTTTTAATTCCTAAATCCAGAAGTAAGATCAGAACACATGAGAGATACTGCTGCTTGAAAAATACTTAGCACAGCCTGTTTGCAGACACACTCATGCTAGTCCACGGCTGATGCAGAAAGGAGCCTATCCCAAGGCAGCATTTTTTTGCAGTGCTAAAGGCCAACATTAGGATGTTGTCTGTTTTCATTAGGCACCATGGTCTTAGTTGCTCAACCAAAACTCCAGCCTCAATAATGAGGGAAAAAAATATACTTCTAGTTTTTAAATTGTGGGAAATAGGTCTGGGAGTAGATTCTGAAGTATGTTAAATACTCATCTAAAGAGCCTAGAATTTATCCCAAGGGGGGATGAAGAAATGAAGAAACAAATAAATTAATCAAATTGCAGTTCCTAAAATAGTTATAAGTAGAAAAATTAGCAGTGTCCAAAAATGTCATTTTACCTTTAATATCAATGTCATATTCCATCTTACGAGGTAGTAACTCTGGCTGTTTTGATTTTCATTTTAGAAGAATAAGGAACATAGGTTTACAATAATCAGTAACTATATTACCATCATATAATTACCCAGTTGGCATACTGTTTATTATTTTAGTTTAAGGAGACACATTGAAGCGAGAAAAAGGGGGTGCTAGAGGTTTGCAGACACTTAGCAAACACTAGTGTTTATCCTACAGCTTTGTAAACACTTTACCAAGAATTTTTAAACTGTCATTTTGCTGATGGAAAGTGTAAAATGAGACTTCAGCAGAAGTTAATCTCATCATCTACTTAAAACAGTGTTTTTTACATTGATCTAAAGAGGTTTGTGCATATTTTAACTGTTTTTCCTATATGATCATCTTCATGTACTAGTATGAAAGTTAATGAGTAAAGAAAATCTGCTGAATAAATCCACGTGATAATCCAAGGCACTTAAAAGAAATACATGCTATAATGGGATGCAAAGATTTTACTTGATTAGTGCTCTATTTCTCAATTTAACAATCAAACCTAAGAGAAATCTCAATCAAGACTTTTGACTAACATAGTGCAATTTGATTAGGGTGCAGATAAGTACACTATTTCGGTGTGACTGTATAAGTATTCTGATCATAATTATGACATATACTCTGCTACTAGTTAGAAAAAGAACAGTTTTTAACTTCTTCATGCCTTTCATTTATGCACATGTTCTTAATACACTATTATAATAAATAAAATGTACCTGAAAATATAAAACATACTTTTTGCTTGTCCAAAAAGTATGCATTTATTTATAATACAAAATATTTATTCTGAACCTATGCTGTATGATAGCCCACTATAAATGTAGAGGTAGCAAGGGAAGATGACAGATATCTAAAAATATTTGTTAGTAGCACTATATTGTTGATTACTACATATCAGTAATTAGAATAACGAATAAAGTGAAAGAAAAAGCATAATGCCTTAGGTGTTTACTTTGGGCACAGTAACATTTGGTCCAGTCATCTTTCTAGTTTTCTGGTACCCAAGTTAAATGAGCAAGAGTGTGATGGAAAGTGGGCTTTGGAGCCAATCAGACCTGCATTTATATTTCATTTCTACCACCTAATAACGGCATGTCTTTGGGCAAGTTATTTAACTTCTCCAAGCCTCAAGTTTTTTAACTTATAAAATATGTTGTTACAAAGCTTAAAAGAAGTAAGTTACTAGCACAGTGCCTGGAACATAGAAATTTGTGCTTTAGAGAAGAAATAAAAATATATAATTCTACCGTCTATAGGTAGAGCTCTTTTCCCAAAATAGTACTAAAATTCCAGTTTGCTTATAATCCTAAAATATTTATAATTCCAGAATATCTAAATCTGTACTGCTTTTACTTCTCTAAGATATCTTCGTGAGTTTGGTAAGACTGTCCACTTAATTTCTTTAAACAGCTTTACTTTTCAAGGACACATTACCATATTCATAAAAGGAAAAAATCCAAATTAAATATAATCTGTACTGAAAGTTTCCTTTTCAGATTTCGGGAAGTTAAAATGTTTGTGACAACTGGATTTGTTTTTTTAATCTTTTATTGATATATAATAGCTGTATATATTTGGGGAGTACATGTGATATTTTGATACATGTATACAATGTGTAATGATCAGATCAGAGTAATTGGGATATCCAAAACTTTAAACATTTGTCTTTCGTTTGTATTAGGAACACTATAGATCTATTTTAATTTCTTCTTTGATTTCAGCAGGAAAGGAAGGGCAAGAAATCCTGGGGCCTGAAGCTCAGGCAGATGAAGCAGGATGTACAGGTACTCTGCTGCGACTTTCTTTCATACCATAGCCTTTAAAAGAAGGTCTTTGTGTCACTGATTTCGCATTTGTGAGTCCTGAATTTAGTCCGTTTCCTTCTCTTTTATCTTACCTTCCTTAAATGTTTAAGTACTTAGGCATATGGTGCACTACATAAAAAGAAGTAAATATTCCTTAAATACAGAGTAACTTACAGATTCATATTATGTAGCAGATTTCTCCATTCTATAAGAATGACAAGTATAACCTACAGATAATCCAAAAAATAAGTGTTTGAATGATGATTTGAACTTCTATCAAGTTTTTGACCAAAGTTAGAGAAATGCAGATCTAACTTTTGAGTTTCGTTATTAGTTACCTGGGTCTGCTTTGAATTGCCCACAAGACAAAAAGCAGAAGAAAATAGAAAAAGCATGGATTTATCTATAAATCCGATGAGAATCATGAATATTAATGAGTTGAGTGAACATGTCACAGCAAACGAGAATCAAAAATTTTTCTTAAATTTTCTGTGATTGAAAAAGAGTAAAATGAAGTTGAATTATAATAAACAAGGAAATTTGCTTTTAGGTGACTAAAAAGTACATATTCCCTGAAACTTAAGGCTATTCCTCTGTAATGGATTCAGATCAGATTTAAGAAGCAAAAGAGTAGGTGGAAAAATTAAATCAGATCTTATGTATAGTAATACCAGTCACTTTTTATTGTGTTCCCTAAGAGAGCCAGAACTGTTAGAATGTAAACTTCAAAAATGCATTCCAGATTTTTAAAACATTTCCTCAAAATATTATACTTAAACGTAGTGTAATTGTACTTTGTATATTCAACCATAAATTAGATATTTCTGTCATATAGTTTTAATTACATTTTCTTTTTCCTTCTCTTCTATGAGTTATCATTTATAGATTTGTTTTTTTACTTTGCTGTGCATTTTAGGAATATTCCATAAAGGCTTACAAATTATCTTTCATTAGGTAAGATGAGGTATGGTTCATGGCTAATAAGTGTCAAGATTAGATTTTTATCTGTAATATAAACAATAGCACTCCTATACTCGTCAGTCATTTCTGTAAAACAGAGTAAATCTTTGTGCTGTTATTAAAAGTGAATTCCAAAATAATTAAATAATAATGGAGTATGTGATAATTTGTGGTGCGTATAGCCTGCGATTTTATGTTTTGCCCCTAACTTCGTTCTGTGTAACTTGCATGAATAATGTATTCAGATATGCTTGTTATCAAATATTTGCCATGCTAAGCTATAGAATATGTAAAATATTTAAGCTGGACATTTGTTAGTAGTAATACAGTAGTGTTAATAAACATAAGAGTACACTATTTACTTTTACCTAGAATCGTTAAACTTTGATGACTTATATTACCAGAATTACAGAAGACAACTTGCCCTTCTAGGTAAAATGCTATCCAAAAAGATGCTCACAGGTTTACAGTATTTTATCTGTCATGCTGTTCTTCACTATAAAAATAAATGAATTCTTTCAGTTTGAAGTACTGAATAGTATGTAAATTTCCTCAAAAAAGTTGCATCTGGAAGGCAGGGTAACCTTCTCAAATTTGTGTTTAACAAAAGTTGCTGCTGAAATGTAAAATCTCCCCCACGTACACAATGATGATCCCTGCTGCATTATTCGCCTGGAACATGGGGAGTTAGGAGTAAGCAAACTTCCATTAAAGCTCCAGTGAGTGTAGCTTTAAAAGGAAATTTAGCTTTTGAGACTTTTGAGCAGTTAAACTGTAAAATGATGTCCTGCCTTTGCTTTTGTTACTTCCTTGACTTCTAGGGAATAATATGCTGACAAAATGAGCAAAAGCATTGTACAGCAGTCGCCATCATTAGTTCAGAATGTTGTCAGATCTTTTTTATAGCAGACTTCCTTCTGCAGCTCGTGAAGTTAAGGAACTATAGTCTGAACTCAGTAATCAGAGTAAAAAATTCATTGAAAACATCCTTTGTTCCTTCTGAGCGTCCCTTTTTTTGTTTATATAGTTGATAATTTTAGAAAGTTTCAAACATGGAGGATAAAGATAAGAGGAAGCCTGAGGATACTTTATTCAGGATGGAAAAATAGATAGATAGATAGATAGATAGATAGATAGATAGATAGATAGATAGATTTAAAAATATTCAGTGTTTATATTAAATATTTGCTCTCTCAAATACATGTATATAGTCATTTAATTCTATACTTTGTCAATTTTGAGTTTTATCATATTTAAAGAAAACCCAATTACCTTTTATGCTGTGTATATTTGCTCATCTCCCTAATATTTAAATATATAAGTTTATCATCTAAAGACCAGGACATTTGCTTTATAATTGACCTTTTCAAGATGTGCATTTCCCAACACTTTAAATTTTAAAAAACTGCAGAAATTCTGGTCTCAGTTTGAAATTGGGCCTGGTAAATGTGGGTTCATGGATATAGAGTGTAGTTTAATGGAAAGAGCTCAGATTTTATACCTGACACCTAATACCAATTTGTCTGCTCTAATAGTAATACATTTTCTCTCTGTGATCTCAGAAGAGCTTTTCTGACCCTAATTTTTCTATTGAGGAAAAATTTTAATTGTAAAATTATGATGTTCACCTTGCAGGACTTCTTTAAGGTGTAAATAGCTAACAATTACATAGTACTTACTACATACCAGGTACCCTACTAATAAGTACATTACTATATTAATTAATCTAATTCTTACAACAACCCTAAGAGGTACTGTTATATAAATTTTATAGGATGTAAACATTATATACTGTCTCACAAATTTCTTAATGGACATATAAAATTTTTCATTTTAAATGTCAGTAGTTACAATTTAATTTCTGGCAGAGTAAAACATTGACATTTTAACATCACTATTACATATGAAATCCATAGTATATTAATACCTATTATCTTTTTTAAAAATATGAAAATGCTCTTTAAGAAATGTTGTGTCATAATATTTACTTTTTGAGCTCATATTTCCATTCTATATGCACTATAGAATTTTATGCAAACGTATATTAATTACTTCATAAACAGTAATTAATTGTAATAGCTTAATATTACTTCTAGAAGGAAAAGTGTTCATCATTCAGTTTCTTTTTTTTAGCATTGAGGTACCTTTATTCTCAAATAAAAAGATGAAATAAAATTTTATGTTATAACTGAGTTGCTCAGTTTTTATGCATCTTCAGCTATAATGTCAAAAGTTATTTGTCAATGAAAATATTTTAATGTCCTGTCAGTATTTCTTCAATTTTGTTGAAAACAAAAATTTAAAGCCATCTAATTTGCAAAAAGATTTGTTTCCCAGTCATTACAATCATCTATTCCCTCATTTTCTGGGACGTATACCAGAAAGACTTTACCAATAGTTATTTATCAAAGGACTAATGATACCTGTTTTGGGCTTTAAAATGTTTTTTCTCACAGTCACTTTGTTTAATGTATTCAGAAATGATTAAGGAAACTGAAATATGTTAATTTCAGTATCTTTTATCAGTATATTTTTCATGAAAAACACTTTTATTACATGAACTGTATTTTGAGCAATACCTTATTGGTTCACCCAATTTCTGGAAAATTTCCAATAACCTACCCAGCAAAGCCAGTTATCAACATCACACCAGCCAGCCAAGTCAGACTTACTTTCTGTCAGGAAAAAAAGCATTTTTTCGTTTTTTGAACTCAGTGTGTCAATACATATTTTGAGGAATTCTATAAAATCTCATCAATAAGGAAGTGTATGAAGGATATATTTAAAATACAAAAGTTAACCAGGCATGGTGATGCACGCTTGTAATCCCAGCTACTCGGGAGGCTGAGGCGGGAGAATCGCTTGGACCCAGGAGGTGGAGGTTGCAGTGAGCCAAGATCGCGCCATTGCACTCCAACCTGGGCGACAAGAGCGAAACTCATTCTCAAAAAAAAAATAGAAATTATCAATAATGAAGAAAACATAAAGTATAAGTAAATACATCTTATAATAATACTAAGTAGTAAAGTCAAGATTAAGATTATGTAGATCGAATCTAATTTGTATGTTAAAAAAATCTTTATCTCTAAATGTGTATATTTAGACCTAATCAATGTATAGGAAAGCTAGAATTTATTGAAGTAGCAAAATTCATATATAAAATACAGATCATGCAGTTCTGAAAAGTGTATACTATTTAAAAACTCATTATTCCAACAGCTAGCACACTTATAATTTTTATTAGGATGTAGAAAATATAAGATGGAGATTGCTTAATTGAAATAAATATTTTATAATATAATTTGATAAAAATAATTTTAACTATCTTAGCAACTCTACATGGAATCTGTAAGAAATCACATAAAATATTAATTTCATTTTTTACTTTTATCTAGTTTAAATTGAAAAATTGAAGTTGCTTTGAAAAGAATGCCACTGATTTGTTCTGCTTTAGCTCTTCAGAAATGCTTTTTGTTCTACCTAATGACAAATCCTAGGAATGATGTTTGAGAATGTTATTTGCTTTGCTCTTATCAGTCTCCTGAAAAGCAATGAATTTTTAAATAATAGGGAGGTCATTAAGGGAAAATTACCCTCACTTCCTCTGGCCATATTATATAGTTAATTGCAGCTTCCCAACCAGGACCAGCATACCCCCATTTCAGTTGTGCTTTATGCCTAATAGAAATTCATGTAAACAGGAAAGACCAGAAAACCTATAGTGATTCTCTGTTGCCTTGATTTGTCAGTAAAGAAGGCTTTCCCTAATCGGTATTTTGAACTTTACTCCTTTGGCACCCTGGAGGACTTTACACTCCAAGCAGTGTACCATAATCATGTCATGGATGGATAGAGGAATACGCCTTTTCTCTTTTTTTCTTTTAAGAAAGTGAGAACAAGGTATACTGTATAAAGGAGAGCAGGGAGAAGAATTTTCAAGGATGCTAGGAAAGAGTTTACATGGAAGCTGAGGATCCGGGAGTTGATTCCTTTAAACCCAACAGTCCAGCTTACATTTTAAAAGTCTTCGCTTACCTCTGGATCCAATAATCCCAATTTGGTAACTACTGACATGAACTAAATAATGCAGTTCTTGGTATATAGCAAATGCTAAATAATTGATAGCTATTGAAAAGTGGGGAAAAAAATTAGGATCACCATTTGTTACTGTCATTGGTTCTCAGGTTTTAAACAGCAGTCACCCTGATGAGTTTGGTTACCGCTACAGTGCAGGAGATGTAGCAAGATTGTTTTAATAACCATCGAACAAACAGATGCCCATACATCCCCATTTTAATTTGGCCAAACTTCAGCCTGCTGGGGAGTGCTGTTTTACAAATTTAGACCTGACAGTTCAGTCAGAGTCTATAAAGAAGTCATCCCTGAGGCATTTGGGAGCCATACTAAGGCATTGCAGTTGCCAGCATGGAGTAGAGACCCTCTTCTGGAGCCAGTGGAGGAAATGGAGGAAAACCATAGTGCAGCAATAATGCTTTAGAAACTTGGCAGCACGCTGGGCTACCTTCTCAAAGCATAAGCCTTTCTAATTCAAGAAAAGTTGCCACTGCCTTAATCCCACAGTTAAACATTTACTGAGGCAGAAATAGAGAAAGAATAGGCTTGTTTTATATGAATACTAGCGTAGCTAAGAAAGAGTTTTCATAGATTTGATACCCTTTGATGCTTATTAGAAATCCTTCTTACTATAGATAATTATTAAAAACTATTTTCTAAGAAATCATATAACTGAACTGAACGTCAGAGTGGTTTATATGAGAATTATTCAGATTTAAAGTAGAGCTCCCCCCCCCATTATCTGTGGGAGATAAATTCCAAGAGTCCCCCATTGAGTGTCTTAAATAAATACTTATATATACTATACTGTTTCCTATACATACATACATATGATAAAGTTTAATTTATAAATTTTATACAGAGTTGCAACAAGAACTATAATAAAATACGGTTATAACAATATGCTTTAATAAATTTATGTGAATGTGGTCTCCCTCGCTCGCTCTCAAATTATTCTTCTTGTACTGTATTCACCTGATTTCATATTGCAGTTGACCACAGGTAACTGAAACCATGGAAAATGAAGCCACAGATAAGGGGCTGTCTATTGTCCAACTTTAAATAAGTATTATGATATGATAGGTTGCTAAGAAGGTGACCTTTGAGAACTAAAGTTTTTTTCTTGCTTTATCATTAATTGAGAAAGAATTCAGTCAACTATATTGCCTTCTCTGTGTTTTATTAGTAAAATGCAATAGAAGTATGACTTTAACATTTGAAAGGGATACTGTGAGAATTTCACACATTCATAGCATTTTAAACTTATAAAGCAAAGATATATCTTAATACATTACAACAAAATGAGTGGAATTCATTTTTAATTTTCAAGAAATATTTTCTGCAGATTCAAGAACAATCATATGTTCTCTCAAGATAAATAATTTCTTATTTAGAAAACCTTTGTAATAACTTAGTGGTGAGATTGCTGTCTTAAAAGTATGCATTTTTTTTAGTAAAAGATGATGAATGCGAGTCAGATGCAGAAAATGAGCAAAACCATGATCCTAATGTTGAAGAGTTTCTACAACAACAAGACACTGCTGTCATTTTTCCTGAGGCACCTGAAGAGGACCAGAGGCAGGGCACACCAGAAGCCAGTGGTCATGATGAAAATGGTAAATGGATCTTAACAGTTGTGTTTCTTTCCCTCTTTAAAGGATTCTTGTTTCTACCATTCTACTATGGGAACCTGCTCTACTATAGGGAACATTCTTGAAGACCAAACTTTATTACAGGTGCCTATAGAGAGTAATCTGTTTTATTAATGGAACACTATGATGACCATGCAGTAATAAATTATTAGCTGCTCATGTATTGTGGTAGTAATGCCACTGCACGTGAAATGCTTAGAACAGTGTCTGGACATCAAATTCCATTTACTTACATGGTAGCAGGCAGTAGAAGTGAGAACTATACCTTTACTGCCCTTTGGATTCTTTCCCACCATTCTTTTAACAAATAAAAATATGGTTGTCTGCTTTATACCAGAACATACTAATTTGGAAACAGTGGTTTTCCTGAATCTGCCTTAGTCCACTCTGATATGAATAGTCAGCGTACAGAGTGTGGAAAATGCAATAAAAATGTGTTCAGACTCTCCTGAGAAGAAATAGGCTGTGATACAGTTTGGGAGGAAAAGACTATGTTATTGTTTCACCAGAAGAAACTAGGTTATCAAAGAAATGAAAGGGAAATACAAAATTTAAAAATATATGTATATTTACGTAAAATTTTTATGTGACAAAAGGCTTTCAAAAAGCCTCACTGAAAGGAAACAATGAAACCTAAAGAAATGATCCATTATGTAGTTCTAATAAAGGTTAAACCTTTTAAAGTTTGTCAGGTCCATACAGTACGATCTAAAAATTGAGGAACTACCATTCTGAATTAGTTTGAATTATAGAATAAGTTGTTGATTTTGTTATTCATTACTTTCAGATATTTAATGTAATTTAATTAAATGCTAATAAAGCATTTTGAAGTATTCTGTCATATCAGCGACATTTGTTTACATATTTATCCCTTTTTATAACCAAATAGTATTCATTCGTGTGTATATGCCACATTTGCTTCATCCATTGATGTACACTGAGGTTGATTCCATATCTTTGCTATTGTGAATAGTACTGTAATAAGCATGAAGATCCAGGCATCTCTTTGATATACCAACTTCCTTTGGATAAATACCCAGTAGTGGAATTGCTGGATCATATAATAGTTCTATTTTTAGTTTTTTTTGAGAAATCTCCGTAGTATTTTCACAGTGGCTGTCCTAATTTTCATTCCCACCAAGAATGTATGAGAGTTCCCTTTTCTCCACATCTTCACCAGCATTCATTAGTTTTTGTCTTTAATAGCAATACTAACTGGGATGAAATGATATATTATTGTGGTTTTGATTTGCATTTCTCTAATGATTAGTGATGGTGAGCATTTTTTTGTATATCTGTGGCTATTTGTATGTCTTCTTTTAAGAAATGTTTATTCATATCCTTTGCCCACTTTTCAATAGGATTATTTGGGTTTTTTAAATCTGTTGAATAGTTTGTGTATTCTTCATATTAGTCCCTTGTCAGATGAGTAATTTGCAGATATTCACTCTGTTGTTTCCTTTGCTGAGTCTTAGCAATAAAGTCTTTGCCTACCCAAATGTCCTGAGTGTTTTCTGTATGTTTTCTTCTAGTTTTATGGTGTTGTGTCTTATGTTTAAGTCTTTCATTGATCTTGAGTTGATTTTTGTATGTGGTGAGAAATAGGAGTCCAGTTTCATTCTTCACATGTTAATATTCAGTTTTCCCAGCACCATTTATTGGAGAGTGTGTCCTTTTCCTGGTGTATGTTTTTGGTGCCTTGTCGAAATCAAATGGCTGTTAATAATGTGGATTTTATTCTGGGTTCTCTGTTCTCTTCCACTGGTCTGTGTGTCTGTTTTTTACTAATGCCATGCTGTTTTCCTTACTGTACCTTGTATTATATTTTGAAGTCAGGTAGTGCGATGTCTCCAGCTTTGTTCTTTTTGCTCAGGATTGCTTTGGCTATATTGGTCTTTTGTGGTTCCGTAAAAGTTTTAGGATTGTTTTTTCTGCTTCTGTGAAAAATGACATAGATATTTTGATAGGGATTGGATTGAATCTGTAGATCGCTCTGGGCAATATGATCATTTTAATGATGTTAATTCTTCTGATCCATGAGCATGGGATGTCTTTCCATTTACTTGTGTCTTCTTCAATTTCTTTCATCAATATTTTGTAGTTTTCCTTGGAGAGGTCTTTCACCTTCTTGGGTAAATTTATCCCTAGGTATTTTACTTTTTTGTAGCTACTATAAATGAGATGGTCTTCTTGATTTATTTCTCGTCTAGTTCATTATTGGTGTACAGAAACACTGCTGATTTTTATGTTGAGTTTTGTATCCTGCAACTTTCAGTTTATTTAGCAGATTGCAGTTTTTTGGTTGTGTCTTTAGGTTTTTCTAGATATTAGATCATATAGTCTGCAAAGAGAGACTATTTGACTTCTTTTCCAAATTGGATGGCTTTTATTTCTTTCTCTTGCCCAATTGCTCTGGCTAGGACTTTCCAATACTGTGTTGAATAGGAGTGGTGAAGGAGTGGAAATCCTTTTCTGATTACACTTCTTAGAGGGACGTCTGTCAGCTTGTTCCATGCAGTATGCTGTGGTTCTGTCATATATGTCCTTTATTATATGGAGGTGAACCATCTTTGCATCCCTGGGATAAATCCCACTTGATCATATTGCATTATCTTTTTGACGTGCTGTTAGATTTAGTTTGTGAATATTTTTTTGAGGATTTTGTATCTGTTGTCATCAGGGATATTGACCTGGATAGTTTTCCTTTTTTTGTTTCATCTTTCTCTGGTTTTGGTATCAAGATAGTGATGGACTTATAGAATGAAGTAGGGAGAATTCCCTCCTCTTCAGTTTTTTGGAATAGTTTGAGGAGAACTAGTGTTAGCTCTTCTTTGACAGTTTGGTAGAATTCAGCAGTGAACCCTTTCAGTCCCGGACTTGAAATATTCATTATGGATTCAATCTCATTACTCATTATTGGTCTGTTCAGGTTTTCTATTTCTTTCTAATTTAATCTTGGTAGGCTGTGTCCAGGAATTTATCCATATCCTCTAGGTTTTTCAGTTTTTTCATGTATAGTTGTTCATAATTGTCTCTTTTGTATTTCTGTGGTATCATTTGTTAGTCTTCTTTTTCATTTTTTATTTGCATCTTCTCTGTTCTTTTCTTAGTCTAGCTAGTGGTTTATCAGTTTTGTTACCTTTTCAAAAAAACCAACTTTTTGTTTTGTTATTTGTGTTGTTTTTTAGTCTTCATTTCATTGATTTTGTTCTGATTGTTATTATTTCTTTCCTTCTTAAATCCTAATTTAGGGTTTGCTTTGTTCTTGCTTTTCTAAGTTCTTGAGGCACATTGTTAGATTATTTGAAATGTTTCTATTTTTTGTTTTAGGTATTTATTGCTATATACTTCCTCTTAGTGCTTTTGCTATATTTCATAGGTTTTGATATGTTCTGTTTTGATTTTCATTTAAAGAAATTTTAATTTTAATTTCATTTAAAGAAATTTTAAATTTTCCTCCTTATTTCTTCCTTGACCCCGTGGTTATTCAAAAGCATGTTGTTTAATTTTCATGTGTGTGTAGAGTTTCCAAAGTTCCTCTTATTATTAAAATCTATAGTTGTATTACTTTGTGGTCTAAAAGCTACTTGATATGATTTTGATTTTTAAAAATTTGTTTGAGACTTGTCATGGGTCCCAACATACAGTCTATCCTAGAGTATGTTCTGTGTGTTGATGACAAGAATATGTATCCTTTAGTAGTTGGTTAAAATGTTCTGTAAGTGTCTCACATCCATTCGGTATAAAATGCAGTTTAAATTCAGTGTTTCTTTGTTAAGTGTCTTTCTACATGATCTGTCTAATGCTGATAGGGGTGTTGAAGTCCCTAACTATTATTGTATTAGAATCTGTCTCTCCCTTTAGATCTAATAATATTTCCTTTATATAGCCAGGTACTCCAGTCTTGGGTACATATATGTTAAGAATTGTTATATCCTCTTACTGAATTGATTCCTTTGTCATTCTTTAATGACCTTCTTTGTCCCCTTATACTGTTTTGTTTACTGGATTTAAGAGTTTATCTCATTATAGCTACTCCTGCTCACTATGGTTTCCATTTGCATGGACATCTTTTTCTGTCCCTTTACTTTCAGTCTATATGGATCTTTACAGGTGAGATGAATTTCTTCTAGGCAGCACATAGCTGGGTCACAGTTTTTATCCATTCAGCCAATCTGTACCTTTTAAGTGGAAAGTTTAATCCGTTTATGTTATTATTATTGATATGTTAGAGCCTATTTCTGTCATTTTGATTTCTGGTTGTTTTGTGTATCATTTGTTCCTTTCTTTCTTACTGATTATTATTGTGGTTTGATAGTTTTCTATAGTGGTAACATTTGAGTTCTTTCTCTTTCTTATTTGTACTTGTTCTACCAGTGGATTTTATATTTTCATGTGTTTTCATTATGGTAGATATCTTCCTGTCACTTCCATGGATAAGACTCCCTTAAACATTTCTTGTAGGGCCAGTCTAGTGGTCATGAATTCTCTCAGCTTTTACTTGTTTAGGAAAGACTTTATTTCTCTTTCATTTATGAAGGATAATTTTGCTGGGTATGATATTCTTGGCTGGCAGGGTTTTTTTCTTTCAATACTTTGAATAAATATATCATTTCTTTCTCTCCTTGCCTATAAAGTTTCTGCTGATAAACTGCTATTAGTCGTATGGAGGTTCCCTTACAAGTGATTGGACACTTTTCTCGTGTTGTTTTTAGAATATCTCTTTGTCTTTTACTTTTGACAGTGAATATAATGTGCCATGGAGAAGATCTTTTTGAATTGTATCTATTTGGGGGTGCGCTGAGCTTTCTGTATCTGGATGTCTAAATCCTTTGCTAGACTTGGGAAATTTTTGGATATTATTTCATTAAATAGGTTTTCTATCCCTTTTGTTTCCTCTTTGCCTTATAACACATCAAAAATTCGAATATTTGGTTACTTTATAGTTTCTTATATGTCACACAGGCTTTGTTCATTGTTCTTTTATTCTTTTTTCTCTTACTAGGTTATTTTAAAAGACCTGTCTTCAAGTTCTAAAATTCTTCTTCTGCTTGACCTAATCTATTGCTGAAGCTTTCAGTTGTCTTTTGTCTTTCATTCGGTGAATTCTTCAATTCCAGAATTTGTTTAGTTCTTTTTTATGATACTTACCTCTTTGGTAAATTTCTCATTCATATCCTGATTTGTTTTTCTGGTTCCTTTGTGTTGCTTTTCTGTTTTCTTCTATCTCACTTAGCTTTTATAAGATCATTATTTTTAATCATTTTCCAGGATTTCATAAATTTATTTTGATTGGAATCTGTTGCTGGATAATTATTGTATTTTTTGGAGGTGTCATATTTCCTTCCTTTTTCATGTTTCTTGTATTCTTACCTTGATACCACACATCTGGTATAATAGTCAATTATTCTGGTTTTTTGGATTTGCTTTCATTGGTTGAGTAGGGCACTTTGGCTTTGATTCTGGGTACATGTGGTAGTGTAATTTCTGTATGATATCTTTCGTTATAAATAGTGTGAGTAGGGTCCGTGATTTCCTCGTTGGCTTAGGTGCAATTGTTAGTGGAGGCTGAGGTGAAGTTTGGCTGGGACAGGGATGCCAGGTGGACCATTCCTTGGGCCCTAGCAGTGGTAGTAACGGGCTTACAGTACCTGTCCTTAGACCACAGGGTGGCACATTGACACCTTGTGTTAGCAGGTCCAGTTGGGCTGATCCTTGGAACTCCAGGTGGCTTGCTTGGGTGCTGGTAGTGGCAGTGGTAAGCTGGGCAGGTGGGCAGGTTCTCAGGCTCCTGGGCAGTGGATGTCACTTGGGCAATGGCAGTAGCAGTGGCAGGACACCCTCTGGTTCCCTAGTGATTCACGCTGGTGTTGGCAGTGACTGCAATGGGCTGGGTGAGTCAGTCCCCAGGCCTACCGGTGGTGCATGCAGGAGGGTGCCAGCTGTAGTGATAGTAGCAGGTTGGGTGGACCCAACCTCAGGCCTCCAGGAGGAGTGTTCAGGTGACAACAGTGTTGGACTGGGCTGGGTCATCCCCACGTCCCTGAATAGCATGCTCGGAAACTGGGGAGGAGGTAAGCTGGGCCAGATGGACCTGTCCTCAGGCCCCTTGGTGGTGTGTGTAGGCATTGGCTATCATGGCAGGGGCAGGATGATCCCAGGCCACCAGCAGAGTGCTCAGGTAAGGACATCAGTGGTTGCACTGTGGCCTTCTTACTGGGGAGGGCAAGGTTGCTCTTGGTGGCAGCAGCCATAGGGAGGGAGCTGGGAAATGTGCGCTTTAGCCCCAGACAGCGGCTGTGGATGGGGTAGCCTGTCCTCAGGTCCCTTATAAATGCTTAGCAGCTCAGCTGCTGAGGAAATTAGGGTCGCTGCCAGTGGCTAGCACTTTGTCCCCAGCGGTGGAAGCCCACAGTGGCAGCAGTCTGTTGGGGAGTCTGTCCTTGGGGCATGTAAAAATGTGTGCAGCTCCTCTGCTGGGAGGAGGTATGGTCACTGCCAATGGCTTGCACTTCAGCCTTAGCAGCCGCAACCAGCATTAGTGATGACTGGGAAGGGAGGTATGTCAGTGGGGCTCAACAGGATGTAGTCTGTTGGGGGTTGGGCTCTCAAAATAGTGCTGTGCTGTAGCTACTTAGAACTCAGGGGGTGTACAGATTCAGCATAAGCTCCCTCTCCGGAGCAGCATTGTCATGTGGTCTCCACATACCTCCCTGTGTTAGTCTCAGAGCCCACGATGGTCCAGGGGTTCTCCCATGGCTAGGATTGCAGGAGTCCATGGTGGGAATGTGGACCCCTGGGGGTCTCTCACTTACTCTTTCCCTGCATTGGAGAGCCTTTGCAGGTTGCTTTACTTCCTTCTTCCTTACTTGAGGTGTTTCCTGTCACTTTTCTGTTGAATTCCAGTGTTCTCTCTTAGATGATCTATGTGAAGTGTGATTATTACCTCATTATTTTGGTTTTTCCTTGTAGAGGAGGTGAGTACCAGATGCCTCTATTCAGCCATCTTGAAGCCCCTCTCTCAACATATTTGACCAACTATTTAACATTCAGGTGCTCAGTCTATTATTTGCAGTCTGGTCCTTGAGCAAGACATTTGATTTATATGGACTTGAATAAAGGAATATATGTTCAGAAAGCACTTGGAGATTTTATGAAATTATCTGTGGTGGTTTGTTTTTCTATAGTGAATTCAAAATGAAAATAGAGATGATGTTTACAAAAAGATATCACTTAATTTATTTCATTGAAGAAATGTCAAATATGGAAAACTACTCTTAGTTAAATAATATTAATTGGCAAAATATTACATTTTAGGATTGTCAGGCTTAGACAGCTCCAAGTGTAAAAATAAAGTTCATTCAGTAAACTAATTTATTCAGAATGCCTTTGTTTTCTAAAAGCTATATATATTCATACATATACAGTTATATAGCAGATTTGCCAGTGTATTTCAATAGGGGAAATTACAAGCAGGGTCATGCATGGGATGTGTTTATGTAGCAGGCCTAGATCTGGCCCCCATCAGTCTTTCCTTCCCCACCTTACACACTATTTTTTTGGTCTGAACTCAGTCCTATGGCCACACCTACCTGCAAGGGACTCTTGGAAACATAGTGTGTGTGTACTGTTTACTCTTTGATGATGATGACTTGGTAGTTTCATTTTCAAAATCAGAGGAATAAACATTAAATAAATAATGATACATACCATTGTTACCAATAGACTCTGTTGTAGAGCACAAAATTCCCCTTTAATCTGTATACACTTACAAAGACAACCTACATTCTAATTTTACTTTTGTTTTCTTTTCTAGCTAATCACATGACAAAAGGGAAGAATTATGGTTTAGGGAAAAAGAATGGGACTTGAAGGTCAGACAGCCCGTATTTGAACCCTGACTTCATCATTTTCTGGCTCTGTGACTTTTCTTTTAAGTTATTTAACCTTCCTGGAAACCACTGTTCTCTCTCTTATAAAATAGAGATGAGTATCATTGCATTGTTTTGAGGATCAAATATAAAGTGGGTAGCACAATATCTGGAACATAGCATAGGGACTCAGTGGAAACTTTGGTAATATTTTCTGAATGTTTTAAATTTAAAATATATGATCTTTCTTTTACAGGAACACCAGATGCATTTTCACAATTACTCACCTGTCCATATTGTGATAGAGGCTATAAACGCTTTACCTCTCTGAAAGAACACATTAAATATCGTCATGAAAAGAATGAAGATAACTTTAGTTGCTCCCTGTGCAGTTACACCTTTGCATACAGAACCCAACTTGAACGTCACATGACATCACATAAATCAGGAAGAGATCAAGTAAGTGCAATGACTGAGAGTTCACTAACTTTCCAGATTTTGACAACTCAGCCCTCAATGGAAGGCAAGGATTTTAATATATTTGAAAGTTAAAAGAATGTACTAAACAGTGCTATATCTGCAGCCTTATAAAAGTGAAAATGATTATTTATTTGAGTTATCTGGTCATTCCTGAGATTAAAAACCACATATGAACGTTACTTTAGAGGTAACTCAGTATTTTGTTCAGGTAAGACCCTTTCCATCTTGACTTAATTATTTTGCTTATGCCATAACAGTTAATTCTTCAAGTTTAGAAGATGTTAAATTGCATTCTATTAAAATGTTCAGTGTAGGAAAAATAAGTACTGACTATATAAACCACATTATACTAACCAAATTGACAAGAAAGTCAAATTAAAAAGTTTAAGTTTCTTTGAACCAGTTACTATTTATTCTCAGTATAAGCTACGTGGTTTTTTTCCCCCGTAGTAAAGGGAGTTGCCTCCTCTAAAAATCTAAAGTTTAGATTTTTTTATTCTGAAGACTCAATTTTTATATGGTTTATTCTACTTCTGTGTCACTGTGCCCCAGTTTTCAGAAGTATAAACCAAGACTGTTTTGTAACTATAAGTTACATTTAAATTGCTGGTTCTATATTTAGGATTAAAGTCAAAAAAGCTTTTATCAGTTGTTCCTCTTTTACAAGGTCCTCATAGTTATCAGCCATCAACAATGAAATTAATATTGCCTTAATTCTAACTTTAAAAATTAAATAAATTTTCAGCCACACAGGGTTTGTGAGGGTACATGTTGGGGTTAGGCCACATTTCCAGTTTCTTACATCAAAGAATGATGTATATCTACATACCTGAACTCTGCCCTATGGATGTACCTAATATGTGTCACATATCCCATAGAGAACAAGTTAGACCATTTGCTAAGGTGATGGCTAGGCCAAACAAACAACAAAAAAGAATTGTAACAGAAAAAGAATGACTGAGCAGAGTCAACCTATTTCCTTAGTACTTTGGCAACAGTACTCATGAAATAACAAGATAATAAGAAGAGGGTGGCAATCAGGGAGAATAGAACCAAGATTTTATAGGTTTATGGTCCATAAGCCCATGAAGGAGCACTTGAAACAGGTGAGAGCTCCAAGAGAAGGACGAAATTAATACAGAGAAGGGACGACTGAAGGCAAACTCCGTCTCCTTCCTAGTGCCCCTATTAATGAGTCTTATCAGAGAGACCAGCAGAAGAGTATGTTTTATACCTTAGCGCTGTGATGTGGCCACAGTGTAGACAAGGCTTGGGAAAGAGCCTACTCACGTGACATTCAGGAAGCAGACCCATCCTGCAGCTGCTGCCACCATATTCCCTCTACTCCAAGGGCCATCGTGAAAGGAGAGGACAGATTGAACTGGTGGCGAAAGCAGAAGATGCCATTATAAAAACAAACTCCAAAATCTTTGATGAGCATGAAAACCAATTCTATGATGATTTTTCCAGTGGGTGCAAATGTAGTAGGATTTACATATAAACCGTGGGTCAGACTAAGGTCAGGAAGGAGCTGTGATAAATATGGGGACCAGTAATGTGAGGAAATATAACTGGGAGGTCTTGGAAACAATTTAGTTTGCAAGGCAGCAAACTAAAAGGTAGAATGTATATTTTGCTGGCCCTTGAGAATCATACTGTGACTAACAAGCATTTTCAAGTCTTATTAACTTGTTTATTCAACAAACATTTGTGTTTCTTTTATATGTGAGGCCCTCTTCTGGGTGTTAAAGGCACAGTAGTCAAAAAGGAAGTCCCTGATATTAGGGACCATACATTAGTAGATTATATAAAACAGAAATAAAATAATACATACTGTGAAGAAAAATACAGCAGGATAAGAGGATAGAAAGTGATGAAAGCTGCTAGGTTTCACAGAGAAGGGAGACTTCTCTGAGAATGGGATATCTGAATACAGTGAAGGAGCCAGTCATGGAATATTGGAGAAGGGCATTCCAGTCAGAGGAAACAGTGAAACATAAGAAAGCCTTGAGGCCAGAACCTGCTGGGCACACACTGAGAACAGCAGAGGCCAGTGTGAAAGGGAGAAAGGTAAGGCCAGAGAGGTGTTGGGGGCTACATATTATAGGCCAAGATAAAGACGTTGGATTGTATTCTAAAGTGCAGTGGGGATGCCTGTCAAGGATCCAGGAATTTTTAATTTTTATTTTTAGGGGAACACTGACTGTTGGATGATAGATAAGAGAGACAAGAACGGAAGCAGGGAGATCATTTAGAGGCTTTTGCTGTAATCTAGGCCAGAGGTTTTGGTGGCAGACAGATAAATAAGATTGTTGGCTTCAGAATATGTTCATATGCTTGCTGATGGATTGGGTGAGGGTACATGAGTAAGAGGGTAATCAAGAATAACTCCAAAGTTTAAGGCCTAAGCTATAACCAAATAAATGATAGTGCTATTCACAGAGATAGGAAATACTAAAGACGGAGCTGGCTTGCAGGAGGGAAATTAAGAGTTTGGTGTTAATCATGTTAAGTTTCAGATCTCTATCACCTTCCAACTGGCAATATCAAATAAGCAGTTGGTTGTAAAAGTCTGGAGTTAAGGGGAGAGGTTTAGAGATACAAATGTGGGAGTCGCCACCATATATTTGGTATTTTAAGTCATGGGTTTTAGTGAAGTAGGACCTGATTCAGAGTAAGTACTAATTCTCTTTCCTTCCTGTATAAAAGGCAAAGGAAGGGAGATTCCAGCTGGAAGAGCATGAAGCAGTAGTTGAGTTAAGCCGTTAAAGGCTGGGTAGAATCTTAGTAGTCAAAATTATGGGAAAACACAGTGAAGGAGTAAGAAATTATGTAAACCAAAGCCAAAAGATAAAGAGGAGCAATATGTGTGCAGAAAACCATGGCTCGCTAAATGACTGAGGCATAGACTTGTCATAAAAAACTGGTGAAGAATCATCTTGGAAACTCAGGGACTATAATCTTGGAATCTGTAGACTTGGAATCTTTATTGAGGGGTTAATGGGGATCCTTCAGAAGTTTATGAGGAGGAGTTGATAGAATGCAATTCAAGCAGTGCTTTTGTAAGATTAATCTAAGTATGAAGAATACATTTGAAATATGTGAAAATGGGAATTTGATAAACCAGACAGAAAGCTATTATAATAATCCACATTTGGCTGAAAAAACTGGAAGTATTTTTTTAATCATCAGATTAAAGTACATTTTGGAAATATCAAATAGAAGAGACAGGATAAAGTACAGGAAAAATCCTGTCTTCTATTCAGGACCTTGTTCTGTTGAGTGAGCTTTAGACAGGTTATTCAGTATTTGTGGATGCGGTTTCTATATCTATAAATTGGAAAGCAAACAAGTTAACCTCTAGTTCCTAGCAAAGTATATATTACTTTATTTTTACTAATTTTGAATATTGTTTAATAAAGGATGAACTCTGATACTTTAGAAAGTTGGTATTTTTCTGTATCAAATTCTGTCCCCACTATCACTATCCTTTTTGGTAATAATTTCAGGAGTTACATTTTTGTGACTGCTACAACTGCTAATAATTTCAAGAGTTAGATTTTTGTGACTGCTGCAATTTGAGGTCTTTAAGAAACAAAACAAAACAACCATCAGGCTCACAAAAATGTCACTCTTAGTAGATTGGATGTTCTTTAGTCTAAAGATCTTTTGCTTTTCAAATAAAATACCAGTTCTTTTCTTACAGAGACATGTGACGCAGTCTGGGTGTAATCGTAAATTCAAATGCACTGAGTGTGGAAAAGCTTTCAAATACAAACATCACCTAAAAGAGCACTTAAGAATTCACAGTGGTAAATATTTTTTTTCTTTCTATACCCTGAATATCATAGCATATGTGGTAATAAATAAATATCATAACATGTAATCTACGTACATGATCAGAAACTCCTTGCATTTCTTTTGGCATACACTAATTGGGAGAAATTTTATGTTTATTTTATGTTTTATTAGAGTCTTAACCTTTGACTAAAGTATATCAAATTAATATAGTATGACATACTCCAGATTTCCTAATCAGAAGATAATATAGCATGTTTTAGTAAGTACAACCTGAAAACATATTAGCTTTCTGATGAATGTAAATGTCATTGCCTCCTTTGCACAATTAGCAGGGGAATGGAAAAGAGTATAGAGATACGATTTGCACAAGAGAATAGGGAAGTGAAGACATCCTTTATTTGAGAAAAGTTGAAATGGAACTCAAGATTAGAAAATATTGGAGAGCTGATATAGAGGCAATGAGAGGGAGTGAAAGGATTACAGCATTAATGAGAATCTGAAAGAAAAATGTGCTCACCCACCATCTTCACCTGTCTATTCCATGTCATTCTGTAAATTATTACTTACAAGGTTAATACTATTATGCGATGAAAGTGTTGTGTCTATTTTAGGAACTCAGAGTAAACAGAGAGCTATATTTGCATTTCTTTGGAGACACTACTTGAACAAAAGCGCAAAAGGAAAACTTGCTGGTATCCCACAATGCCCTATGAAATCTGTTCATCTCCTGATAAATTTTGATATGTTATTTTAGATTTAAATCATTTTAATGAAAAAATTATTAACCATGAATGGGAAATTATGGGTTTTCACACATTGCTTATTTTGTGAAAATTATGTATTGACATTTACATTTTACAAACATCTTCCTACAAAAAAAGTATAGTTGGATAGCTTTGTGAAGCATAGTTGATGATATTTATGTTTTATTTTGGAACTGCATTTCTAAAAGTTTTACTGTATTGCTCATTAAGGCTAACCCTCAATGTTAAACGTGCTGAAGTTACCACTTGAAAATGCTCAAACCAAGATCCTTACCAAAACATTTATTTTCACACATTGATTATTGTTTCTAAAAAGTAGAGGTTGTCTTTTGCAGCCTGCCACAATATTCTGTTTCTTAGCTTCTATGCTATTGAACAATTTTTATCAATAATAATATATTTTAACAACCTACCTTCTTACCAGAGATGATTTAAAGTTGTTAATAAAGATATAGCTAATTCAAGAGGGATTTTTAAATGTTGAAATCAGGGCAGAGGAAGGAAAATAAAGCTAACAGTAAGATTCATGTATATAATGAGTCATATTCATTTTGTCATATTGCAGTCATGGAAGATTTATCAGATCTATAAATAATACAAAGTTGGAAAGTATAAATCAGAACAAGGATTGAAATACTGGTCTAGAAATAAGAAGTTGAAAGTTAAGCATTGGTATTTAAAAATCAGTCTCAATCAAGTAGTAAATTTGAATGGCCCAGAGCTTAATATGAGCTGACTGTATGCTGATACTGCTCAAAAGCTAATGCAAATTTAGGCCAGATCATGGAACACAAAGCTCCCACTGTACTCTGCACTGTCCACTCATTATGTATGTACTTATTTCTGTCTTGTTTTTAAAACATCTAATGTGAGGCTTGTATACCTTTAACATAGCAAGTAATTTTAATTTAAAAATATGTAGGAAAAATTAAGAAACACTAACATGGAGTAAATTGTTGGGGGGACAAAATGAATGCTGTGAAATGCCATACATATGCTGGAAGTGGACCACAAATTAAGCTCTAAGGTTTAGGAAGAAAATGACAATCAGTAACCAAGACCCAGGGTGTCTGTAAGTAAAAAAAAAAAAAAAAAAAAAAAAAAAAAAAAAAAAAAATCAGTTGCTAGAAAAAGGACTATTCTTCCTTCCTGATACCAAGTCCATAGAAAACGTTATTCCTTGGAACAACATAAAGAGAAAAGAACAAAACAGAAGTTATATAATCCTCAGAAATATCCTTAAAATAACACAGCAGAGAATTTGATAGGGTTTCTTTTTTAAATCAGATTATTCAATAGAAGCCAGTCATAGTTCACCAAAGTGCTATTTAGGAAAAGCATTGCTCCAGGGTGGCCACGTAGATACAGTTTAAGTACACAGCTCTCTGATGGTCTGGTTGATTCCAAGAGAAGATTTTTGAGCAAAGGCTACCCAAAGTGACATCTCAGGACTGGTACCAGTCTGCAAACCCTGTGTTACTCATTCTTGAGATAAGTACAGAAATTGAGAGTAAGCATTTAGCATTTATTATACCAAGACTTTGTGACATTTTACTATATTTTATAAAATATTGGTCCACAGTAGATTGGAAACTTAAAAAAGAACCAAACAAAGCCAACTGGTCATTCACCACAAATAGTTTGAAAAGCTCTGCCTAGGGTATCTAATAATGGAAGAGCTGAATATCTTTTAGGAAACCTCCATAACTTTCTTTTCACATGACTTTTGAAAAGATGTTGAGAATCAGGATCCAAAATTATACTCTCTAAAATTACCTATATTGTTGCTAAATACTGGTACCCAAAAAATTTTGATCATGACCCTATGCAGAACCGTGTGTGTTAATAATTAGTTGATTCTACCTGTAGGAATTGAGCTATCATGAGGAAAAGGCTACCAGACCTCCACTCAGATTAGAGACAAAAGAACACCTGCATATGGCTGTGGTCCACCCCCAAAAATAATTTTCCATGGTCTTAGTAATTTTTGCCTGGAAAATTTTTGTATCAGATGCAGCCAAACACCCACCTTAGCCATTAAAAAAAAAAAAAAGTCAGTATACATAGTATACCGAACTTTGAGTAGTGAAACTTCCTGATGTAACCTTCAGGCTAAAATACTTGTAAACCCTAACCTCCATAGATAAATTAGTGATATGCCTAACTAATAAACTGTAAAGCTATGAAGCTAGAAACAAGGAGTTTTAAATTAACAAATATAGTGACTTTGGCTTTAGAATAATTGTTGTGTAAACTTTCTTTCTGGCAATGATAAAATATCAAGATAATTTTTAACAATAATAATGATAACTAGCACTTATTGGATCCTTAGCTATGTATAGCCACATGTTAGTTATTTGTATGCATTAATTCATATAGTCCTCAGGATAACCCTATGGAGTAGGTTTTATTATTTTCTACTTTTTACTGATGAGAAAATTGAGGCTCAGAGGGCTTAATTAACTTGTCCAAGGTCACTCAGGTAGTACATGGCAAAGCTAGGGCTGTGATGTAGTCATCCTGACCCAAAGTCATTCCCTTACGTACCATTTCTGTCCCCCTGTTTTAAAAAATAGTCTGTATTTATAGATGTTTATCTTTCTAGCGTCTCTAGAAGGAAAATAAGCATGTAGTTCATGTAAAAATGTTATCAAGTAATTAAAAGTGTTAAAATAGAGATGTACTAGAGTATATTCCTTGTTTTACCCCCACTGGAAACTTTTGTCTGTTGTATTTTGAGAATTGAATCCTATTCCAGGCATCGCATTGGAAAAATATTGATAAATTGGAGAATCCCCAGAGGTGGGTTAACAAGCAGGTAAGGGTTCTAAAACCCACATCCTGTGCAGAATGTTTGAAGGACCTAGGTATATTTAACCTATATAAGAGAAGTTTAAGAATACATATAGCAGCTCTTGATCCATTTGAAGGTTTGACTTGAGAAGAAAAGTTACACTTGTTCTGTGTGGCATCAGGACAAACTAGGATAGGGAAATAGGCATCATAGCTATTTTTTTGGCTCAAACTCAGCCTGTCTCTTAGTAGAATTGCCTTTTTAAAAAGTGACTAGCATTTGTTGAGAGCATACTAAGAGTTTTGCTATATAATCTCATATGACCCCTATAACAGTCCAATGAGAATGTATCTGCATTTGCACATTGAAAAACTAAGGCTTGGACAGGTTAAGAAAATACTATGTGATGGAGCCAGGATTTGAACCCAAATCCATGGACCTCAACAGAACCAGACAGGACCATCTTGTGCAGGGCTGTCCAGCAGGTCCTAACTCCCCTTTTATTAAAGAAGCTCAAGCAGAGATTAGCTGGTGTCAAGAATGATATGAAATGAACTCTTCATTGAAAAGGAGGCTGTACTACAAGGGTTTCTTAAATCTCTTCCAATTCTTATATATGATTCTTCAAATAATCATATTTATTAGAAAATATAACTCACATGTTTAAACTATAGCATTGAAGTTACTATTAAGCAATTTTTAGTAGGGCTTAAATTGATTCCTCACTGCTTTCATTTTAATTCTTAAAAAGAGCAGGAGATGGAGAGTTTTATTTTGATACTAAGTAGACAAATCAGTGTCATCACATCTCATCATTCAACAATTAGCCATTCACTCATCCAAAAAAGGTTTAATGAGCATCTTTGCAACCTGTACTTTGATGGGTGCAAGGGATAAATGGCAAACAAGCCTCAGAGGCTCCTGCCTTACTGAAGCTTATAGTCTGTAACCTTTAAATTATAAATTAGTGAACTATAACTTAAAACTCAAAGGAAACATTAGGTTTGTAGGAAAATATTCCATTTAGCTCGGTGCTTTCAAAATTTTCTACCAAAGTATCCCTAACAGCCAAGGAGAATAAATGCCTTTTACCCCACAGAGTCTAGGGAAGCAGCTTGAGGGAAGCCTCTGCAAGCCAAAGGCTACTTTGACAGTGCGTGGCTTTTCCTAGCAAGTCACACAAATGTGTTTTTCTCTGTTTTAATATAAAAATAATGTTTTATCATATCCACTGTCACTAAAATTGAAACTCCAAGGTGCTTTGATACCCACTACAGTGTTTATCCTGGGAGTATATACATTTCAGTTTAATAAGCCAATGCTTATAGAATATCTTATATAAGTTTTCCTCCCATTAGGGAAAAACTATTTTCAAGAAAGCCCTATGGGTACAGGAATTATTATTAATCAAAGATAGATATTCATACTTGTTAAGTCATATGGGACATTTTACTTATTTTTCTTTTCTTTAATATTTCTCCTACAGATGGTTGAGTAGAGTAAAATATAGAAAATTATATAGGTCGGTGAAATGGGATAAGAAAAAACATACTTGAAAGAGTAGAATGTAATTACTTTTGATACTTGAGAATTATTTGAAGTTATAAAGATTGGTGGAAATATTATACACATATGCTGAGAAGATTCCATGATTGGTTAGCAGAACATGTACCTCAGACTTAGTTACTAGCGTTCATCACATCTATGTAGGTTTTGAAGCTAAAAAGTTTATTCTAAATACAGTTCTGTCACAAGCATGCATGGCAGTCTTCTTTTTAAAATTGATACCGCTTGTTTTAGGGAAATGAGGATACATAAAAATTTATATGTAATAATTCAGTGAATATAATTTGTTTGTTTGTTTGTTTAGGAGAGAAGCCATATGAATGCCCAAACTGCAAGAAACGCTTTTCCCATTCTGGCTCCTATAGCTCACACATAAGCAGTAAGAAATGTATCAGCTTGATACCTGTGAATGGGCGACCAAGAACAGGACTCAAGACATCTCAGTGTTCTTCACCGTCTCTTTCAGCATCACCAGGCAGTCCCACACGACCACAGATACGGCAAAAGATAGAGAATAAACCCCTTCAAGAACAACTTTCTGTTAACCAAATTAAAACTGAACCTGTGGATTATGAATTCAAACCCATAGTGGTTGCTTCAGGAATCAACTGTTCAACCCCTTTACAAAATGGGGTTTTCACTGGTGGTGGCCCATTACAGGCAACCAGTTCTCCTCAGGGCATGGTGCAAGCTGTTGTTCTGCCAACAGTTGGTTTGGTGTCTCCCATAAGTATCAATTTAAGTGATATTCAGAATGTACTTAAAGTGGCGGTAGATGGTAATGTAATAAGGCAAGTGTTGGAGAATAATCAAGCCAATCTTGCATCCAAAGAACAAGAAACAATCAATGCTTCACCCATACAACAAGGTGGCCATTCTGTTATTTCAGCCATCAGTCTTCCTTTGGTTGATCAAGATGGAACAACCAAAATTATCATCAACTACAGTCTTGAGCAGCCTAGCCAACTTCAAGTTGTTCCTCAAAATTTAAAAAAAGAAAATCCAGTCGCTACAAACAGTTGTAAAAGTGAAAAGTTACCAGAAGATCTTACTGTTAAGTCTGAGAAGGACAAAAGCTTTGAAGGGGGGGTGAATGATAGCACTTGTCTTCTGTGTGATGATTGTCCAGGAGATATTAATGCACTTCCAGAATTAAAGCACTATGACCTAAAGCAGCCTACTCAGCCTCCTCCACTCCCTGCAGCAGAAGCTGAGAAGCCTGAGTCCTCTGTTTCATCAGCTACTGGAGATGGCAATTTGTCTCCTAGTCAGCCACCTTTAAAGAACCTCTTGTCTCTCCTAAAAGCATATTATGCTTTGAATGCACAACCAAGTGCAGAAGAGCTCTCAAAAATTGCTGATTCAGTAAACCTACCACTGGATGTAGTAAAAAAGTGGTTTGAAAAGATGCAAGCTGGACAGATTTCAGTGCAGTCTTCTGAACCATCTTCTCCTGAACCAGGCAAAGTAAATATCCCTGCCAAGAACAATGATCAGCCTCAATCTGCAAATGCAAATGAACCCCAGGACAGCACAGTAAATCTACAAAGTCCTTTGAAGATGACTAACTCCCCAGTTTTACCAGTGGGATCAACCACCAATGGTTCCAGAAGTAGTACACCATCCCCATCACCTCTAAACCTTTCCTCATCCAGAAATACACAGGGTTACTTGTACACAGCTGAGGGTGCACAAGAAGAGCCACAAGTAGAACCTCTTGATCTTTCACTACCAAAGCAACAGGGAGAATTATTAGAAAGGTCAACTATCACTAGTGTTTACCAGAACAGTGTTTATTCTGTCCAGGAAGAACCCTTGAACTTGTCTTGCGCAAAAAAGGAGCCACAAAAGGACAGTTGTGTTACAGACTCAGAACCAGTTGTAAATGTAATCCCACCAAGTGCCAACCCCATAAATATCGCTATACCTACAGTCACTGCCCAGTTACCCACAATCGTGGCCATTGCTGACCAGAACAGTGTTCCATGCTTAAGAGCGCTAGCTGCCAATAAGCAAACGATTCTGATTCCCCAGGTGGCATACACCTACTCAACTACGGTCAGCCCTGCAGTCCAAGAACCACCCTTGAAAGTGATCCAGCCAAATGGAAATCAGGTAAAAAATAACCTCCATCCTGAACCTGGCTAGTAATATGCTATTTGACTAATTTCAATTAACTTTGTCTAATAAATATCAGTCCCGTAGAGCCAACTAGATTATTACAAACTGTCATTTTTAAAAGGATCAATGTTTGCTTTAACTTTTCTGGCATGATGTCTTCAGTTGGTTGTTTGCTAATCCAGGGTATTGTTACCAGCTTAAAGTTTGAAATGCTATTCTACTGAAAGATGATTTTTAAGTCCCAGCTAAAAACCTGTTTGAAGTTAGAAATCAAAAAACAAAATTGAAATACTCGCTAATTGGGTTTCTGTTTTTATAGCTAAATTCCTAAAATTAGTAATAGTTTCTGCCTTGATTATGGTCATTAATTAATGAAAATATGTTCCCATTCACAGGTTCATACCAGGCAAACTTATCTATCACTTTTATATACTAATACATCTGTTTATAAAAGGTTTTAATTAAATAAACAGGAATGAAGTATACAAAGAACGCATCTTGTGAATTTACTGATCATTTTATGAACTGTGCATAAACAGTGTTCAGTCATAATGTATATGAGGAAGTGTGGCTGTGAACCTAAAAATACATATGCATTTTCCTCCTTAACTATCACAGTGTTTACCACAACAGTGTTTATTCTGTCCAGGAAGAACCCTTGAACTGGTCTTACCCCAAAATCCACAATAGTTTTGGATAGAGCTATTGTATGCCTCATTGTCCAGACTTTTTCCATGTCACTGATGTTGATGTTTTCCCATTTTTTCCATCAATTTCTGATGGAATCAAATGAATACTAGAGACAAATTTGATATTTTATGCAAATATTTTCTATAAGTATAATAATTTCAATATCCTGCTCAAACTTGTATTTGCTGCTTTTGTTTTCCCTTAAATATTGCTATTGATTGGGTTTCCTGTAATTGTGATAACTCTTGAAAAAAAGTTCTTACGTGATCATTGAATTCCTCTAAATTTTTAGTGTACAGAACACTTTGCATGCCTTTGAATAGAAAAAGAGCCATCCTTAGCATTTCATAGACTCACGTGTCACGTGACTAGATCAAGTAGCAGTGAAAGTAGAATCAAGTTACTTCAGCACCAGGGCCACTCACAAATGACAGGGACAAATGGCTGCACCTCTCTTGCCTCATAGAGCCATAAGAAATGTTGTGAAAAACCTTCAACTTTTAGAAAATGTGTGGGTTTGAGGCAATGGCGTGGAACACTCTAGATAAGGTAGGAAGATCTTAGGGGACCCAGTTCCACAACAGGCTCCCTGCAGGGTTATTTGGCTTACATAAGAACGTGCTGCCCAAAATTATCTCCATGAGACTGCCTGGAGTTTCTAAAGGTTCATTTTGATTAGCAATTATTTCTGTTAAAAAGATAGACCCTCCTGCATTGTTTTTCCATCTTGCTCCTTAGACAAGTGGTAGAGCACACCTCTCTCTTTTCAAGGAGACCGTGGAGGTTAAAGAACCCTGAAGTTCTGGAGGATACAATTGAAAGACCAGGTTTTAAAAATAGAATGTTAGCTTTTGCTTAGTGAAACCCAGAATGAGAAAAATGAAGGCAAAAGATGCAGTTAGTAATGAGCGATTAATTAGCAAACTAATAAGTTAAAACCTTCTGCAAATTTCTCGTAAAGTAATGATTCACATGAAACTAGGTAAACTCTGTTACTATATATTTTACATGCTTTCTTTTCGGTGTCCTTGCTTTCTTTCCAGTACCAGTTGAGTATATGTCTTTGCTATGGTTTTGACTGTGTTATCCCCAACCTCACTCTTGTCTTTGTCATCTCCACCTGTGATCTGGCCCCACCCTTGGGGCACATGTGCAGTGAAGATCAGTGTGCTTGCTTTGGTCAAGTCCTTGAAAGTATAAAAGTATAAGTTAAAGTAGTTCTTTATCTCATGCTTTTATGTATATCTCTTGTTTATCTTTTAATGTTAAATTACATTTTCTCACACCTTTCTCCCTCTAGGATGAAAGACAAGATACTAGCTCAGAAGGAGTATCAAATGTAGAGGATCAGAATGACTCTGATTCTACACCGCCCAAAAAGAAAATGCGGAAGACAGAAAATGGAATGTATGCTTGTGATTTGTGTGACAAGATATTCCAAAAGAGTAGTTCATTATTGAGACATA
Organism: Homo sapiens; assembly: GCF_000001405.40. NCBI lineage: Eukaryota > Metazoa > Chordata > Mammalia > Primates > Hominidae > Homo > Homo sapiens. Next base: position 31,524,099 of record NC_000010.11, read on the forward strand.
AATATGAACACACAGGTATGTCAGTGAACACAAACATAAAGTGTCCATGATATGATATACTGGAAGATGCAAAATTAAAAACTAAAGTTTTAGAATTTTCTTTCTTTTTTTTTTTTTTTATTTTGTTTTGAGACAAGGTCTGGCTCTAGTCACCCAGGCTGGAGTGCAGTGGCACGCAATCTCAATCTCGGCTCACTGCAACCTCCGCCTCCCGGGCTCAAGCCATCCTTTCATCTCAGCCTCCTGAGTAGCTGGGACTATAGGCACATACCACCACACCTGGCCAATTTTGATATAGACGGGTTTTGCCATGTTGCCCAGGCTGGTCTTGAACTAATGAGCTCGAGCCATCTACCCACCTCGGCCTCCCAAAGTGCTGGTATTACAGGCATGAGCCACCACGCTTGACCCAGAATTAATTTTCTTATTTTTTACTTATCTGATCTGGCCATTTTCACCTGTTTGCCCACTTCTACCTAGTACTTAAGGTCTGTGCCTTTCTTTTGGTTTTTTGCTTCATCTGTTTTTTTGTTTTTTTCATGACTTATTTCCTTTAAGCTGACACAGCATTTATTCTGTCCGCATTCATTTAATGCAAGCTTATGCTATATTAATAAAAACATAGTACATAGTACCCATTAATAAAAAATATGAGACCAGTGGGCTAAAGTCATAGGGAGACAGGATCTGGCTTCATAAAAGAAAAAGCTGCTTCATAAGCATGCGGCAAGCTGTCCTGGCAAGTCAAGATCTTTTGTTTTAAGTAAGAAGTTCTGCCTAAGAGGTTGGACTAGAAGATTCTAAGATCCTGTAATTCTGAGATCCTGTAATTCTGCCACAAAATATGCCTCCTTAGGTTGACTCAGGGATGGCAAACTATAGCTCACAGGCCAAATGTGAGCATACGCATGTTTTTCTATGAGGTAAGAATGGTAGTTTTTGATTTTGTTTTTACATTTTTAAATGATTGGAAAAGATGAAAAGAATATTTATGACTGATGAAAATTATGTGAAAGTCAAATATCAGCATCCGTAAATAAAATTAGTTGGAAGACAGCATCGCCTATTCATTTACATTTTGTCTATGTCAGCTTTCATGCTGTTCTACAATGGCAGGATTGAGAAGCTACTACAGAGACCATTTGGCCTGCAAAGCCTTTAATACTCACTACCCTTTACAGAAAATAGTTGCCAACTCCTGGCCTATTTCATTCCTTCCATCAGTGAAGTACTGATAAATTTTAACACCTGGTTCTCTGAAGGGTGGGGAAGCCCTGATTTGTAGTGTTTGCAGCTTTTTGTGGCATAAATACTCCCATCATGGTGGATTTCGAGCTTGAATGTGATGTCAGCTTGCAGAATTCCTGAAAATTTAGCAGTAGACTCTCTCCAGCCAGTACAAACTGGCTCCAGCACACTCCTGTGTCTCTCTCTAACATGGGTTGCTGTAGAAGGGGCTGGGTTTATCCTGAGCTCTTTAATCCCCTACCTGCTCTTCCCTGCCCCCACTACCAGCCATTATGACTACAGTATCCATATTTATCTTTCATATTCTTAACTGTTTCAGTGTATTTTTTACTCTTGTGAGAAAAGATAGAATTGTTTTTCCTTCTTCAATCTGTGGATTCATACAGTGACACTTGGAAGGTTCTTGGAGCTAAAAACTGGTTACATAAGAGAAAGTCACACCTCTCAAAATCAGCCCCTTGTAACTCAGTCCTCTGGTTTTCAGAGATCTAAGAAGAGTTAGAAAATCCCCTTCCTCTTCAGGCAAAGTTAAATATTAGCAAATATCAAAGTGAAAAATATATATGAAAAACTACACTATTTCTAAAATTAAAAATCATTTCTGCATTTGTTAGTGTTAACTGCTTGATAGCTCTGAAATTGGACATTATCGATCCTGACTATGATCAGTTGTTGCCAGTCCTTTTCATGTCTGGGCAGCAACACTCCTGTAGCCCATGCGTTCTCAGGAGGGGCAATATTGCCCTCACGGGCCAAAACTTGTTTCTTAGGGGGCAAAAAAGTCTGAGATACTACAATGGCTGTGGTTTTCTAAAGAAGCTCAGTATATATACTGTATATTTATGAGTTTTATCGTATATAAAAAGTGTATAGTAAACATTAAAATTTCACTGGGAGCAGAGCTTGTGACTAGGAAAACAAAATGACTAAAAAGGGACCTTGTAGTGATAATGAACACAAGGTGAGCAGCAAGTCTGTCCCTGTCTGCCCTCACTGTGCTCGTTCACTACCAGACATCTCCTCCCAGCTGCACTTGGCCCATTTTCCACCTCGCTGTCATGATGCTTGTATTTTTGGCATTTCAATGTCATGTAGCTCCCATTGACCTAATCATCTGCACAGCAGAGTGTAGAGCACTACGTTTTTTAATGTAAAGAACAAACCAAATTGCAATATTATATTACAAAGAGTTTGGGACCTGGAAATGTTTTAAAAATGAAACTAATAACCCTCCCCTTTCTACAACATGAAGTACCCCAAAAACCGTATAAGGATTTTATTTGCTGAATACCACCATTTTATTTAACAGAATTCTTATTTTGCAGGTAAAAGACCTCATGAGTGTGGAATCTGTAAAAAGGCATTTAAACACAAACATCATTTGATTGAACACATGCGATTACATTCTGGAGAAAAGCCCTATCAATGTGACAAATGTGGAAAGCGCTTCTCACACTCTGGGTCTTATTCTCAACACATGAATCATCGCTACTCCTACTGTAAGAGAGAAGCGGAAGAACGTGACAGCACAGAGCAGGAAGAGGCAGGGCCTGAAATCCTCTCGAATGAGCACGTGGGTGCCAGGGCGTCTCCCTCACAGGGCGACTCGGACGAGAGAGAGAGTTTGACAAGGGAAGAGGATGAAGACAGTGAAAAAGAGGAAGAGGAGGAGGATAAAGAGATGGAAGAATTGCAGGAAGAAAAAGAATGTGAAAAACCACAAGGGGATGAGGAAGAGGAGGAGGAGGAGGAAGAAGTGGAAGAAGAAGAGGTAGAAGAGGCAGAGAATGAGGGAGAAGAAGCAAAAACTGAAGGTCTGATGAAGGATGACAGGGCTGAAAGTCAAGCAAGCAGCTTAGGACAAAAAGTAGGCGAGAGTAGTGAGCAAGTGTCTGAAGAAAAGACAAATGAAGCCTAATCGTTTTTCTAGAAGGAAAATAAATTCTAATTGATAATGAATTTCGTTCAATATTATCCTTGCTTTTCATGGAAACACAGTAACCTGTATGCTGTGATTCCTGTTCACTACTGTGTAAAGTAAAAACTAAAAAAATACAAAATACAAAACACACACACACACACACACACACACACACACACACACACAAAATAAATCCGGGTGTGCCTGAACCTCAGACCTAGTAATTTTTCATGCAGTTTTCAAAGTTAGGAACAAGTTTGTAACATGCAGCAGATTAGAAAACCTTAATGACTCAGAGAGCAACAATACAAGAGGTTAAAGGAAGCTGATTAATTAGATATGCATCTGGCATTGTTTTATCTTATCAGTATTATCACTCTTATGTTGGTTTATTCTTAAGCTGTACAATTGGGAGAAATTTTATAATTTTTTATTGGTAAACATATGCTAAATCCGCTTCAGTATTTTATTATGTTTTTTAAAATGTGAGAACTTCTGCACTACAAAATTCCCTTCACAGAGAAGTATAATGTAGTTCCAACCCGTGCTAACTACCTTTTATAAATTCAGTCTAGAAGGTAGTAATTTCTAATATTTAGATGTCTTAGTAGAGCGTATTATCATTTAAAGTGTATTGTTAGCCTTAAGAAAGCAGCTGATAGAAGAACTGAAGTTTCTTACTCACGTGGTTTAAAATGGAGTTCAAAAGATTGCCATTGAGTTCTGATTGCAGGGACTAACAATGTTAATCTGATAAGGACAGCAAAATCATCAGAATCAGTGTTTGTGATTGTGTTTGAATATGTGGTAACATATGAAGGATATGACATGAAGCTTTGTATCTCCTTTGGCCTTAAGCAAGACCTGTGTGCTGTAAGTGCCATTTCTCAGTATTTTCAAGGCTCTAACCCGCCTTCATCCAATGTGTGGCCTACAATAACTAGCATTTGTTGATTTGTCTCTTGTATCAAAATTCCCAAATAAAACTTAAAACCACTGACTCTGTCAGAGAAACTGAAACACTGGGACATTTCATCCTTCAATTCCTCGGTATTGATTTTATGTTGATTGATTTTCAGAATTTCTCTACAGAAACGAAAGGGAAATTTTCTAATCTGCTTTATCCATGTACTTGCATTTCAGACATGGACATGCTATTGTTATTTGGCTCATAACTGTTTCCAAATGTTAGTTATTATGGACCCAATTTATTAACAACATTAGCTGATTTTTACCTATCAGTATTATTTTATTTCTTTTAGTTTATAGATCTGTGCAACATTTTTGTACTGTATGTCTTCAAACCTGGCAGTATTAATACCCTTCTTACTGACATATGTACTTTTAGTTTTAGAAAACTTTTATATTTATGTGTCTTATTTTTATATTTCTTTATTTATTACACAGTGTAGTGTATAATACTGTAGTTTGTATTAATACAATAATATATTTTAGTATGAAAATTTGGAAAGTTGATAAGATTTAAAGTAGAGATGCAATTGGTTCTCCTGCATTGAGATTTGATTTAACAGTGTTATGTTAACATTTATACTTGCCTTGGACTGTAGAACAGAACTTAAATGGGAATGTATTAGTTTTACAACTACAATCAAGTCATTTTACCTTTACCCAGTTTTTAATATAAAACTTAAATTTTGAAATTCACTGTGTGACTAATAGCATGATGCTCTGCAGTTTTATTAAGAAATCAGCCTAACCATACAACTCTCATTTCCTTAGTAAGCCAAATTAGGATTAACTTCTATAAACAGTGTTGGGAACAATGTTTAACATTTTGTGCCAATTTGTTCCTGTATTCATGTATGTAAGTTACAGATCTGACTCTTCATTTTTAAGTTCCTTGTTACATCATGGTCATTTTCTAGTTTTTTACCAGACTCCCATCTCACAATAAAATGCATCAACAAGCCTGAACTGCTGTCATTCTTTTCATCATTATCAGTATTTTCTTTGGAAAACTGTGAAATGGGGTACATTGTCATCCTGCATTTGATTCATCTTGAGCTGAATTTGGGTAACACTAAATGTTTTAGACATTCTCCACTAAATTATGGATTTTCTTGTGGCTAAATGTTTCTGGAGAGGTCAGAGTTGACAAAACCTCTTCACAGGTTGCTCCTTCTTCCTGAAATCCTTAATCCTCCGCATTTCATGCTTCAGGTCATTTCAGGGAAGCCTGGGTTTAGATGCCTTTCTGACTCTCAGCTCCTGCACTTCTGTCATCATACCTCTGATACTATTATTTATATTCCTTCCCCACTAGGAACAGGAACCACATTTGTCATAGTCACTCTCACATTCCTCACTGCCTAACAGGGTGCCTGGCATAAGTTGGGACAACAGATATTTGTTGAATAAAAATATAATTTGCATGTTTATGGAGCTCAGCTATGTTCTCACTTTTTTTGCTTCTAATTCCAGAATATATGTTAAATGATCTAATAATTTGATTATTTTCTTATAAGTCTTATTAAACACTAGTCATAATAGACACAATAAATTATGCCTTCTTTTTCTATTGCCTTACTATTTTGATTTTTTGAAAGTGTATTTCTAGGTGTCTTCCTGGTGCTTAACCTCATGGTATATGGCACAGGTATTGCTGGCTTGTGGACATGACTACCTCCAATAGGAGCGATAGGACTGATCCTAGTCAGCTCTCCTTTGTAGAATTCACTTCCCTTTCTAGGACCCCATATTCGTAGGTGCTCGTTACCATGTTGCCTGATTTCCCCTGTCACTGAGAGCAGCTACCAATAAACAGACTGACTGAAAAGGATTAGGAACTAAGAATAAGATACTCTTCTTAGGAGGTATCCACAATGTAATATAAAGTTCAATGAGGGCAGTGCTTGATATGTATGGATAAATGACTAATAAAGGAATTTAGGCATTACCAGAACTTTTCAGAAAGAAAACGTACATGGACCTTTCCCAGTATTCCCTCATATGACATACAACAAAAATAATAGCAGGGCCATATATTATTTATTCATGCCATGCACAGGTATTTCACTACTATCAAAATGTTCACAAAAGCCTCATAAAAAATACAAATAAAGACAATGTGCCCATGAACACATACGTCTTAAGTAGCAGAATGAGGATATGAACATAGGCTTATCTGAGTCCAAATCCATGCTTCTTCTTTTTTATTTTTTTGAGGCAGGGTCTTGCTCTATTGCCTGGGCTGAAGTATGGTGGTGTGAACATGGCTCACTGCAGCCTCAAACCTCCTGGGCTCAAGTGATTCTCCCACCTCAGCCTCCTGAGTAGCTAGGACAACAGGCATACACCACCACACCTGGCTGTTTGTTTGTTTGTTTGTTTGTTTTTGTTGGAGAGTCAGGGAGTCTCACTGTTTCCCAGGCTGGTCTTGAACTCCTCGGCTGGAGGAATCCTCCTGCCTTGGCCTCCCAAAGTGCTGGGATTATAGGCTTTAGCCACTATGTTCAGCCCGAAATCCATGCTCTTACCTAGCCTGTATCACATCTCATGTGAGAATAGTTTACAGTATCTCAATCTTCGCCTTGAAGTATATGAATGGAAAATATAAGAGCAATATACATTTCATAGCCTGGTGGAAAAGAATGGATGGGGAATGAGATTTTTCAAATCTGTGTGCAAACTTAAAAAGAACCTTGAAAAGGATACTATTAAAGTGCAGTGATTATGTTGACATGAAAATGTAGAACAGATTTCATCTCATCCTATCAATGGGAGAATATATTAGGACGTTCAATATGTGAACATTGTCCTCTGCTCTAGCTCACATTCTATTCAACAGTAGCAGAATACACACTTTTTTCCTAACACATGGGACATTCATGAAGAGGGACCATATTATGGGCCATAAGTCAACTCTCAGATTTAAAAGAATTGCAAATAAAGTATTTTATTTGACTACAAAAGAATTTATTAAAGTAGAAATCAGTAAATCAAATGTATCTGAAAAATCCCCCAAATTATTGGAAAATTGACACCACATTAGCCCAGATGTGGTTAAAAATAAATTATAAAATATGAGCTAAAGGTAAATACAACATATCAAAACTTGTAGCTTGCAGCAAAAGCAATGAATATAAGAAAATGTATAGTATTAAATGCTTATATTAGAAAATAA